>NC_000017.11:10794141-11097171 GCF_000001405.40 Homo sapiens
ATTACATGCAACTTTTCCTTCCCTGTGAACTTTAGAACCCCAGGTAAGAGGCTCTGGCCCCTCACGGTGTACAGTCAGTTCAGACATAGAAAGAAACTTCCAACTGGGAAGATGAAGAGGATTACAAGTGAAGATGGTTGGGGGAGATTCTGAGTAGGAAAGAAATCTTTCTTCTTAATTCCAAATGCTCTTTTGTGATAGCTCCTCAGGTTTCTGAGTCCAGCCCAATTCAGAGATAGTAGACTGGTGGCAGAGCACAGAGATGCCAGAAGACTTCATGGTGTCAGGATAACCTGTGGTCTGTCTTTTTTTTTTTTTTTTTTTTGAGACAGAGTCTCGCTCTGTCACCAGGCTGGAGTGCAGTAGCATGATCTCGGCTCACTGCAACCTCTGCCTCCTGGGCTCAAGCGATTATTCTGCCTCAGCCTCCCAAGTAGCTGGGACTACAGGTGTATGCCACCACCCCCAGCTAATTTTTGTATTTTTAGTAGAGACGGAGTTTCATCATGTTGGTCAGGACCATCTCCATCTCTTGACCTCGTGATCCACGCGCCTTGGCCTCCCAAAGTGCTGGGATTACAAGCGTGAGCCACAGCGCCCATCCTTGCTCTGTCTTTATCACACCGTGTTCTACGTGTCCCTTCCCTGGAGGCACTGTACTGAGTGCAGAATTACAGGATTTGCACCAAGGCAGGTTAAACAAATGGGAAAAGGATATCCTAAAACTGGGAGAACTGTTATGAGATCACAAAGACTCGCAAATCTGTCCTGTTACATAAAAACAAAGGCCAAATCTCCTTCTTTATTTAGGTAACCACCTCATACCATGAAAGATCGGAGGCAGCTTATAAGAGACACATACACTTTAAGGGTGAATTATAAATAAAAAGTACAAAATGAGACCAGGGGAAATATAAATTAGTGGGGCAGGTCGGGCTCCAGTGGGTGGCAAAGCAGAGAACATCTATCCAGTTAGCCTATGAGGCTTGACCCTCAGAGTTGCTGTCCTTGGGCTGGACTTGACCACCTGTAACTTAAGATAAAACAGTCCCACCCTTAAGGTCATCAAATGAAAGACACAAGGACAGCATAGCAGAGGCCTAGCTGGCTTGTCAGAAAAATGCACGGGAGATTTCAGTTGGCTAAAACCTCAATATGAGCCACTGCATGGCCAGGCTGTGCAAAGGAGTGGGGCTCCATTAATAGTGCACGGTGTGGCCCCACTGAGGAGGAGAGAGTCCTCCCGCACACAGCACTGGCTGTACGTTCACATTTGCAATCAACACATTGGAATATGTCACCATGTGCCAACTGGTCAGTGTCAAAGGGTAGATACAGTGGAACCCTCCAGGAGCTCACACAGTCTGTCCAAAGAGCCAGTGAGGAGAAATAGCAACAATCCTGCTTGATATGTGCTCGCAGGAGATCCCATTAGGACTTTGGTGCTTGTGGTTGGTTCTAATTGTTTTTCTAAAAGGACATTCACAAGAAGAACTACAGAGGATGAGTCTTCTCTTTTGGTGTCTAAGCCCCCAGCAGGGCTCCTGATAAAAACCTGCTAGCTACTCAGGCCCTTCATAAACAGCTGGCACAACAGCAGCGATGTCAGATCTGGTGCAGGGATGCTGGGCTTGTGATGGAGTCTGGAACCTGCCAGAAGCCTGGCATCACAGCCATTCTCGGACATCCTCGTGAGTACTTTGAAAGCCTCAGTATTGCAGCCTCTCGTTCCTCCTGGATGCTGTTAAAGGGTGTTCTGTAAAGGAAGGGCATCTCCTTGAATTGATTCTCCTCCATCAGATGGGACCTGTGTTGAACAAAGGAAGATAAAATGGATCAGCCCCCAACCCAAATCCATCAATTTCAAGCCTGTGTGTGGTGAAACCAGCATAGTCTTTGGAGTTGCCAGACGTAGGTTTGAATCCTAGAGCAGCCTCTCCATGGCACTGTTACCTTGGGCTAGCCCTGAAACCACATGAGACTCAGCTTCCTTTGCCTGGAAAATGGAAATTTGAATCCCGCACTCACAGAGTTGTAAGCACTGAATGAGATCATGAAAATAAGTGATTGGCTTAATAAATATCAAGATTCTCATCAAATCTTAGTTTCCTCTCCTTACCCTTCCTTGCAGGCAAAGCCGATGCCTACCTCTCTCTGCTCTCTGGATTCTGCCTCAACCTCCACCTTGGATGTGATCACAGGTTCATCTTCGTCTATCACGTCAGCATCCTCTTTTCCTCTCTGCTGACTTTCTCTCCTCCACTTACCGTCTTGCTCAATGTTCTATATCCCTTCTCTAAGAATTCCCACCTTAGCACGGTTATGCCAGCAGGTGACTGCCCTACCCTCTTAATCTCATCACCAAATACTTTGAAGATGAATCTGCACTCACTCCTCACCCATCTTCAGCCACCCGATAAGTAGCATCATCTGATTTCTGTCTCCACCATTTACTGAGAAAGGCACATTGCTGGGTCTGCCTAACTGCCTTTCCTTAGGCTTCAGCCTTTTTTTGATGGCTTTGAAGTGTTTGATGGTCAATTCCCCTCACTCTTGATAATTGTCCTTCTTTGTCCTCTTTGCCATTGGCATAACGTCTCTTCCTTATTATTACTGGGAACTTCCATTTGGGCTCTTCCATCTGCTTTCCTTTTCCCGTTCCCCACATGCAGGCATGGATCAAGGTTCTGACTTGGCTCCTATAGGAAACATACGTGACTAGGCCAGGGGCTGGCAAATGTTTTCTGTAAAGGGCCAGGTAGTAAATGTCATAGGCTCTGCAGGCCACATAGTCTCTGTTACCATTGCTCGACCCTGCCACTATAACATGAAACAGCCATAGATAATATGAGAGTGAACGAGCCAGTCTGTGTTCCAATAAAACACTATCTACAAGAACAGGAGGTGGGCCAGATTTGGCCCATAGGTTGTAGTTGCCTACCCCTGGTCTTATGGAAAGAGCATAAACCACAGGGTCAGATATACCTGGTTTTACAATCTGGCTCGATCACTGCCTAGTTCCATTATGCTGGGCAAGTTACTTAACCTCCATACACCTTATTATCGTTATCTGTAATAGAGAGGAATAATAATGATTATGATGATAATACTACTTTCCTCATGGCCTTGTTGATAGGGTGAAATGGGATAATGTGCAACCCTAGGGCCTGGTTCAGTGAATCTTAGTGTTCTTTTCTCCTTTCTTCCTCCCCCCTTTCCTTCCCTCTCACCCTCCCTCCTTCCCTCCCTCCCTCCCTCCCTCCCTTCCTTCCTTCCTTCCTTCCTCACTCTCCCAATCCCTTTTCTCTCTACATCCTCACCCTCTGTAATCTCATCCACATGTCTCTAACCCCTAACCTCTCCCTCCACATCTGATCTTTCTTCTGAGTTTAAAATCTGCACATTCAATGCCAATTAGGTAGTTCTGCTCGTATACGATTTGCATATCAAACTCTGCATGTTCAAAAGAAAATGAATCATTTTAAACAAACTCATGCCTTTTTCTGACCTCCCTCATTCCATGCCCCAGGGGCGCTTTCTGAAGGCTTTGACAATGCCACCCCCGATCTGCTGTAGAACAGGACAGGCCGTTCTCCACTCATGCAGTCTCTGCTCTTCTCCCCTCCCCTCCGTGGCCATCATTTCAGCTTGAACCCTTTTATTACCTGCCACCTGAGCTTGCTGAATGGCCTTGCTGTCTCTCTGCTGCTTCTCTCTCATCCATTCTGCACACGATGCTCAGTTACTCTTCTACAGGCAAAGCTTGATCATGTTGCTCTCTAGTATCTAACACCACTGAAGACTCCTCCCTCCTCTCCTAGTGTCAGACTCCTCACCTGGTGTTCAAAGTCCTGCACAGCCGGCACTGAAGACTCCAACCCCCAGGCAAATGTGCCTGCTTAGCTTTTCCTAGACACCCTAATTCTTTCATTTCTGCAGTCCTTCCTTTTGCCTGGACTGCCCCCTACCCACCACCCACGGCTGCTGTCCCTGTGCCATCTCTACTTGTCACATTCTTACCTGTTCCTTAGCAGCCCAGCCAGAACCACACACAGCACGCTTCCCCCAGCCAGGAGGTTCTGTGCCTCCTCTCAGCTTTCAGAGCCCTGGCAAGACTGTGCTTATCTCCTGCAATGCATTTTCCCTTGGAAACTTTGTGAAGTATCGTGCACATGCTTTATCTCTCCCCTTAGATTAAAAATCCCTGGAGAGATTAGAGAAATGTTTGCTCCTCCACACAGCCCTGGCACCATGTCTGCATGGGGCACAGATTCATTGAGCAGGAGAGGAGGGCTTTTTACCAGGCTCACCTTTGAGCTGACTTGGCAGCTCCACTGGCCTCCTCTGTGGGCAGAGGGGAGAGGCTGCCTGTTGGAAAAAGTCGAAGTGGAGGAACAAGTTTCATTTTCCAAGGCTCAAGGCTGTTAGCCTTTTGGCTTTGGTTGGTGTGAGAGTGGGTGTGTTTGTTTCTGTGAGTGTGTGTTTCTGGGTGTGTGTTTGGTAGGTGTGAGTGTGTGGTGGGTGTGTTTGTTTCTGTGAGTGTGTGTTTCTGGATGTGTGTGGTAGGTGTGAGTGTGTGGGGGGCGTGTTTGTGTGTGCATGAACACGTGGAGTAGAAGAGGGATGTGTGTGTACGTGTGTGGGGTGTTGGTGTGTGTGTATTGTTTGGGTGTGTAGTCTTGGACACCCTATTAAAAAAGGACAAGAGTCTTCATCTGACTTTGCTTGGGGACTTATCTTTATCTGCAGGAAATAACCAAGAAGTGGAAAATGGAGCAAAAAAAAAAATCTGAAAATACAGTGACCAGGTGATAAAATCAAACGGCAGCTTGTCTCTCTTGGAGCACAGTTGATCTATAAAAATCAGCCACTCGCCCTGAAACTTCCTGGGGGTGCCTTTGAGGTTTAGCAGCCACCCTGCCCTCTCTCTGGAGAACCACGCAGGCTGTGGGCAGAAGGCTTGTGGGGCAGCCAGGCCCCTGCCTTGTCCTGACCGAGCATGGGACCTCCTCATCTCTGGGGCAGGGTGGGGGCAGGTCCTATCAAACTCATTTTTTAATTTTTTATTTTTTGGGGGATGGAGTCTTGCTCTGCCGCCCAGGCTGGAGTGCAGTGGCACGATCTTGGCCCACTGCAATCTCCGCCTCTCAGGTTCAAGCTATTCTTCTGCCTCAGCCTCCCAAGTAGCTGGGGTTACAGGCACATGCCACAATGCCTGGCTATTTTTTGTATTTTTAGTAGAGACGGGGTTTCACTATGTTGGCCAGGCTGGTCTCCAACTTCTGGCCTCAAGTGATCCTCTGGCCTTGGCCTTCAAAAGTGCTGGGATGACAGGCATGAGCTATCATGCCCGGCCTCAACCTCATCTTACAGAGCCTCTGAAGGCTGAGCTAGGAATGTGGGCATCAGCTCTGAATGCAGGGAGCCCACATTCTTTCCTTTTACCCCGCTCTGAGAATGAGAGAGCTGGCAAAGCCAGTTACAATCTGCCCGTAAATCGTGAATGTGTCTGGAATTGACATATAGGCCAAAGGTCGTAGGCTGTAGGGGAAGTGAGACGAGCTGCTTTTCAAATATTTTTTGGCATCAGAAACTTGTGTTCATGTAAAGTCTTACGTGCCAGTTTAATGTGCAAAGCTGCTGAGAGCTCCACTGTTCTGGGTGAAATGTGTGTTACGGGGTGGGTAGGGCTGCTGGACTCCTGTCCCCTCACTCTGCCCCTCACCCCAGGCCCAATTCCCTTCCAGGGACATTGGCAGAACACAGTTTGAAACCTCCCTTGGAAACCACATCTTTTTTTTTTTTTTTGAGACGGAGTCTGGCTCTGTCGCCCAGGCTGGAGTGCAGTGGCGTGATCTCGGCTCACTGCAAGCTCCGCCTCCCGGGTCCACGCCATTCTCCTGCCTCAGCCTCCCAAGTAGCTGGGACTACAGGCACCCGCCACCATGCCCGGCTAATTTTTGTGTATTTTTAGTAGAGACAGGGTTTCACCGTGTTAGCCAGGATGGTTTCGATCTCCTGACCTCGTGATCCGCCCGCCTCAGCCTCCCAAAGTGCTGGGATTACAGGCGTGAGCCACCAGGCCTGGCCGGAAACCACATCTTTAACTCTAAAGGGAAGTAAAATGATTCGCCCAAGGCCATGGGGTGGAGGAGGGTTGGGCAGCCCCATAAGTGAGCAACGTCCTGAACAGCAGGACTCAGCACACACGAATCTGTCACTCTGGGCCATCCCTGAAATGTGTCAGGGGATGGAGATGCAGTAAAGAATACAATAAAGAACATATTAAAACTTCTAAAGTTTCTTTGAACCAGGACAAAACTCTAGCATTCTGGAGCAGCATTCAGTCTCATATCTACTGAAAAATCCTAATGTTGTACATTGCCATTAGAACTGATCGTAATGCGTCAGGGCCTCACCCTCTGTAATGTGCTGGCTACCTGCATCGTGACTGACGCTTTATTTAGTCATCACTTGCATAGTGCTGAACAAATATTAATCCACCTAATCTGGGCAACATCTTTATGACGTAGTGGCTATTATTAGCACCATCTCCATTTTACATATTTGGAGTAATGGGGCACGGAGAGGTGAAGTAACTTGCCCCAAGTCACGTTGCTAGAAAGGAATAAAACTGGATTCAAGCCAGAGTCTAGGTATGGCCCATGCTCTTCAACGCCGGGCTATTGAACTTCTGTTCAATGAGGGAAGGCTGTTCAGGGCACGGAGCCTCACACTGGGGACTCTGTGTTGTTTGGGTACTTGTCTTGGCTCCCCAAATGGGTTTCAGCCGGTAATAATCATAACCATAATAACCTATACTGTGGCCGGGGTGGTCTCTTGGAAACACAGGTCCAATTATGTTAAGCCCCTGCCTCTGCTTATATCTCTTCAATGGATTCCTTTTTACTGTTTTTTTTTTTTTTTGAGACGGAGTCTCGCTCTGTCACCCAGGCTGGAGTGCAGTGGTGCGATCTCGGCTCACTGCAAGCTCCGCCTCCCGGGTTCACGCCATTCTCCTGCCTCAGCCTCCCAAGTAGCTGGGATTACAGGCGCCTGCCACTGCGCCCGGCTAATTTTTTGTATTTTTAGTAGAGACAGGGTTTCACTGTGGTCTCGATCTCCTGACCTCGTGATCTGCCCACCTCGGCCTCCCAAAGTGCTGGGATTACAGGTGTGAGCCACAGCACCCAGCCCTCAGTGGATTCTTATTGTTCTTCAAGTAATGACCAAAATCCTTCAGAGGGCCCTCGAGGCCCTGCCAGATCTGGCCTCTGTCTACCACAGAGCCCTAACCCTCACCGACATTTGCTCTCTGCCCTTCAATCTCCCTGTCGTCTTTTATTTCCTGTTATCCCAGGACCTTTGCCCAAGCCATTGCCTCTCCCTGAAAGACTTTCCATTCACCTCCCACTCTTCCTTTGGCATTCAGCATAATATCACCTCCTCCAGGAAGCTTTCCCTGACTCCATCTTCTGAGTCAGTTTCTCTATTGAATATTCTTGTGGCAGGATGCTCCTCTCCTTCCTAGAGCAGACCTGACTTTGTTATTGTACTTTTGTAAGTGTGAATCTTTGGTGAGTGTCTGTCTTTCTCACCTGATGGTAAACTCCCTGAGAGTAGAGCCCCCACGTCATGTGTCTTTTTTTTTTTTTAATTGAGACAGGTCTCACTCTGCCGCCCAGGTTGGAATGCAGTGGTGCAATCTCTGCTCACTGCAGCCTGTGCCTCCTGGGCTCCAGCAATCCTTCTGCCTCAACCTCCTGAATAGCTGGGATTACAGGTGTGCATCACCATGCGTGGCTAATTTTTTGTATTTTTGGTGGAGATGGGGTTTCACCATGTTGCCAAGGCTGGTCTTGAACTCCTGACCTCAAGTGATCTGCCCGCCTCGGCCTCCCAAAGTGCTGGGATTACAGGCATGAGTCACTGTGCCTGGTCCATGTGTCTCATTTCTTATCCCCAGTGTCTTGCACAGTGCCTGACACATTCCAACATACCAGCACACAAATCAGGGACCCTTTTTGCTCTGAAGTTTCCTGATGCAAAGTGTGAGTTGACCCCCATCACTACCAATTTGAGAGACACCAAGGTACTTCACATTTGGACTTTGGGTCAGTTAACTCATCCCAGATTATGTGTTTTGTATGCTTGACATCTGGTGTAAGAACCACATCAATTGTACAGCCTTTCCCTGCCTTATCTCTTTTCGATCCTTGCAGCAATAAGGGCCAGAAATATTCTCTTCATCTTACAGATGAGAATCCTGAGGCTCAGAGTGTGCAACCTGGCCAAAAACACCCAGCTAACAAGTGCTGAAGATCAGAGTGGGACTGACTTCTCATCTGTTTCTACATCATTTCCTAGGTATGGGCTTACCTTACTCTACTGAGACCTCTTCATTTTGCTTCTCTTTTCTCTGAGTTCTGAGAGTCAGGTGTAATCCCCCACAAAAGACACAATTATTATTTCCTTCTTTCAACTCAGCAACGACCTTTGCTCTTACTTCTGGTAAGGGAGTAAGAAACGGGAGTGCCTGGATACACCTGCGTGCAGGTTGGGCCCACCTGGGGAGGAGGGTATGGCTGCCCAATGGACCGTGGCTCTGACTTCAGTCCCCTGGAGACAGCTGTCCATCTCTAATTCAGGGTTGTAAGGACCAGACCACTCTATCTCTGGGACTCTGTCTTGATGTGAAAAAATCTTACAACTCTCTGCCTCTTTGGTTGCACGCGATAGACTGAGCTGTGACATGCAACTCAGCGGATGAAATCCATGAAGCCAAACTGTCTTGACTTCTGGGCCTTGGAGACTGGCTGGGCACATGTGTTGGCTGCGTGTGAGTGTGAGTGAGGGTGGGGTGGGAATACTGCAGAGAGAGGAGGTGTGTGCACTGAGTGGGCATGGAGGCGAGTAGTCCCTACCCCGCTTCTTGTATCCCATCTGGGCAGGTGCAGGGAGGAAGTGAACGAGAGGGGCCGTTCTGGGTGGTTCTGCTCTGTTTGCTTTTACCGTGGCCCAGTTCACACCCCTTCATGTATGCAAGGGCACAAGAGTCATTGGGGAACTTTCCGTCCTCTCCTGTGCTAAAGACTTTTCTCCCCAGCAGAGATTCTTCCCAACAGAGAATGCAGATGGGGTCTTTTTGTCCCCAAGTTCCGAGGTAAAGGGATAACTTCCCATTGTGCCCAGAAGCCAGGATCATTCGTGGTATATCAGGGGTGGAAGGGGCTGTTGAGACTCTCTTTCCAGCCTCTGCGAGGAAAAGGGCCCGGAGGAGAAAACACCTGCCCCACGTCCTCTTGGCTGGCCACCCCAGCAGGACCTGAGGCCAGGGCCACAGGATCCCCAGTCAGGGTGCAGTGTCTGGCTATTTGCTTATGCAGCCTCAGGAGGCCTGGTCTTGCCCCTGCTTGTCCAAGCCTCTCTGGCCACCCTGCCAGGTAGGTCTTGTGTGCACTCACCTGGTCCCGGCGTGGCTTGCTAGGTGGAAGCTGCAACGTGTTGCTGCCCAAGAGCCCCAGGTTCACAGACATGTCTGCATACAGCACCTGCGTCTCTTCTCCTCTTCCCATGGCCAAATTACAGGTCCAGTTTTTCAGGAGACACCTCAATGTTGAGGGAATACCAGATGATCCAGAGCAGTAGGCTGAGAGCCAGGATCAGGGCACCTGTGTAGATGAAGAAGTCCCAGGAACTCAGGGGGGCCAAGATCCCCAGCAGCAAAAGGACCAGGCCGACCGCGTCCAGCAGGAGGGCGAGGATGAGGAAGAGCGCACAGCGCCCTGGATGGCATCTTCCCCACAGACTCCCCAGGAGCATTGCCCAGGAGGAGCGGGAGGAGCCCAGCTGCACTCCCGGGGGTGATTTGCATGGGAGGGTGGCGGTCCTGCCTGCTGCTGCCTTCTCTGCCTGCTGGGTGTGAGCAAATGAGCGAGCTGGCGCTTCTTGGAGCCACAGGGAAGTACACGTGGGTCTACCTTTATGAGCACGGCAGCCAGTGGGGCAGGATATTTCTTAACTGTTTCATGGCTCAGGAATGATCTGGACCCAAACAGTCTGACATCACTGTTAATTGGGCTGCTCATCGCTGGGACCTACAATCCATGTGGCAGAGGAGTCAGGGTGCCCTTGGATGCATCTGCCAAGTTGGCGGTCCTGTGATTCTGGGGGAGGGGCTGATCTGTGCCTTGTTCTCTAATCCCTGGAAGCCAGAGAGCCTGAGTGCCCTGTTTCTGAGACACAGCTGCTTCATCTAGTATAGCGGGGTGGAGTGGTGGAGTTTCCATTCCTCTTCACCTCCCTGCCCTACTCTCTTCCTTGGGGGAAAAGGTTTTATGTAAAGGACATAGACAAGAGTTTGTAAGATCAATCGATTTTGAAGCGTTGCTGTAAGAATTGGTCCATGTTAGCAAGAGAAGTTTTGCCTTCTTGTAGAGCCCTCACTCTGCAGACGGAAGGATCTGAGTTCCCTAGGATAATGGACAGTAAGGATAAGGGCGGGAAAGGGGTAGAGATGGAAAAGACAGAGGGGACAGAGAGAAGACAACAGGGTGAGAAGAAACTTCTGGCCTCTTCCTGCAGTGGATTCTGTGTGGACCAAAGGGCAATTCCCAGGCAAAAGTCAAGGGATGTTTCCGGGGCCTGTTGCCTCTGTGTTTTCTACATGAACTCATTTTATGTTCATTTTCTTTCTCATAATAGATGACCCTGTAAGCCCTTCCAGACACTGCCTGCATCCCTTCTACATTGATGGGAGCGATCTTATCCCCGTGGCTGCTCACGGCGGGTGTGGGGGTGAACATCAAATGAGGAAAATGCAGCGGCAGTCCTTGGCAGGGCTGCAGACAGCCACCCCTCTGTCCCTGATTCACAGGGAGGCTAGAACAGGGCACCAAACCTTTCTGGGCCTCAGTTTACCCAGATAAATGAAGAAAATAATTTCCACTCTCACTTTTGCCTTCCCCAGAGGGTGAGAATAAGTAGGTGGATCTGATTTCCTTTTTTTTTTGAGACAGAGTTTCATTCTTGTTGCCCCGGCTGGAGTGCAATGGTGCGATCTTGGCTCACTGCAACTTCTGCCTCCCAAGTTCAAGCAATTTTCCCACCTCAGCCTCTGGAATAGCTGGGATTACAGGTGCCCATGACCATGCCTGGCTAATTTTTGTATTTGTATTAGAGATGGGGTTTCAAACTCTACTTGGCCAGGCTGGTCTCGAACTCTGACCTCAGGTGATCCGCCCGCCTCCGCCTCCCAAAGTGCTGGGATTACAGGCATGAGCCACTATGCCCGGCCTTCATTTTTCTATGTGTAAAATAAGCCAGGATGAGAAAGAAACTTTCAGAAAATATTTTGGGGAAGGTGGCAGGGGATGACCTAAACCATAGCTCTTAGGATCTGAAACGCCACGAGACTTGAGCCAAGCCAGGTGAACACTCTGGACACCTCAAAGTGGGAAGTAGCTGAGGCCAATCTCCATCTCAGTACTTGCCTCCTGTCCCACTAGGTCCTCGGAAGGGGCCAGGTACCTACAGAAACACCTCACATTGCTGGGGAAGCCATGACTCTTTCAATTTTTTGTTCCCCCTGTAGGAGAGAGTCTCTTGGGAAAAACTATTGATGGACAGCAATGGCCTCTTCCCAGTGCCAGGACAAGCACTGCTGCTGTGTCTGCACAGGGCTGGGCTAATGAGTCCTGGTCTAGCCATATACAGGTTCCCAGGTCCCTTTGCAGAGTCCTGTGTGTGTGGCTCTAGTCCACCATGGACAACAATTTAGCACTAAAATTTCTGCATGCTGGAAAATCCTTTGTTTCTGGGTCAACTGGCATGGTTGGTCAATGTAGTCCCATCTAACTGGGCCACATCATACTCTCAGTTCCGCGGTCTGCGTTCTCTCTCATAATACCTGGCCATTCTGGCAAATCGCTAACCATGGCCCCACTCCAGGTGACTGGCCAGGCTGTGAAGTGCCCCTCCACCTCTGCCCCTGTGTATCTTTCTTACTCTTGTTTCCCAAAGTTACCACTCCTGTGTGTTGAGGCAGCCTCGGTATTTGCACAGCTGGGAGAGACCTACTGGGACGTTTGATGCAAAGCCAGGTGAGTCTGGAGCCCTGGAGGGGGGCAGGCTAGAAAGAAAAGAAGGGAGATGAAAGTGAGTAAGGAGGGTGGCTCCAAGTGTGGGAACCAGAAACTGCCTGGGCGGAGGCAGGCGTGGACGAGGGGCAGGTGATCAGAGAGCAGTTTGCTGCACCCCCGTTAGCAAGAAGAACACCACCACCCTCTTCTTCTCACGGAGATCCTTTGTGACTTCCTCACTTGCCAAGGCTGGATCCACAGCTGGAAATAGCTGCATGCTTTGCCAGGGCTGCTGTAACAAAGCACCACAGCCAGGGTGGCTTGAACAATAGAAATGTATCATCTCCCAGTTCTGGATCCTGGAAGTCTTGAGATCAAGGTGTCTCCAGGGTTGGTTCCCTTGAGGGCTGTGAGGGAGAATGGGGTCCAGGCCTCAGCCCTAGCTCTGGGTGGTTTGCTGGCCATCTGTGACGTTCCTTGCCTTGTAGATGCACCACTTTGATCTCCGCCTTTATCTTCACATGGCGTTCTCCCTGTGCGCATGTGCGCATGTCTGTGTCCACATCTCCCCTGTTATAAGAAGCACCATCCTGCTCCAGTATGAACTCATCCTAACTAATTAGATCTGCAAAGATCCTACTTCGAAATAAAGTCCCATTCTGAGTTACTGGGGGTTAGGATTTCAGCATATGAATTGGGAGGACAGAATTCAACCACAGCCCATAGCAATACCTAAAAGGTTTGTTTGTTTATTTGGACATCCTTTGATTTCTAGCTGTAGTATAGATAGAAAATTTAGACTCTCAAGCCAAGTTTTCAGAAAAAACATAATTGCAAAGTCAGCACCCCATTGAAGGTGGCCCTCCATGCCAGCAGGCACTGCTTCAACCCCTCCCTGTCTCTCCTGGGGACACGGAGGTGCTGTTGGCTATGTCTGTGTCCCTGGGCGAGAGGCTGAGAAGGTGGGGTCTTCTCACCCTGCTTGGGTTCTGGCTGCTGTCACCTCTATTCACCAAGCCAAGGTGCTCATTCTCCACGAGTGGGTAACCCTAAGTGACCCCTACACATTTTGAAGTTTGAGCTGAAGTGGGATTTAAATTGAACCAATATTATTAGCACCTACTATGGGTCAGGCAGCAGGATCAAGATCAAGTATGATCTTGATCTTGACCTAACATCACAGACATAAGATGCTAAGAGTGGAGGCAATAATTAACACATGAATGGTATAATTTCAGATTATATTGCAATTTAATAATTTCAGAAAAAAATCGCAAAAACAGGGAAGTATAAGACAGTAGGCATCTGTTACACTCCTCTGGACATTTGCTTTCTGAACCATAACATGGTGTGGAAGGCACAGGTGGACGCCTAGCCCCTGGCCTGCAACTTCCAATTTGGTCACTGAGGGCCCCTCTGCCTCTCTCCTTCTGCGATTTTGCTGGGCTGTTGGGGCTGCAGCCACCCCTGTGCCTCTGAGAGGTTTGTCTTTCTGCTGCTGTCTCACAGCTCCGCCTCTTCTCGGCAACTGAGACGTTGTCACTCCCTTGGCAAAGTCATCATGATTTGTCATCCGTGATGTCACCAGATGACAGCCTCTCCATGACCTGGATCCTAAAGGGCAGGCAACTGACACCAGGATGGACTAGCTAGGTGCTCAGCTGACCCAGCGTCACAGATCCCAGACCTGACTCCATGAATGACAAAGGCCCAGTCACATCCTGGGTGGCAGGCTCAGATGTTGGGTGGGTCTAGCCATGCCGGCCTGTTCATTAGGTCTGCCTACCTTTTCATGGTGCAGAGCTTAGTAGAGTGCCTAGCTGTGCCACTCACTTGCTGTGTGACCTTGAGCAAGTCACTTACCCTCTCTGTGCCTCAATTTCCTCATAGGATTACTGTGAGGCGTAAGTGAGTGCATGGGTGTGAAGTGTTTAGAACCCGCACTCTGTAAACAGGGACAAGTGTTATTGTTGTGGTTGCCGCTGGGAATCTTTACATTTCTGCCATGATGCTTATGTAAGGAAAAACCCAGGTTGGAAGGCATCCATCCATGACTCTCTGGCACCATCATTTTCTCCCCTTTACCAACCTGGGCTTCACTTGGTAGCAGCTGCCTGGCCCTTGGCCTCCCCATACTACCCTCACTAAATCTATTAGGACGTGCAGTGCTGTCTCACCATTCTTCGATGGGTACAAATCCTTTATTTTCATGAACTCCTCTTCCCAGATCCATTTTATCTTTCAGATCCCTTACCTCTACCAAAGTGGCTCTTTATCTTCACCATCCTCAAATCCCTCAACGCCCCCTAATCTCGTAATCCAGTGTTTATCAAGCTTCACTTATTGTTTAAGTGTACCATTCCCTGCAATTTGTGTCTCTTACTTATAGAATATTACATTCGTTTGTTAATGCTATATTATTTTGTTAATTTTTAAAAATGGATTTGTTGTCTCTACTAAAAAAATACAAAAAAAATTAGCCGGGCATAGTGGCGGGTGCCTGTAGTCCCAGCTACTCGGGGGGCTGAGGCAGGAGAATGGCGTGAACCTGGGATGCGGAGCTTGCAGTGAGCTGAGATTGTGCCACTGCACTCCAGCTTGGGCGACAGAGCAAGACTCCGTCTCAAAAAAAAAAAATGGATTTGTTAAAACTGCAATCAGTTATTGTCACCATCAGTGAAAAACTGGTGTGACTTAGACAGAAAGTACTTGGGAATAAATATACTGAACACAAAACAATTGTAATTAAATCAGACCAGGGGTACTCAAACTCTTTCTGTATTGGGCCAGATAGTAAATGTTTCGGGCTTTGCAGGCAATCTTGTTGGTCTCCGTTACAGCCATTCAACACTGCCATTGTAGTGTGATATGGTTTGGCTTTGTGTCCCGACCCAAGTCTCATTTCAAATTATAATCCACATAATTCTCATTATCCCCAACTGTCAAGGGAGAGACCAGGTAGAGGTAATTGGATCATTGGGGTAGTTTCCCCCATGCTGTTCTTGTAATAGTGAGTTCTCACGAGATCTAAGGGGCTCATCCCCCTTTGCTGGGCACTTCTCCTTCCTGCCACCTTGTGAAGAAGGTGCCTTGCTTCCCCTTTCCCTTCCACCATGATTGTAAGTTTCCTGAGGCCTCCCCAGCCATGCTGAGCTGTGAGTCAATTAAACCTCTTTCCTTTATAAATTACCCAGGCTTGGGTATGTCTTTATAGCAGTATGAAAACAGACTACTGCATGGTGAAAGAGCCAGAGATGATATGTAAATGAATGAGTGTGGCTGCATTCCAATAAAACTTTGCTGTAATCCCAGCACTTTGGGAGGCTGAGGTGGGCAGATCACCTGAGGTCAGGAGTTTGAAACCAGCCTGTCCAACATGGTGAAACCTTGTCTACTAAAAATACAAAAAATAACTGGGTGTGGTTGCCCATGCCTGTAGTCCCAGCTATTCAAGAGGCTGAGGCAGGAGAATCGCTTGAACCAGGGAGGTGGAGGTTGCAATAAGCCGAGATCGCACCACTGCACTACAGCCTGGATGACAGACGGAGACTCCATCTCCAACCAAACCAAACCAAACCAAACAAAACAAAACACCTTTATTTACAAAACCAGGCAGCAGGTCAGATTTGCTGATTTCCAAACTAGACATTGTTGCCTACTGAAATTGCTCTCTTTCTCAAATAAAGACCCAAGACTCACAAAGTTTAGAGAGGTACATAAAACATAATAGCACCAACCAGTGGCTTTGTCCTGGAAGTCATAGGAAAGATTGAATGAAAATTGAAATGGCTATGCCTTTTAATGTGAGCCTGTCTGCCAACTGAAATCCCTTCCCATACTGCCAGGGATATAGTGCCAGAATCTGGAAAAATGTTGACCCTGATCAATGCTCCCCAATCAATCTTCATTTACTCCTCCTTTTTCTCAGTGTGGGACTTAGGGTCAGTATTTTCAGAAATGTATTCGCTCTTATCTTAGTGACCCCTGACAATTTTCAGAGCTCTTCATTCCTCCTCTGTTAGGCTACCCACAGGGTCTTATAAGAATTCCCCAAAGTGCGCTGCCTGGACCTCTGTAATCCATGCTCGAGGACCCTCCCTCCAGCTCAGGAAACTCTAGCCCTCTTTTCTGGTTTTCCTATCTTATTCCCTACTGGGCTGACCTAAACCTTCATGACTCCTGTCCACATCTCAAAAGCATCCTCCCATTACCACCTCCTTGCTGCTCATCACCTTCCTTCTCCGCAGGTTGGTAACCTTGCCCCCTTTCAGCAGATAATAATAGTATTTCCATGCATTTGTGTTGCACTTTATGTACAATGGACATCGATCTACATCCAGCATCTCCTTGTCCTCCCTGCAGCCCTGTTCCTCTTCCAGAGTTGAAAGCCGTTAAGAGAGTTGCCTAGGTTCAGCCAGCAAGTAGGTAACAGAGCTGCAATTAGAACCTGGTCTTGTCGTCTCATGGGCATTAAATACAAATACCAACTCTTCTCCCTTTCCTCTTCCCCACCCTTGTGTCAGTTGTTTCCCAAATCCTCAGATAATCAAGTTAGTTTCTTTCTTATTCCCATTTAATTAATTTTTTTTTTTGAGACGGAGTCTCACTCTACTGCCCAGGCCAGGCTGGAGTGCAGTAGCACGATCTTGGCTCACTGCAACCTCCGCCTCTTGGGTTCAAGAGATTCTCCTGCCTCAGCCTCCCAAGTAGCTGGGATTACAGGCACACGCCACCACACCTGGCTAATTTTTGTATTTTTAGTAGAGATAGGATTTCACCATATGGGTCAGGCTGGTCTCAAACACCCGACTTCAGTTGAGTCACCTGCCTCGGCCTCCTAAAGTGCTGAGATTAAGGCATGAGCCACTGTGCCTGGCCTTTAATTAAGTTTTTAATTAAAAATTATTTATTTTCATTGTAGAAAATGTATGTGACTAACAATTTGCTGCCTTAACCATTTTTAAGTGTACAGTTCAGTGGCATTAAGTGCATTCGCATTGTGCCACTATCGCCACCATCCACCTCCAGAACATTTTTATTGTCCTGAAATGAAGCTCTGTGCACATTACATACTAACCCCCCAGACTGCCTTCCCATAAGCCCCTGCAACCACCATTCTGCTTTCTGTCTCTGTGAGTTTGACTACTCTACCTACCTCATGTAATTGAAATCATACTATACTTGTCCTTTGGTAACTGGCTTCTTTTTCTTAGCATAGAGTCCTCAAGGTTCATCCGTGTTGTAGCATGTGTCAGAATGTTCTACCTTTTAAGGCTAAATAACGCTCCATTGCGTGTATTTACCACATTTTATGTATCCATTCACCTGTGGGTGGACACTAGGTTTGCTTCCACCTCTTGGCTATTGTGAATGATGCTGCTATAACCATGGGTATAAAAATATCCATTTGAATCCGAGCTTTTGATTCCTTTTGGTATGAGTGTATATACCCAGAAGTAGAATTGCTGGATCATATGGTAATTCTATGTTTAATTTTTTTTTTTTTGAGGCGGACTCTCGCTCTGTTTCCCAGGCTGGAGTGCACTGGTGCTATCTCGGTTCACTGCAACTTCTGCCGCCTGGGTTCAAGTGATTCTCCTGCCTCAGCCTCCTGAGTAGCTGGGATCACAGGTGTGCGCCACCAGGCCCAGCTAATTTTTGTATTTTTAGTAGAGACAGGGTTTCACCATGTTACCCAGGCTGGTCTTGAACTCCTGACCTCAGGTGATCTGCCTGCCTCGGCCTCCCAAAGTTCTGGGATTCGAGGCATGAGCCACTGTGCCCAGCCTATGTTTAATTTTTGGAGGAACCCATTCTCATGTGAGGATCCCATTCACTTTCCACAGTGGCTGCACCATTTTACAATCCCATCAGTGATCTAGGAGGGTTCTAGTCTCTTTATATCCTCACCAAAATTGGTTGTTTTCTGTTTTCTTGATAATAGTTATCTTATCCTAAAGTGAAAACTGGATTCCTATGTACTTTTATACTAGTCCTCGTTACATTGATCCAAGTAGTTTGTTTAGTTTTCTGCCCCCCTCATGAGGCTGGGCATCCCTGTCAGTACAAGCATCCCTGCCTTCTCCTTGGTAGCCCAGCACCTGGTGTTCACTGAATAGATGCATTCTTTATAATTCCTGGGACATTCCCAGTTTATTGGAAAAGCTGAGGCTGCTTCGCCAAATCTCCCCAACTCTACTCAGCTCTACTCAAAGTGCCTCTGTGTTGTTCCTCTCTTCCTTCCTCCCATTTCTGGGGAGGTAGTCTCCCAGCTACCTCCCATCAAAGCAAATTGCTTCCACGATAATACCTTGAAGTCCCATGATGCCGGGAAATCCAGCGCTTCAGTGGTCTACTGTGAATGTGGGTCCCTTCCACACCAGTTTATTTTTGCTGCCTGTTTCTGCTGACACTCAGCTCCAAGTTCATTGCTGGGCACATTGTACAAGATGTTGAGATGGAAATCCTGAGGCATCACCACCATGAGAGCAGCTGGGTTAGGCGTTAAAGCCGATATTTCTGTCACCATTTTCTGGCATCGCTGGATTGCCCCAGGAGCAATCAGGTGCAAAGCCTGCTTGCAAAGTTCCAGGGTTAAGCTGCCAGAGGTCTTGGCTGTCACCCCCTTCCTCCCGCAGCCAGGCCCAGTGCCAAGTTCCAGAGGCCCTGCCCAGGCAGCTCCACCCAGAGCTTCAGAGCTAGAGCTTCAGGCCTAACTGCCTCTCTAGCCATGACCTCCTACTGGAGCTGGGGTCCAGCACTCCTAAGCTGCCAAGATGTCTTTAAAGATGTGCAAAGCCAGGTATAAGCAAGCAAGAGGAATATGGCGCCTGCCTTCAGGGAGCCTAAAGTGGGGAGAGGCTTTGGGAGGCTGAGGCGGGCGGATCATGAGGTCAGGAGATCGAGACCATCCTGGCTAACATGGTGAAACCCCATCTCCACTCAAAAATACAAAAAATTAGCCAGACGTGGTGGGAGCCACCTGTAGTCCCAGCTACTTGGGAGGCTGAGGCAGGAGAATGGCGTGAACCCGGGAGACAGAGCTTGCAGTGAGCTGAGATCACGCCACTGCACTCCAGCCTGGGCGACAGAGCAAGTCTCCGTCTCAAAAAAAAAAAAAAATGGGGAGAGGGAGGAAGAGGAAAGACAGTGGAAAAGCAGACATGAACTAATCATGTAAATTAACATGTAAATATGACAGAGATGAGAGATCAGCAGCCAGAGGTGAAGGACCATGATCTATGAGAATGTGATAAAGAGGGCACTGACCAAGGCTTCCCTGAGGCTCTGCTGTTGGAACTGAGATTCAAAGGATGGGCAGGCGAGGCCAGGGAAAGGGGTGTGAAGAGGCTCCCAGGTAAGGCAGGAGTGTATGAAAGCACTGATGGTGGTAGATGGCCCTGCCGTGTGGCTGGGACAGAGAGGAGGAAGGGGCAAAGAATCGTGCTAACATCTTTCTTCTAGGAGTGTTGGGAAGCTGTTGGAGAGTTTTAATCAGTAGGGGATGTGATCCCTATTTTATTTTTTATTTTTTAAATTTTTTAAAAAATTTTTTATTTGGCTAGGCGCAATGGCTCATGCCTGTAATCCCAGCACTTTTGGAGGCCGAGGCGGGCAGATCAAGAGGTCAGGAGATCAAGACCAGCCTGACCAACATGGTGAAACACCGTCTCTACTAAAAATACAAAAACTAGCCAGGCGTGGTGGTGCGTGCCTGTAATCCCAGCTACTCGGGTGGCTGAGGCAGGAGAACCGCTTGAACCCGGGAGGCAGAGGTTGTGGTGAGCTGAGGTCACGCCACTGCACTCCAGCCTGGGTGACAGAGCAAGATTCCATCTCAAAAAAAAATTTTTTTTTTTAATTTTACTTTAAGTTCTGGGATACATTTGACCCAGAAATCCCATTACTGAGTATACACCCAAAGGATTATAAATCATTCTACTATAAAGACACATGCATACATATGTTTATTGCAGCACTATTTACAATAGCAAAGACTTGGAACCCACCCAAGCAATCCATATTTTTTTAAGGAGGCTGCTGTACAGAGAACAGATTGGAAGGGGCTGAGATCAGAGGGGAGTGTGGCAAACAGCAAGCACAGTTGCAGCTGAGCTGATAGGAGGAAGGTGAGGACAGTAAAGACACCTCTCTTTCCACAGAGGTGGATCAATTTGAGAGCCTGCAGGGGAGTGAAGTCAACAGAACTCCGTGGTGGATGCAATGTGGGATGAGGGAAAGGGAAGGGGTTATTGTGGACTACCAGCTTTCTGTTTTGCAAAGCTGGGTGCTAATGGTGACTCCTGAGACACTTATCATCATATCTACCCTCTTAATAAAGTTTTAAGCACACAATACACCGTGCTGTACAGCATATTTCTAGAATTTATTCATTTTGTAGAACTACAACTTCACTGTATTTTGATTTCCAAACTTGATTTAAAAGCTACTAGACATCATAAGAAATTAGAAAAAAACAAAACAGAACACCCTTCAGCCATGTGAACCAAAGAGATCGGGAAGAACAACCAAATGAGAGGCATCACCCAACAGGGCTGTGAGTCAGACCAACATGGTGGACTGACAAGGCTCATCCGGCAGCGTGGAGAGGAGAGAGGGGAGGTAGAAAGAGGTGAGACGTGGTCTCCAACTCACACTGCTTGCCTTCTCTCTGCAGGGAGCCACTCTGCCCTTGTTTTCCCCTTCCCTCTTCTGGAATGTTCTATCCGAGATCTTCACGTGGCTGCCTCCTCTTCATTCAGGTCTGAGCACAAATGCTGCCTCTCCAGAGAGGCCTCCTACAGCCAGAATCTTAAGTAGCCCCCGCTCGTCTCTCTCCTTCACCCAGTTTCTCGGCTTCACAGTCCTCATCACTCTCCGACAGCATCTTCCTCATTTGATGGTGTCCTTGTTTGTGGCCTGTCTGCTCCTGGCAGGGGAAAGTTCTAGAATGCAGGAACTTTTGTCTGTTTTGTTCACACCCTTCCTCTCTCCAGGGCCCAGCTCAGCACTGAGGCCGTGTGCTCCGGTGCTCCATAGCTACTCACTGAGTGGATGAATGGAACAGTGTGGTCTTTCAGAGGCCTTATGGGAGAAAGCTTTGTAAGCCATCCCATGCCTTTCCCACATCGGCATCAGCCTCAAGCCCTGGCCACCCCTTCCTCCTCCAGACTGAGCAGCCACTCCTCATTCTCCAGCAGCTCATGTGGGCTCCACCCACACCTACCTTGGCCTGTCTCTTCTCACACACACAGGCTCTCCCAGGGGCCAGCCCCGCTCCCTTTCATCTGTTTGTTGGGGTGAACCTGAAAGCAGCTGCTCTGGCCTTGACCATGGGTCATGCCTGGTGCCAGTTGCTAGTCTGGTTTCCCTGCCTGTCCCAGAAAGCAGCCACGCCCTCTCCCCTGAGGGATGGCAATTCCTGCAGGCACGTTCCACTGGCCTCTTCTTCCCTCTTACCCGTGCATAGGCACCAGGGGAGTTTGGCAATTGCTCCCAGAATTATTTACTTGAAGTTCTTACCTGACTTTTGTGAGGTTCTTACTTGGATTCTGAGCAAAATTCTAAGTAAAAATGTGCACGTGCAAATTAGTCTGGGTCTTAAGAGGATCTCTAATAATTACAGTAATGTTACGGGTAAGACCCTGCACTTGGTTGCCAAAATGTTGTAGCCTTTGTTTGAAATCAGATATCTATGTCCTACCCGAAACAATCTATATATGGTTTTACATGTTCAAATGTAAAGCTATTTTTATCGATGATTTGGGAATTCTTGCATTATTGTTGTAGCCTGAAATTCTCTCTTCTTCTGACAAAGATAATAACAATATCTGCATTTTACTGAATGCCTACTGTTTTAGTTAGTTCAGGCTGCTGTTACAAAGTGCTATGGACTGAGTGGCTTATATTATGGGCAACAGTCATCTATTTCTCACATTTCTGGAGGCTGGAAGTTCAAGATCAGGGAGCCAGCTTGGCTGGAGTTTGGTGAGGGCCCTCTTCCAGGTTGTAGTAAGTTACTCAGGGTCAAACAGCTGGGAAGCCCTGAGGGGGTGTGAGACCTGGTGGGCCGCCTCCAGAGTCGACTCTTTTTATTTTTTTGAGGCAGAGTCTCACTCTGTTGCCCAGGCTGGAGTGCGGTGGTGTGATCTCAGCTCACTGCAACCTCTGCCTCCCAGGTTCAAGTGATTCTCCTGCCTCAGCCTCCCGAGTAGCTGGGATTACAGGTGCACACCACCACACCCAGCTAATTTTTGTATTTTTAGTAGAGATGGGGTTTCACCATGTTGGCCAGGATGGTGTCAATCTCCTGACCTCGTGATCCACCAGCCTCGGCCTCCTAAAGTGCTGGGATTACAGGTGTGAGCCACCACGCCTGGCCCAGAGTCAACTCTTAAACATACATGATGCTGTACATTTGGTAAGGTTAGGTAATCTTAATTTTGACAACCGCAGAGATTGAGACCTGGAAGAGAGAGAGAGAGCGGTGTCTCCTCCAATACAATTCCTCCTCACCACCCTCTTTCACCCACCCCTGCCTCAGCTCTTAGAAGGGGTGGGCCAGCCTGAGAGGCCACTGAGAAAGCTGGGTGCCCTGTGTGAACCCCACTCTTCCCTGTCCACCACCTGGATGTCTAGTGTGAGAAAGTTCCTGCAGCCTCAGAGATAGGAGGGGAAGAGGACTGGAACCATCAAAGTCATGATGCTTTGACTTTTTTCTCTATTTTCTCTTTCCTTAGAGACTGGAGGAATGCTTTGAAATAGATGACAGCCAAATATAAAATGTCATTGATTCAGAACTTACTTATGAGAGTCTTTGCTCTAAGTATATCAGTTCAGGACCTAATCAAATCATATTCAAAACTCAGAAGAAGAAAATAACTTCTCCCAGTCATGTCACCTAAGTAGGAATTGCAGTTGGCTGCAAGTAACAGACCAAAAATAATGGTGACTTAAATAAGATAAAATTTTATGTTTATCTTCTGTAAGAGTAGCCTGGGGTTGGGCAGTGCAGTTGCTCCCTGGATGTCTTGAAGGTCACAGGCATCTTATAACTTTCTGCTCCACCCTCCTTGACAATGGCTTTTATTCTCAAGGTCAGTTAGTGGTCCCAGGATGGCAGCTGCAGCTCCAGCCATTGGGTCTGCATCCAAAGAAGCAAGGGTGAAGGGACAGCAGCATCCGGCAGGTGAAGAGCTTGTGGCAGACGGAGAGCTTTTTTGGCCTCCAACTAAGGATTTCCAGACACATCTCATTGGTCAACTGCTGTCATGAGGGAGGCTGGGGAATCTAGGAAGGATCATACTTTAGCCAGGCATATTGCTGCCTTCAAAAAAACTAGAGGTTTTATTACCAAAGAAGATGGGGGAAAAGGATATTCAACAGGCAAGTAGTTGTCTCTGACATTTCCTCCAGAAAACCAGATTTCTGGCTTGGGCAATTGGCTAAATGGTACTGAATGGTGGTGTTGTTTCCTGAGACAGGCGACACAGAAGAAGGAAGAGGAGGAATTCAGTCTGAGGCAGGTCGAGTATACGCTGCTGGAGGCATTAAGGTGAAGGTTTTTGTTGTAGGCAGAACAATGGCCCCCTAAAGATGTCCAAATCCAGGTCCCTGGAATTTATGAGTAGGTTACTATATATGGCAAAAGGGACTTTGAGTTGTGATTAAGGGGTGTTATGGGCTGAACTGCATTGCCCCCAAATTCTTATATTAAAATTTGAATCCCCAGCACCTCAGAATTGGACTGTATTTGGAGACAGAGTGTTTAAAGCGGTCATTAGGTTAATGTTGTCATGAGGGTGGGCCCTAATCAAATCTGCCTGGTGTCCCTGTAAGAAGATGAGATTAAGGAACAGACACATACTGAGAAAGGACCACATGGACACACAGGGAGAAGACGGCCATCTGCAAGCCAAACAGAGAGCCCTCAGAAGAAACCAAACCTGCTGACACCTTGCTCTCCGACTTCTGGCCCACAGAACTGTGAGAAAACAAATTTCTGGTGTTTAAGCCATCCAGTCTCGGCACTTTGTCATGGCAGCCTGAGCAGACTCATAAAAGGATTTTGAGATTGGGGGTTATCCTGGGCCATCCAGGAGGGCCCAATGTAAGGTCTCAATATAAGTGCCCAATATACAGCATCACATAGGGGTCCTTATAAATGAAAGACAGAGGCAGGAGGGCCGGAGAAAAGCTGTGATGACATAAGAACACCAGCCGTCTTCTGTGGACATTGGCTACGAAGATGGAAGGGGTCTCAAACCAGGGACTGCAGGCGGCCTCCAGAAGCTGAAAAAAGCAAGGAACAGATTCTCCCCTAGAGACTCCAGAAGGACACAACCCTGCCTGTACCTGGGCTTTAGCCCTGTGAGATCCATGTTGGACTACTCACCTCCAGAACTGTGAGAAATAAATTTTTGTTGGTTTAAGCTACTAAAGTTATGGTGTTCCTTTTTATTTTATAATCACAATAGGAGGCTAACACTGTATATTCAGTAGGCATTTAGATGTATGTTTTGCAAAGTCACCAACACGCAGAGAATAACTGAAGCCATTGTCATGGACAAAATCATTCAGAGAATTATTTAGAATGAGGAAGAGACGGAATCTAGGGAAGAATCTTCTGGGAGACCAACATTCCAGGAAAGGGAAAAAATTGCACTGCTGTTTCTTTGATGGCTGGGTCTCAGGACTTAGAAGTGTAGCCAGATGGGGACATGTGGGGAGACACTGATCCCCCTAAGTGCCTTCCTTAGACATGACAGCTGCACAACACAATCGAAGGCTATGATGGACAGGTTTCCAAGGAAACAGCAAAAAGCAAGACCGTGAAATAGAGGTGTGAATAGAATCAAAAGGGCATTGCTTTTTATAGGCTGGGGTTCTCCTACTAACCCACAGGCAGCTCCCAGTCCCCACCCCCTCCATCTCCCCATTCCTTTCCTCTCACCTCCCACCCCTACGTGAACACCTATCATATCTCCATTCTAGAGAGCTGGAAAGGCAGCCTGGAGCCAGAATGACTTGGGCACACACCCTCTGTGCATTCTGTCCTCCCTCTGTCTCCATCCTAACTGATGATCTCCTTGCTTCTCTCCTCTGGGGACTCTCTTGATTGCTTTCTGAGATGAGAGCTCATCTTTCTCACAGCATCTCCAGTTTTGATGTCTGGTGCATGGCAGGTACTCGGGGCCTTGAAATGCTAGGCTAACAGCTACTCTTGAGGGAGGGATCAGAGACCATGTCTGAGAAAGGGATCAGAGGAAGGGAAGGTCCCCAGGCCCTAGGGAATGAGATAGGCAAAGGCTGCCTGAATAGAATCTGCTTCCCTTCTCTTTCAGGTCTTCCTCCCATGCAACCCCACAGGAAAAGGACGATGATTGATACTTACATTCCTTTATTGATTGAAAAAGAGCCCAACATGGTCTACATGATTATCAGAGGGGCCACTGGCCATCACTCCCCCTCCTCTTTGCAGTCACTTTGGTGGTTTTGCCAGAGAGCCCTGCTGTGCAGTGGGAGATGGTCTTATTTTGGAGGTGACCTTTACCTAAACTTCGTTCTCTTTGGAATAGGAGACCTGGACTTGGAGAAGGCCTGCAATCTCTCTTTCCTGCACCTGTAGTCCACAGACGTGAGCACTGTCCCTTAGCCATAGAGGACTCCCCCCACCTCCCATGGAGACCAGGGGAAGCTGACTGCACAGAGCCAGAGCCCAGCTGGGCTGGTGGAGTGCCTGGAGCTCTGTGCAGGTCTGGATAGGAGGAAACGGCCAATAGGAACTGGACCTCCTTGCAGGTGCTAGGAGCACAGGCTCAGGGCTCTGGGGATGGGAATGAAGGTAGGACCTGGGAGGGCAATTGTCTGCCTTGGTTTCTGCGGGGTGGGGCTTCTTTCCAGGAGCTGGTGTAGTAGGGTCAAGGCCCTTCAGTACCAAGCCCAAGGTCCTTCAGTGACTCCTCTCTAGTCTTGAGAGATAGAGGGAGGGTCTTTTGAGAATGAAGGAACAGAGCAAGTGGCCCCTAAAGCACCTCTGCCTGTGGGAAGACCAGGTGCTCAGCAGCTCTTCTCTGGAGAAGTGGTATTTGGTCTTTTTTATTTTTTATTTTTTGAGATGGAGTCTCCATCTGTTGCCCAGGCTGGAGTGCAGTGGCACCATCTTGGCTCACTGCAGACTCTGCCTCCAGGGGTCAAGCGATTCTCCTGCTTCAGCCTCCCAAGTAGCTGGGATTACAGGTGCTTGCTACCACGCCCTGCTAATTTTTGTATTTTTGGTAGAGATGGGGTTTCACCATGTTGGCCAGGCTGGTCTTGAATGCCTGACCTCGAGGGATCTGCCTGCCTCGGCATCCCACAGTGCTGGGATTACAGGTGTGAGCCTCCATGCCCAGCATGGTATTGGATCTTGATTGCCCCTTTGCTTCTAGGCACTCCCTGTGGGAGGTGGTCTTAGCCTTATGAGGGGTTATGAACTTGGCCTATAATGTGATGCAATGTGAACACAACCTGTGTCAGCAGGTCCTGAATCCTCCTGCTGCTCAGTAAGTGAGCCTGGCCCCTGGAACAAAGGCTGTATGTACCAAGGCCACCTTGCTTTGACAGTGTGGTGATTGGAGCCCCCATTCCTGCCCGTGACCATGCCCATAGAATGGAACCTCATGCTTATGGCCTGGAGCTCAGGATATGAGAGCATATGAGCTCTGGAGGTAGCCGTGGGCTTATGCCTCTGACTGGTGCTTATAGGCTGAGACCTGGGGCATGTAACTTACTTTTCTAAGCCCCATTTACTTAACTGGAAAAGGTGCTACAAAGGTTTGCATACAGGGGAGAAAAAGAACAAACTAAACTGTGTGAAAGCCCCCAGCACAGGGTCTGGCACAGAGGAGGTGCTCAGAATGCGGGCTTCTTCCTGGCTGGTGGCTCCTTTTGTCTTCCCTTCTGGGCTCCTGGCCAGGAATTTTACCCCCGTCCTGGGCCCCTGCCTGGTGTGCCCTCCCAGCCTGTCTGGTGACCTCAGCTCCCTTTCCACTTTCCCCACCTTGTTGATGCCGGTGCCTTCTGCTGCTCCTTAGAGGCCTTTAGAGAGCTGTGTGGAGGTGGAGGGTATGGGCGTGGCCTCTGCAACTAGACCAGCTGGGTTTCAATCATGCTGTCCTAGCTTGATGTCCCTGTGCATTACTTATCTCACCTGTAAAGTGAGGATGATGGTAACAGTATTTCAGGACAGGATTTTGGAAAGGATTGAATGAGTCAATGAATAAAGTGCTTAGATCAGCTTCAGGCATGTAGTGAACACCCAATAAACAGTCATCATTTCATTCCTCTGCTCTTCAGACACCACCCCAGAATGCCTCCTTGCCAATCGCCTCTGAGCACCCCTCCTTCTTCTGTCCTCCCCTCCCCAACCCTACCCTCCAAACCCCCATGGCACAGGGTTGTTGCCACCCAGCAGCATCCCCAGGTACACCCCCTGGGTAGTTTCCTTGCCCACATTTAATATCAGACATGTTTGGAGCTCTGGGTTTTGGTTTTCTGGTGCCCTCTGATCTTTGAGTGCAGGAGATAGTGAGGAGATGGGTATGAGGGTCAAGAAGGGTGGGGGGTCATGACTCTGGCAATGTTGCAGGAATTGAAGGAGGAATAAAATATCCTTTGCTCTACCCAGACATACCACCAGTTGCTTTCTTATTTCCTTTATGGATTGAGCCAGCTAGTGCAAGCAGAAAGTCAAGGCCACAGTGAGTTTGGTGGGAAGCCAAGTGTAAGAGAGTCAGGATTAAAAGGCTGGAGGGGCAGAGGAGGCCAGCACAGGAGATGAGGAGAAGGGGCTTAGAAGAAAGGAGACCTGGGGAGCTGAACTGCACCTGCTCCTTGTGCCTGCTCTTGTCAGTTACTGGGGACATTGATAGGCTGACCCTGGAGCAGCTGCCTGCCTTGCCCCAAAACACTGATTCATTCTGGATGGTTCTTTCTCGATATCTCTTTTTTTGGTCTCAATACTTGGCTTGTGAGGATGGAAAGAGTTGGAAGCTGCTGGTCTCTGCCCCATCAGCATCTCAGAGTAGGGTCATCAGCTCCTACAAGATGCCTGAGGAACCATGCACAAAATCCATCCTGTCCATTTTCTCCCAGGCAGCAATCTGGGGAGAAGGATGTGTGGCAATGGAGGGTGGGGTGCATTTTAGATGAATTAATTGGTGGACATGGTCTTGAAATTCCTGAAGAGAAGAATGAAAACACAGCAGACAGTGTTACATAGAATACAATTCAACATTACATTGATTCCTTTAGGCTTCGGGTTAGATCAAATTCTCCCAAACAGAATAGCCATGGGGAGCATGAGACAATCTAGTGAGCCTAAAACACGGAAGCTGGTTCTGTCCTTTGACCCACTGACGTGAAAAGAGTCATTGCAGGTGATGCTTTGTTGCAGAAATGTGGAGTCTGACCTGGGCTGCATTTCCAGATCAGGTGCATCCGTACCTCAGCCTTCCATGGGGTAACAGGCATTGGCAAAAAATGTCCTGCCTCAGTGTGACCCTGGAACCTTTCCAGCCCACACTCATGTGGAGGATCCCAGTGGGGATGACGATGTTTGGGGATATTTCCTCATATTCTCTTTGCTGAGAAACTAGCTTGAGTGGGCAGGGAATGGAGGCAGGTACTGCTAGAGTCTGCAAAGTGAGTCCAGAACCTGGACTTCTAGAGTTGTGGTTATCCCTAAACTTCCTTCCACTAAGACATCCATGATAGCAGTATCCAAATGGGCCCTCCTCATATAGCTGTGCCCAGGCTACAATCTCCTGGGCAGAGGAAATGAGGCACCTGGAGTGTGGGTTTCCAGTGAGTGATCTGGGGCCCATCCCATTTGCTCCCATTTAAGAATGCATCGAGGAATGCAAGAGTAATATTATAGGGCCATCAAATCTGCATTCATCTCAGAAGAAGGGAAATGATCTGCAAGGTTTGTCACTGAGGCACTAAAACTACAATTAACGACATAGCACTTGCAACACTCCCAAGATTGGTCCTGACCACCTGTGTGCAGGGCTAGAGGTGAGCTAGAGACATGGCCACACTGGCATGGGTCTCCATGAAGGCTATGGCCATCCTGGGTGAGCCTCAACGGCCATGAGTTCCCCAAACTCTGACTCCGTGGGTGGGTCAGGTAGGGGTGGTCCCCATGACACAAGTGCTTTCCTCCATGGATTTTCTCACAATGCAGAAGGAACAAGGATGGATTCTGGCTCTGCATATGGAACTGCCATGCAGGATGGGGATATCTGGAGGGCCATGGTGACTGGGAAGGCCACAAGGCTGAGGAGTGAAGAGAATTAGCTCAAGACAAGGGTGATTCTGGTGCAGGATGCTCTCCTCTCACACCTCATTACCAAATGCTCTCCAGGGGTCTTTGGCCTAGGGCAGCGTGGCTGGCTCCCTCACAGGTACTGCTTCTGTTCTTTCACCTACGGGCCTCTTGGTTGCCACAGGGAGTTACAGAAGCACTTCTCAGGGACTCTTTGCTTGCCAGGCCCTCTGGAAACCCACTTCCCGTCTCTACCATAGACACCAGGAGGCCCTCAATGTGCCTCCAGGAGAAGCTGCGCTAGGCACTTGGTGAAGAGGTGGGAAGCCGGGAAAGAGAGGGATGAAGTAAAAACATCTGGGAGGTCAGACAAATGGCCGTGCAGTTTCCTAATTCCATCATGCTTCTCCTTCCCCAAGCTACTCCTGCACACGCATAGCAGCTCCTGCTGCTTCCAATGCCATTCTTTCCCCTCTTTGGTAACTCTTATCTTTCCTTTTGTTTTTGGGTTGGAGGACATGGCCTCCAGGAATTTCTCCGTCCTCTATCAAGTCTAGGGTAGACACCGCCTGTGTTCCCACACCCACCCACATTTCGCCAGTTGGCTTGGCTGCCTCTCTCACCTCGGGAAGCAAGAAGACATCAGGGACCGTGTCTTGCCCCCAGCCAGGGCTTATCCCAGAATGCGACACTTAATAAATGTTGGCTTTTTTGGTGGGTGGGGGCAGGGATAACAGAAGTTGGAATTTTCTGACGTGAATTCCATCTCTAGAAACCTACAGATCATTCAGATATGGAACTTGATTCTCTCAATTTTGATCTTGATGGACGTGAAAGGGAAAACAACCTTACAGGATCCCTCTGTATCTTTCCATTTAGCTGTTCTAGATGCAGAGATAGAGGCAGGGGTAGGAAAGAAATTAGGGCAACATGCATTTTGTCCTTGGCTAATGATCAAGTTCAGAGAAGACAGTGGTCAATGAGAAAGATAAGGTCAAGCGGAAACAGTGACATCCCCTAGCCTACCCCACTGCCTCTGATGTAAATATTATATAATTAGGAACTAAACTTCTTCAGCTGACTAACCCCTAGAGTCATGTTGTCATGTCCAGGGGCACGTGCCATCTTGGAGAGTATTTTTCCCAGGCCTCCCTTCATTGTTCAGTCTTTGGAATGTTTGATACTTGTGATCTTGAAAGTCTGCTAAGGGAGCTAGGGCTGTCAAACCCAATGGGTCAGAGCTCAGCCATCCCTCCCTCCTCTGTAAAGGACCTCCGTGGGTCAGTTTTGGTTCCAGAAGTATGCAAATGAAGAATCCAGCTCTGGCACTCAGATATGTAAACATGAGGTTCTCCCTTGGGCATAGCCCACCTTCGAAGAATTTCCCAGCATGCATTGCACTTGGCAGAGAGAGTTGGATGAATGATGCCTGGATGCAGGGGCAGGGGGTTAGAGTGACCAAAGGGAAGGCCACAGCCGGGATCCAAGGAAGCATCAGTCAGAATAGAGATCAAGTGGATACATCTGGCAACATTCCCGGCTGCATGGAGGGTGGAGCCCCAAGCTCTATCTTCCCCACAGGGTCAGGAAGAGCATTTTCCTGGATCAGTTTTATGGCACCCCACAGAGGAGACAGGGATGTCGGATGTTGGTCATCAGATCTTCTCCCAGTCAAGGTGGCAGGGAGATGCGGAAACCACCATCAGCGAGTCAGGAAGAAGGACTTGAGGCTGCGTAAGAAATTCGACTTCTGTCTGTGCTTCTGTTTCTTTTTGATGATGGGCACCCACACCAGCCCGCACACCAGCATCATGAGTCCCAGGGACAGGAAGCCAGGCCCTACCATTTTGAGGATGGAGAGACTCTTGTCACTCAGCTTCAAGGTGTAGGCCAAGCAGGTGATGACCACGCCGAAAAGCAGGATGGCACCGCCCACTGACATGATAACGATGGGCTTGCGGTAGATTTCCCAGTTACTCCTGGGGGTGGTGGTCCAGACAGACTCGCTCCTGGAGCTGATGCACAGGGAGCTGGCGGTCTGGCTGGGCAGCAGGTCCTTGGCTTCTGGAGACTTCTCATCGACCTCTAGAACCTTGGGGAGAGTCTCCATCGTCATGGTTGCTCAGGACTGGGCGCCTAGGACCAGCAATAGTTGGAAACAAGAGTGGAGCCAAAGGAATCCTCACACACCCTTCCTGTACTCAGCATCCATCTCTAGCCCCGCTCTCAGTGGAGGGTGAACAAGGTTTTTGTGCTGAAGCCAAAAAAGAAAATGAAATGAAATTCACATAAATAAGAAACCACCCAAGCTGGTATAATTTTTTTTTCTTGCAAGAGATAAATATTATAACATTTTATTCAATAGCTTTTAATATTTAAAACAAGGAACAGTGATGCCATTTTAGAAACAAACAAGTTATAGTTTTTTGTTTGTTTGCTTGTTTTTTTTTTTAGATGGAGTCTCCCTTTGTCACCCAGGCTGGAGTGCAGTGGCCGTGACCTCAGCTCACTGCAACCTCCACCTCCCGGGTTCAAGTGATTCTCCTGCCTCAGCCTCCTGAGTAGCTGTGATTCCAGGCACCTGCCATGAAGCCTGGCTAATTTGTGTATTCTTAGTAGAGACGGGTTTCCACCATGTTGGCCAGGCTGGTCTCGAACTCCTGACCTCAAGTTATCCACCTGCCTCGGCCTCCCAAAGTGCTGGGATTACAGGCATGAGCCACCGCACCCGGCCAGCTATATTTTGTTGAATGGCATTTTATTTTCAGACCCAACCACTTTCTAGTTGTCTGATCTTGATGGAATTACTCAACCTCTCTTTGTCTCAGTTTTCTTATCTATAAGATGAGGATAATGTTACTTCTTTCATAGAATTTTCAAAACGGTGTGAGTTAAGGGATGTAATGCATTGAAATAATGCCTAGCATATGGCAAATACTCCATAAATGATATCGTTTGTCTATTAGAAGAGTGATGCTTTACAGATAAATTCTGCATGTGTGTCCTGTGCCAGACACTGCATCAAACACTTCCTTTGTTAAATTGAAACCTGACAATAAACCTGTGAATTAGGCATTAGTCCTGTTTTACTGATGAGATAGTGAAGCTTCAGAGAGGTGAAGCAACTTCTTGAAGATCACACGATAAGGAACAGCCTGAGCTCAGATTTGAACCCTGTCACTCCTACCAGGCTATGCGTAGTCTGGAGAACACCGTTTCGTGCAGCCTGGGCTTTCACGTGCTCTGTCAGCAGAGGACAGTGATGTCACAGGTTCACAGTGCAACCTTCTTTTTTTTTTTGAGATGGAGTTTCACTCTTGTTGCCCAGGCAGGAGTGCAATGGCGTGATCTCAGCTGACCGCACCCTCCGCCTCCCGGGTTCAAACGATCCTCCTGCCTCAGCCTCCTGAGTAGTGGGGATTACAGGCATGCACCACCACACCCAGTTAATTTTGTATTTTTAGTAGAGATGGGGTTTCTCCATATTGGTCAGGCTGGTCTTGAACTCCTGACCTCAGGTGATCTACCTGTCTTGGCCTCCCAAAGTGCTGGGATTACAAGCATGAGCCACTGTGCCTGGCCCCCACAGTGCAACCTTCTAAGATCTAAACGCCACCCTTCCCTACCCTCCATGTTAATTACATCAAGGCCAATTTCCAGCTTCCTATTCTCAGGCCTGGAAAGGTATGGAGTCTCACTCAATTGCCCACCCCAGGGTCTAATCGAGAGCCCATCTGCATAGCTCTCAGCCACTGGGGCTCCCTCATCACTGACCCTGACTCAGGGGAGGTAGATGGTCACCCATGTGGAGCAATTTCAGGGCTGGGCTGCAGAGAAGCACTGCTTGCCCGCCAAATACTTCACCAGACCAGTGCTTTCTCAAATTCTTTTCATGTCCGATTAAAGCATTTCTTTCTTTTCTTTCTTTTTCTTTTCTTTTTTTTTTTTTTTTTTTTTTTTTTGAAGTGGAGTTTTGCTCTTGTTGCCCAGGCTGGAGTGCAGTGGTGCGATCTTGGCTCACTGCAACCTCCGCCTCCCAGGTTCAAGCCACTCTCCTGCCTCAGCCTCCTGAGTAGTTGGAATTACAGGTGCCCACCACCACACGCAGCTAATTTTTGTATTTTTAGTAGGGACAGGGTTTCACCATGTTGGTCAGGCTGGTCTTGAACTCCTGACCTCAGGTGATCCACCCTCCTTAGCCTCCCAAAGTGCTGGGATTACAGGTGTGAGCCACCGCACCCAGCCTAGATTAAAGCCTTTCATTTCATAATCAGAAATGTGGGTTCAAGGCAAAGGTCTATATATTTACAACAAGATAATAAGATGTAAATGACTGATATTAGGTACTTTCCTGAGGATAGGTTCTGTTTGAGAGAGCCCAGGTTCCCTGCCTGGAGGTTTCACAAAGTTACTGCCCTGATTCATCTTTCAAATGTCTCCAAGGTGTCTGTACATTGCTTTGTACCCAAGAGATTTTACACATCTTTAATTGAATGAGTAAGTAAATGAACAACTCTCTCTCCCTTCTTTCCCTTCCTCTTCCTTCCACTGGTTGCTAAGGACAAACACAGGACCTGCTCCACTTATATAGAAACCACTTACACACTTATTTATCTTCTAGCAGGAGCCTGGTGCCTCCCCTGCAGTAAGCTCAGGCGGTTGCTGCTCTCTGGGACAGAGCCCACAGGCTCTCTCCTCCTGTACCCCGAGTCCTCAAGCTCTCTGGCTGTTCTCTGAGGGTCCCTTGCCTGCTTGGGATGACTTTCCTTAAGCAGCTCTCCGAGGCTTCTGCTCTTTCTGCCTCTTCAGATGAAGAAGGAGACCTTGGCCTCTGGACCTTGGCTTCTACCCTCTTTCCTGGCCAAGAATCCTGCGATTCCTCCTCTGGCTTCTTCTTCTGTTTCCTGTTGGGCTACTCAACGCCCCACTCATGTCAGCATTTACAAATATCTCTATTTATGAGTGGGATGTGGGAGATTTCTTTCCATAGCAAAAAAATTGTATTGGGGAAGGTGGGCTATTCATCCTGGTCACCATGAAACCTTGGTCAAGAGGAAGGGGCAGGTTGCAGATAAATGTAACATGTATCAGGGCTTGGGAGCCACCAGCTCCAGACACATGTTACACAGAGAGGAGTCCTTTACTGAATGCGTTCTCCTTCAATCCTTCCGACGACGTCAATTTCAGCGGAGTCCCTCCAACCTGTTCATTCCAACCCTCACTGCTCAGGCCTGAACTTTTCTGAACTAGTGTCTTCCCTGACCCCAAGAATAATGATTCCATTCTCTAGAACAAGCAGTTACAGATCCCTCACCATTAACAGGGGGAAATAGGAGTTGTAACCAAGGCCTTCGGAATTTGGCCTTGGTAATGTTACAGTTTGGATCTCTGCTTCCTAAGACTCTGAAAATATTACAAGGTGCTTTTGTAACTGTAGGCACCCAGTGTGTGCTTCCCTTTGGAGCCTGTGGTATATTTGCATAAGCAAAGTAGCCATTTAAAAGGTGATTTTTTTCCCCCTGTGGGCTTGGGGGTAGGGATGGGTTCATAAAGCTGTTAGGAGACCTTGTGCTGCTTACTGCAACCTGGTCTCATATGAGGATGTTTGATCATCTTCAGCAGAATTTATTTTTCTCAGTAGTCATTTCGATCCCGTTTCCGTGAAGACATGGGGCGATATGATGGCTGTTTCCTGAGGCTGGAAAGGTTGTGATGAAGGAATTAAATGCAGTGATTCTCAGTGGTGCCAGAGAAGATAGCTGGGGCTGGGCAGGGGAAGGGCTTGCTCCTGGGAGCTGCCATCTGGGAGTGAGGGGGCTCAGGAACAGGAAGTGTTGAACTGGAGGCTGGGGCCACTGCAGGGACATTGGACTGTAGATTCTGAGAGAGGAAAATGGGCCTTGCTGGAAGTAACTAAGACCTTCTTTCTGGCTCTGCAACGCGGTCGCTAGTTCAGTCTCATTTTCTAGGGGCAGAGACTGAGGCCCAGTGGGGTTTAGGAGCTTGGCGAACTATACCAACCCCCACATCAGGCCAAGGTCTTCGGCCTCAAAGCTCCTTGCACTGCACAGCAGCTAGTCTGGATGGGTCCCAAAGGTTCCTCAACTACAAGAATCTTGAGATTATCACTTTGTGGCTCCATCCTGTAGTAAAATAATCTCTCAATGAATACAGAATGACTTAGATTCATAATCCCCTAACATTGACCCACTACGTGACGTGAGAAAGAAGAATTCTGTTGTAAGTTTTTCATAATGTTACATTTATTCAGTTCGAAGGACTATTTTTTATTCTGAGATCATAATGTAATGGAGTGGAGTCCTTCCTTGGCATTAGAATAGTCTTCATTTTATGAAATAATTATGATGGAAGAGGATCATTGGTTTTGTTAGTAACTGCTCAGAAAAAAATTGTCCACTATGTAGATGTCTGTCTGTCTATCTATCTATCTATCTATCTATCTATCTATCTATCTATCTATCATCATCATCTATCTGCAATGGTCCATGAAATCCCAAAGAAAAGCAACTATTCATTTGTTGGGAGGGAGGATGTGTCTTTGGGAGAGTGAATGGGCAGGGAGGCACTTCTAGGCAATGACTGAAAGAGAAGCAGTTCTCTTCCCCTGAGCAGAGGGAATGCCTACCCTCCTCTCCCTCCCACGCTACTCTCTGTAACTGTGACCAGGCAAAAGGCAAGGAGCATCTATAAACAGAAGCAGGCAGGCAGGGCAGGGCTGTGAGTGGAACTCTGTACTGGGAAGAATTAAGCCTACTTATTCACAGTTCCAGCAAGTCACTAAACTTACTTGCAGAAGCTGCTTGTGATGGAAAGACCCAGGTCTTTGGCATCAGAGTGACCACAATTTGAACACAGTTTGCCACTTACATGCTGTGGGACCTCGGTCAGGTTACTTCAGCCCCTGAGCCTTACGAGCCCCATATAAAACAGGGATAATGGAGTGTCTACCTCATAGGGTTGCGGTACAGTCAAATTTCAAATAACACTGCTATATTGTCTGACACATTCTACGTGTTCAGGAAATGGCCTTGGTTGCCATTGCAATTATTTTCTTTCTGGGTCTCTGTTTTTCCATTTATAAAATGAAGGAGTTTTCTTAGCTATTTCAGATAAGTCTATAGGTAATGAATCAGCTTGAAATCTGAAAATTGAGGTTTTCAGAAAATCACCAATTCATGGGCTGTAGGAGTTTTATAACATTTTATTAAAGCCCCAATAAGATTCCATTTTTTCTGTATACCAGGGCTTTTTAACAATGGCACTGTTGGCATTGTGGATTGGAAAATGGATTGCTGTGGCAGACTATAGGATTGTAGGATGTTTGTATTGTAGGATAGTTAGCAACATTCCTGGTCTCTACCCACTAGATGCCAACAGTACCTCTTCCTCCCTGTTGTTATCATCACAATAAAATATATCTCCAGACATTGCAAAGGTCCCCTGGGGTAGGCAAGATCAATGTGGTGGATCAAAGGCTGCTCTGGCCAGCCTTTCCTCCTGCCTAGCTTGAAAATTCAGGATAGAGGCTGGGCTTCCTCATCTTCTACCCCATGGCACCTGGCTCACAGCCTGGCACTTGGCAGTTGCTCAGAGGATGTGGCCCAGATGCTGCAGCTCTGTCGGGGACAAGGTAACACTCAGGGGGCTGGTCCAGTGAGAACCACCCTTTTCCGCTTCAATTAAGTTACTGGTAGTTTGGTTTGTGTGATTCAGGAGATCCTTCACTCACTGTAGGGAGTTGAATTGTGGCCCCCAAAAGATATGTCTACCCAGAACCTCAGAATGTGACCTTATTTGGAATAAGGGTCACTGCAGATACAATCAAGATAAGGATCTTGAGATTAAAACATCCTGAGTGAGAGTGGGTTCTAAATCCAATGATTGGCATCTTCCTTCTAAGAGAAGGGAGAAGGGAATTTGACACACAGAGGGGAAGGCTATGTGCAGAGGAGAGATGGAAGGAATGTTTCTACAAACCAAGGCATGCCAAGGGTTGCTCGAGGCTGGGAGAGAGGCAAGGAGTGAATTCTCCCTCTGAGCCTCTGGAAAGACCCAACCCCACTAACACCTTAATTTTAGACTTCTGGCCTCTAAGAATGTGAGACCTTCAATTTCTGTTGTTTCAAGTCACCAAGTCTGTGGCAATTTGTCATGGCAGCCCTAAAAAATAAGTATACTCAGTTTCCTTTAAGGTCCTGATGCCCCAGACTGGGCAAGGACTGAGGCCCCAGAGAGGATGGGCCTATGGAGGAGCAGGAGAAGCCTGGAGTTGCAGGGCCTCCTGGACTCACCTCAGATTTGAATGTCAGCTCGCCTGCAGGGCAGCAACTGGAGAAGGGCGGATGGGTCCTTCTCCCCTGGAGGCCAGTTTGGAGCTTCAGAAGGCTGAGTTAGTGGGTGGGGACTTAATTACAGTACACAACCAAGCTGAGCAGGCTGCAGGCTGGCACCAAGAAACAGTGCCAGTCTGGGACTATACAGCAACGAGAAGCCAGACAGAGAAAGAATGCATGCGATGTGATCTCATTTCCGTAAAATTCAAATATGTGTAAAACAGTCTATGCTATGAGAGCTTAGGATAGTGGCTGCCTTTGGTGGGGGTAGTGACTGAAATGGGGACTTTTGAGGTGCTGGCAACGTTCTGATTCTTTTTTTTTTTGAGTCGGAGTTTTGCTCTTGTTGCCCAGGCTGGAGTGCAATGGCACGATCTCGGCTCACCGCAACCGCCGCCTCCTGGGTTCAAGTGATTCTCCTGCCTCAGCCTCCCAAGTAGCTGGGATTACAGGCATGTGCCACCATACCCAGCTAATTTTGTATTTTTTAGTAGAGATGGGGTTTCTCTATGTTGGTCAGGCTGGTCTCGAACTCCCAACCTCACGTGATCCGCCCACCTCAGCCTCCCAAAATGCTGGGATTACAGGCGTGAGCCACCACACCTGGCTATGTTCTGATTCCTGACCTAGCAGCTGGCTACAAGGGTGTGTACTACTGGCACAGTACACTTGAGTTGTGACCGTTTTTGTGTGTGTGCAATCTATGTCAATAAAATGCTTAAACAAAGACAATTAAAAGATATAACTAAATGCAATACGTTCCTTCCTTTGGATTCTGATTAGAACAAGCCAATTGTACAAAGGCACTGGGGATAATTAGGGAAGTTTGAACATGGACTTGGATACGTCTCAGCCTCAGTGTGAACCATGATTCCTTTCCCTTTTCCATAAGCAGATTTATCCCTAGAGCTCTGTGACCTTCCATCCCCCAAACAGCACTGGTTTTCCCTAGGTAGTTGCTGACCTCTAAGGTCAAATCAACTGCATAGACCCTTAGTGCTAAGAGGATGAGAGGGGGTCTGGGGATCCACCTGACAGGCCCAGAACCCCGGAGTGATGATCCCTGACTGTATAACTTGGGGCCCACTTCCTGGTTTAAAGAAATAACTTATTCACCTCTTACATGGATATGTGGTAGGGACAGGGATGCCAGACAAGAAAAGGGAAGGGAAGAGGGTGGAAAAAACACAGAGGACAATTGACTTTCAACAAATGCATCAAAGCAATTCAACGTGGAAAGGAAAGTCATTTCAACAAATGGTGCTGGAACAACTGGATATTCACATGGAAAAAAGAATGAAACTTGATCCCACTTGACGTCATCAACAAAAACTAGAGCTGGATCCTGGGTCTAACCTAAATGTAAAAGGTAAAACTATAAAGATTTTTGGGGAAACCACAGGAGAAAAATCTTTGTGACCTGGGGACAGGCATAGATTTTGTAGACAAGATAGAGACAGAAAAAAAAATCAATAAAATAGATATCATCAAAATTTAAAATGCCTGCTCATTAGATGACACCATGAAGGAAATGAATAGGCAAACTCTGAACTGTGACAAAATATTTACAAAATATGTATCTGGGCTGTGCACAGTCGTTCATACCTGCAATCTAATCCTAGCACTTTGAAAGGCCGAGGCAGCAGATCACTTGAGGTCAGGAGTTCGAGACCAGCCTGGCCAACATGGTGAAACTCTGTCTCTGCTAAAAATACAAAAAATCAGCTGGGTGTGGTGGTGCACGCCTATAATCCCAGCAACTCGGGAGGCTGAGGCATGAGAATCACTTGAAACTGGCAGATGGAAGTTGCAGTGAGCCGAGATCTCGCCACTGCACTCCAGCCTGGGCAATGGGGCGAGATTCCATCTCAAAAAAAAAAAAGTATCTGTCAATGCTACATATGATTAATAGACAAAGAGCCCAGTTAAAATGGGCCAAATGTTTAAATAAACATTACATATAACAAGTGAACAAGGAACCCAGGAAAAAGTGCTTGACATTGATGTTTAACAGGAAAATACAAATTAAAGCCACAACGAGACATCACCACACATGCACTACAATAGATAAAATGGGAAAATCTCACAATACCGTAGGTTGGTGTGAACGTGGAACAACCCGAGCTGGTGGGAATGTAAAATCGGTTGTTTTTTACAAAGTTAAATATACATCTACCCTTTGACCCAGCAGTTCCACTTCCAAATGTTTATTTGTCCCAGAGAAATGAAAAGGCATGTCTGCAAAAAGACTTCTTTAAGAATAGTCATAAAAGCTTTATTCATAATAGCAAAAATAAAAAAGAAAAAAAAGAAAAAGAAAAAGAAAACAACCCAAATGTCCCTCAACAGAAGAAAGGATAAATGGTTGTATAATCACACAATGGAATGTTACTAAGCAGTAGAAAGGAGCTAACTTCTGAAGCGCACAACAGCATGGATGAGCCACACAGACATGCTGGGTGGAAGAGATCGGATATGAAAGAGTACCTATATGGCATGTTTCCATCTACCTGGCATTCTGAAGCCAGCTAAGAACTAATTAAGGTGGCAAAGCTCAGAAAATTGTTGTGGGGCTTGAGGAGGAACCAACTGGAATATACACGAGGAAATTTCCCAGGGTCGATGGACATGTTCTATGCAGTGACATTGGTGGGGTTTGCATGAGGGACCCATTTGTCAATATGGTGCTGTTAGATCTGTGCATTTCTTTTTCTTTTTCTTTTTTTGAGACAGAGTTTTGCTCTGTTGCCCAGGCTGGAGAGCAATGGCGAGATCTCAGCTCACAGCAACCTCTGCCTCCCGGGTTCACGCCATTCTCCTGCCTCAGCCTCCCGAGTAGCTGGGACTACAGGCACCGCCACCATGCCTGGCTAATTTTTTCTATTTTTAGTAGAGATGGGGCTTCACCGTGTTAGCCAGGATGGTCTCAATCTCCTGACCTCATGATCTGCCTGCCTTGGCCTCCCAAAGTGCTGGGATTACAGACGTGAGCCACTGCGCCCAGCGTTGTTTGTTTTTTTTTTTTTTTTAACTACAGAAGGTTAGAACCTGACTAGCACCGCTTTACCAAGTCACTGGTCCTGTTCCTTCCCACCCGGTGGTTGTAAAAATCTCCCTTTGATATTACAGCCAGGTGTTAGGATGGAAGTAGCTCACAAGGTGGCATGGAGGCAGCTGTGAAGGGGCAAAGGCAGGACACACTGACCAACTCCTCCCTGCCTCCATTCTTTGGCCTAAGTGACCGCTCACCTCGCCAAGGCAGGCTTCCTTCTGCTGGCCGAAGTTCCTACAAAAATCTCCAATGTACCTCAGCTGCTTCTCCAAAGCCAAAGAAGCCATGCGGCTGGGGAGGGCAGGTGCTTTTTATACAATAATAAAAACTACCATTTATCAAATGCTTAGTGTGTGGTGGGAGCCACGCTAAATGCTTTGTCTGCATTGCCTCATTTCATCCTCCCACCCAGTCACTCCTATGGGGAAGCTATATTCTTGCCCCACTTTGCAGGTGAGGAAACTGAGGATCAGAAAGGTATAAGTGACTTGCCCAAGATGACTCACAGATGAGGAGAGCATCTGGATTGGAATGTGAGTTTTGCAGCCAGCCTGGCCCAGACTCTGTGTTCAAGTCTATTCCGCCCCTCCTTGGGGCGGTTTTAACGTTTATTTTCAAATTATGGGAAAAGCAAGTGGGGAGGATGCCCAAAGTGGGACATAGTGAACAGAACTGCAGCCTTGGCTGAGGAGATAGGCCTAGGACTGTTGGTTAGAGCTGCCAAGGACGCCGGGGTCCCCGAGCTGGGGCCAGCAAGCAGCAAGAGGCCAGCAAGGGGCCTGTGGCACAGTGGCCTTAAAGTCACCACTGTCACCATGCCACAAATCCAACGTAAGATGCCTGGCATGTGCCACTTTCTTCGCCTGGGGAGTCTCTTTTAATCCTCTGCTTTAGGAGGGTAATACTATTATCATTCCCATTTTGCAGCTAGGAGCACAGGCTCAGAGCTGCCAGCCTCCAAATCCTGATTTTTTTTTTTTTTTTTGAGATGGAGTTTCGCTCTTTTGCCCAGGCTAGAGTGAAGTGGTGTGATCTTAGCTCACTGCAACCTCCACCTCCCAGGTTCAAGCTATTCTCCTGCCTCAGCCTCCTGAGTAGCTGGGATTACAGGTGCATGCCACCACGCCTGCCTAATTTTTGAATTTTTAGTAGAGACGGGATTTTGCCATGTTGGCCAGGCTGGCCTCGAACTCCTGACCTCAGGTGATCCACCTCCCTCAGCTTCCCAAAGTGCTAGGATTACAGGCGTGAGCTACTGCACCCGGCCAATCCTGCTCTTTTATTTATGCTTTCTCAAGGAGAGGGCCCTGCCTTTTTTTCTTCTTGTTTTCTTCACCGCCTTCCTTGCATTCTACCACCCTACACCTGTACATCTCCACCTCTGAACTCACTCCCCAGCCTTTTCCTGGTGCTGTCCTCCTTCGAACGTGCTGAAATACAGTTGGTATTAAGAGGGTTGTCAGATTTAGAGAATAAAACTACAAGGTGTCCAGTTACAGTTCAGCCTCAGATCAACAACGGATAGTTTTTTTCATGTAAGAATGTTCCAGTATTGCATGGGACCAACGCATGCAAAAAATGTATTTGTTGTTTGACAAATTCAAATTGAACTGGGCATCTCGCAATACATCTGGCACCCCTAATATTGTAAGAGATCCCGCTGTGCTGCTGTGCTTGGGCCTGGAGTTATCTGGCCCTTCCTGAGCTTCTGCCCCTCAGGCCCCACCATCTAGAGAGCTCTGATAGCACCTGGGCTGTTCTGGAAGTTGCAAGAGCTGAAAGCAGAGGAGAGAGGCACACATTACCTCACTGCTGGGAGGCTGGGCCCAGCGAGGGGAGTCTGGGGGAGAAGCGGGGAAGGCAGGATGGAAGTGGTGGGAATAACACCATGTATTATTCCTGTGGAAGACCCAGAGTGGTAAGAAGTGGAGGGTCCTCCTGTTTCCCTCACGGAGTCCCCATTAAGGCCCCACCCAGCTCCAGCTTGCCAGTGGTCATCCCCACGGTCCCTTATCTTCTCTGGCGGTGCTGTCTTCCCCTCACCAGGACATTCAGTTGGTGACTGTCCACCCCTCTGATAAGGTGAGTGGGGGCCAAGTGTCTGGGCTAATAGAAGCTAGAGGGTTTCTGAGTAAGCCGCTGCTGTCACCATGGCCATGGCCACCCATCTGTCACCTGCTCATAGCGCTTCTAGGAAGGGAAGTTTCCCAAAGGTCACAGTCAACCTAGAGGGTGCCACCCACCTCCCTTGTTGGGCCACCCGGCTGGTGCCCAGACCCTGGCCAGTGACAGGGTAGAAAAATAGCTCGGGCGATTGCGTGTGTGACCACGGCTGGCTTTACCCGGATGCAGGGTTCTCACGGCACACAGTTGCCTGACTGAGCCACGTCTTTGTCCGTGTTTGCATGTGCCTGCCTTGTTCCCCCTGTCTGAGATAAAACTCCCGAGGCAGCCAACGCACTCCACCTTGTTTTTCTGGCACCTGCCCCAGACACCTGCCACAGCTGCAGGAGGAAGACATTGGCAGCTGCAGAGGTCTGACACAGGGTGCTCAGGAGGACGGCTGGGGTCCGAGATTCCACCCATGTACTCTGGGGTCTGGGGGTGGCCTTGCACTTTCCTGTCTGGCTTTTTTGCTTCTTCCACTTAGATTTGGGAGGAGAGTCCCTGCCCAGCCCTTCCCACAATGGCTGCTAAGAGTGAAGGCTGGATGCTATAGACGCAGGACTGAAGCAGCTCTCTGCCCACAAATTCCCTTCTTCCCAGTACACAGCAAGGGGCGGCCCCCCTTCCTCTGGCCACCACTGTCTGCCAAGACCCTCAGCAGGCAGTGCCTCCAGGCTGACTTCACCCCCTCCCAGGGCATAGCCCCCTTTTCTCCGCTTGTTGTTCATGCTTGCCTTCCAACCCCAGTTTAAAGACAACACGCTCCAAAGCAAAGTTAAAATCTGCTCCTTCCTTCAGCGAGATGGAAGGAAGGGCAGAAGGAAACATTCCCTCCTTACTTACTGTCCTCGATGTCCCAGGGGAGGATGGGGGACCTGGGAATCACTTGGTGCTCGTGCAAGGAGGAAGCCGGCAATGAGTTTCTGCTCAAGTCCATGCCAGCCAGAGAAAGCCACCCTGACCACGTCCAGAAGTCAGTGTGTTGTGAATCCCAGCAACTGAGCAGGCTCCAGCAGGGATGGATGAGCTCACCAGGCAATGGCCTAATGGGTTAACTCTTTGTGAGCTGCTGGCATGGGTCCTCGGACTGTGGCTTTCTCAGCTCTGCTCAGCCACAATTAGATGAATCTTGTGAAAAATTCATGATGCTTCTCTGCAGTCTGTCTTCAAGTTTCATGGAGGCGTGCGTTCCGTTGGTGCCTGGGCAGGGCAGCTTCTCCTGACCCAGGCTCAGAAATCAGAGGACCTGGAGTTTCTGGGTTGGTGGAGGTGTGTAGTGGCCATGGTGGTGGGGATGAGTTGCCAAAGAGTGGATCAGACCCTCCGGCTGACTCAGGCTACACTGGCTCTGTTCAGTGCAGGCCTTAATAATTTGATCTGGGAACTCTCTGTGTTCTGGATGTTGGAGGGGGCACATGCAGACTTAGAAAACATCCTTGGTTGCAAGATGGCAGGGACACTTCTTGGAACTTTCCAATGCACGGGTGGGCACCCTATGTTACAAACTGCCAGGAGCCCACAACACGACTTACCTCCATCCCAGGCCTGACATCTCAAATAGAGGCAAAAGAGCTTGTTCCCCATCGCTCTTCCAATCATTCCTCATGGTGCCCTGTTGCTTTTTATGGGATGCCTGCTGCCACAATGATGAGAAGAGAATGATGCAAATCAGTGCAAGGAGGATGAAAAGGTTTTCTCCTCTATAAACCTTTACCAGACTGTGCTTCGGGAAGCTGGGTGTGAGCTGTTGAGTGGCCAGTTCTCAAGATGCTGACGGATACACTGAGGTCAGCAAAATTGCCTATGATTCTGGAAGGCATGCTGGCTCCTGCCCTGGCCCACACTAACCTGAGAACGTGGGCAGCTGTTGTTCCTCAGGATAACTGGTGGGTGGGCATCCTTGCTACTGGGAACAGTACCCTGAGGGGCTTCCTCTGTGGTCTGCCGGGAGGGCTTTCCTAGGAGCCATCCAAGGAAGCTGCTGTCAAGGCAGGTATGAGACTCTCCCATATTTGGCATCTTGAGTTCCTCATCTGTGCAATGAGCAGGAGATTCTGAGCCTAGAAGGCTCTGTAGAGGTTGCTGTGTGATCCATGCCTAGAGAAGCAGAGAGCTAGGAGGATGAGCCTGTCCCCTGAGCTGCTGTGAGGGATCAGGCTGAGTACGCCCTCTGTCCTCTGTGAAGATGAGCGTCTCTGCTCAGGGCAATGAGCAGGGAGAGGCCTGCCTTGAGTGTCCAGGGGAACTTGACTTTGAAGGTTTTTGAGGATGTGAGTTGCTTTGCCTTAGGTGCCTCTGACTTTATACTCAAATCAGTTTGTAAAACCAAGTGGCCTGGCTCGCAGAGGAACCCTAGAGTGAATTATTTTGCAATGCAAATAATCAAATGATTTATTTATTTATTTTTACAAAGTTCGGGCTATTCCCCCACCCTCTGCAGGGCACGGCAGTGTGGCAGAGTAATACCATCCTAAGTTAAACCCTTATTCATCACTCCCTCCATGTCAGGCACTCTTCTAAGCACTTTATATATATAGCAATTCACTTATTTCCCATACAACTCCATGAGGTAGCCATGTGAGGTATATTGCTATCTCTGTATTTGGCCTTGGACGAATTACTTCTCTGGGCCTTAATTTCCTCATGTATTCATTGAGTGGGATCATTACTACATCACAGAGCTTTTATGAAGATTAAATGAGAAAATGCTCATAGCAAGTGCTTAAAGAATATATACATAATATATATGCACATAATGCACATGTGTATAAGTACATATTTAAATATAAATGTAAATTGGAGGGGCAGCAAGCATCAGAGGAGAACATGTCCGGGGTAGAAGCTGTTCTGTCTGCAGACCCCCTTCCTAGCAGGACAGATGAGGAGGCATGAGGAGCCATCATGGTCCCTGGGCAGCTGACTCCAGTGTCCCGGGATGAAGAGGCCGCTACTGCAGCTGTGGTGTTGAAGGGAATGGGAGCAGGGATGGTCACTGCCTGGGGATGGCTCTTAGCCTCTTATCCACAGTGCCCTAACTCTCCACCCTGTAGCTGCTCCTGCTCAGCGCTGTGCCCCCTCACCTGGCCAGTCCAGTGTTGCACGAGACAGTGGTAAGGTAGGATGACCAGCCATCCAGGCTCACTGGGTACTGATGGATTTCCTGAAATGTGGGACTTTCAGTGCTAAAACCATGAAAGTTCCAAGCAAACCAGATGAATTGGTTTCCTTAGTAAACACTTTTGGGCAGTGGCATGTCATTTGGAACATCCGTCCCTGTGCACGTGGGCTGTCTCCTTCTGGAATGTTCTTTCTGTCAATCTTTATGTACATATGTATGTATGTATTTATTTTTGAGACAAGGTCTCACTCCTGTTTCCCAGGCTGGAGTGCATTGGCGTGATCTTGGCTCACTGCAGCCTTGACTCCCAGATGCAAATGATTCTCCCTCCTCAGCCTCCCAGTAGCTGAGATTATAGATGTGCACCACCATGCCTGGCTAATTTTTTTGTTTGTATTTTTTTTGTAGAGATGGGGTTTCACCATGTTGTCCAGGCTGGTCTTGAACTCCTGGGCTCAAGCAATCTGCCCGCCTCAGCCTCCCAAAGTGCTGGAATTACAGGCGTGAGCCACCGCGCCTAGCCCATCTTCATTTAGCTGACGCAGTCAGTCTGGCCTTGGCCCTGCACAGCCTCTGGGCCTTCGCTCTTCTGCTCTATTATACTTCTTGATGACTGTCTGTCTGTCCCCTACTTGCATCCCCTAAACTCCTTGGAATAGTTTTTTTTTTTTTTAATAAAAAGTGCTTATTACGAAAAATTTTAAACACACACACGTGCGCACGTTACCTAATGAACTTCCACAATCCAGCTTCAACAATTATCAACGTTCATTCTTTTTCATATGTCTCCCTTGTGTATGTACAGTTGACCCTTGAGAACAACACAAGTTTGAACTTCGAGGGTCCACTTATATGTTGGCAATTTTTCTTCTTTGAGATAGGGTCTGCCTGTCTTCCAGGCTGGAGTGCAGTGGCACTATCCCAGCTCACTGCAGCCTCGAGTTCCTGGGCTCAAGCGATCCTCCCACCTTAGCCTCCTGAGTAACTAGGAACACAGGCACATGCCACCATGTCTGGCTAACTTTTAATTTTTCTGTAGAGATGGTGTCTTGCTATGTTGCCCAGGCTGGTCTTGAACTTCCATCTTTAAGCGATCCTCCTGCCTGGGCTTCCCACAGTGCTGAGATTACAAGGAATGAGCCACCATGCCTGGCCTGGATATTTCTTCCATAAATATATTGACTTTTTTGAGACTTGTGACGATTTGAAGAAACCTACATACAAACTGCATAGCCTAGAAATATTGAAAAAATTAAGAAAAAAGATAGATATGTCATAAATGCATAAAATATGAGTAGATACTGGCTGGGCACCATGGCTCACTTGGGAGGCCGAGGTGGGTGGATCACGAAGTCAGGAGATTGAGACCATCCTGGCTCACACAGTGAAACCCCATCTCTACTAAAAATACAAAAAAAAAAAAAAATTAGCCAGGCGTGCTGGCAGGCCCCTGTAGTCCCACCTACTTGGAAGGCTGAGTCAGGAGAATGGTGTGAACCCGGGAGGTGGAGGTTGCAGTGAGCCGAGATCACACCACTGCTCTCCAGCCTGGGCAACAGAGCAAGACTCCATCTCAAAAAAAAAATATATATATATATGAGTAGATACTGTTGCATTTATATGTTAATTGACTCTTCATCTTATCAGTAAGGCCTCTGGTCAATGATAGGATATTAATAATTAAGTTTGGGGGAGTCAAAACTTACATATGACGTTTTTACTGCACAGAGGTTGGCACTCCTAACCCCCACATTGGTCAAGATACTTTATTTCACTTAGTATTTTAAAGTTAATTCTATACGTCTCTTCTTCAGTAAAGCCTTGCAAATAGAGAGTTGTGTTTCCCTAACAGATGACCTCCTTCCTTCTTTTTTGAAATAATAACCACAGTGCCATCATAACCATACATGAAGTTGAAGCATTCTTAAAGTGAATACCCATTCCACATTCACATTCCCTTGATTGTCTCAAAACAACGTTGTTTTTTTTTTTTTTTTTGCTTTTGAAACAGGGTCTTGCTTTGTTGCCCAAGCTGGAATGCAGTGGTGCAATTATGGCTCACTGCAGCCTGGATTTCCTGGGCTCAAGAGAGTCTTCCATCTCAGCCTCCCGAGTAGCTGGTATCACAAGCACCCGCCACCACGCCTGGCTAATTTTTAAATTTTTTTGTAGAGAGAGTCTCACTTTGTTGCCCAGGCTGGTCTCGAACTCCCGGCTTCAAGCGATCCTCCTGCCTTGGCCTCCCGAAGTGCTGGGGTTACAGTTGTGAGCCACCGTGCCCAGCCTCGAAACCACCCTTTTAGAGTCAGGTTTCTTCAAAGCAGGATCCCAGCAAGTTCCAGTGATTACTTTTAGTAGGTCTGCCTCCAGCACTTCTTTTGGCCTCTAACAGCCTTTCCCTCTTCTATTCATAACATTTATTTATTGAAGACACAGGACTTCTGTCTTAGAGAACTTCCCTCATTCCAGATTTGGCTGCCTGCTTCCTCACGGTGCCATTTATCACTTGCCTGCATTTTGCAAGGGCCGTGTCTCAATTTCCACTGTGGCCCTGGATCCTAGTACAATGCCTTGGCCCAGGAGGGGTGCCCAGTCAATGGTGAATAAGGAGTCACATGAATATTCATAAGGTACCTGGCAATGCATAGAGGGCTTTGGCCCACATGCCGTTCGGCCAGGAGCTACATTTTCTGTTTGCTTCTCCCTTGTGATGCTGGAACTGGTTACTGAGCCAAAAGACTCTGAATGCCATGGTCATTTCCAAAATCCCCTTCTAACTGAGTGCTCCCATTTTCTTTTCTTTTCTTTTCTTTTCTTTTCTTTTTTCTTTCTTTCTTTTTTTTTTTTTTTGAGACAGAGTCTTGCTCTGTCTCCCGGGCTGGAGTATAGTGGCGCAATCTCGGCTCACTGCAACCTCCGCCTCCCAGGTCAAGCGATTCTCCTGCCTCAGCCTCCTGAGTAGCTGGGACTACAGGTGCCTGCCACCATGCCCGGCTAATTTTTTGTAGTTTTAGCAGAGATGGGGTTTCATCATGTTGGCCAGGATGGTCTCGATCTCCTACCTCGTGATCCACCCGCCTCAGGCCTCCCAAAATGCTGGGATTACAGGCGTGAGCCACCGTGCCCGGCCAGTACTCTCATTTTCTAAGGGATAATAAGTTAATATTTAAAATTATATTTTCTCTTTTTTTTCCTCTTTCCTCCTCTTCTCCTGTGCCCCACTTCCTACTTAGCTCTTTAGGAATGCAGTTATAACCTTTTACCTTCCCTTCACCAGACACTGCCTATAGGGTAAGCTTATCTAACTGTGTGCGTATTTAAAAGCTCCAGAGTGGAAACCTTTCCCACCAGGAGTTTGCCTTGACAGACAAAAGCCAATTTACAACCAAAAGTATGCCTGCTACAAAACTCTCTCTCATCTGAAGAGCACCTCGAGACAAGGCCACTTTACAACCTAGTTCTGCCTGCGATGGCACCAACTTGACCACTTCTGGTAAGGCAGCCCTGTAGATAAGGCACATATAGATAAGGCACTGGAAGTTACGCAGACCCCCACCTGCTTGTTTCCTCCCCTGCATACCACGCGTGCAAAATCCCCTTCTAAAAACCCCTGCTTTCTCTTCCAAAAGAGAAGCCGTACCCTTAAGGCAGGAAGCCTGTGCTTCTTCCCCTGAGCTAGCTTTGGAACAAAGTCACTTTCTTTGTAGCAGATCTCGGGAGCAACTGAACTTGCAACCCAGCTACACTCTCCCTCCCGCCCACGCCAAGGCAGGGGAATGAGCAAATAGGAACCTTCAGGGTAACTTCAGAGGAGGCGACTGCCCTGAGCAGGAGTTTCCACAGGATCCTGGGTATCTCTTGCCAATGCCAGTGCAGAGGGGGAGTGAGGTTCTAACCATGGGAAGGAGTCCGGGGTGGGCTGTCAGCACTGGCTGTCGGTGACAAGCCTAACAAAGAGGTGCCTATGTTGACATCCTTGTCTTCCACTGTTTGTTTTGGTGTCTTTTTATTAGTCTAATAACCATTAGGTAGCTCATTGTCCTAACCAAACACACAGAAAGCTGAAAGAAAACACCACCAACTTTGGGAAACTATTGGAAACTGTGCTCAGAGGGAGTCCCAGCCCCCTCCCAAACTGCGCCCAAGAGCAGAGCAAGATGCAAAGCCAGGGGAAGTAAGGAGGGAAGCAGGCTGGGAGGGAGGGGCTCCAGCCCCAGGGTTGGGGTGGAGGAGACGAGGCCCCCTTTGCCCATAAGACTCTAGGCTCCTTCCAAGGAGGGCAAGAAGCCTTTTTTTTTTTTTTTTTTTTTTTTTAAACCCAGGGCCCAGGAAAGTTATGCAAAGCAATTACTCAACTTAGGCAGCCCAGGGAGGGACCACCATCTTCCAACTGCTCCACCTCCCACTACGTTTGTCTTTGCCTCCTTTCCCTTCCCATCAGGGTTCATGACCAAGGAGACGCAATTCTGTGAGCCTAAGTCTCTGCTGGTCTGGTCCTCTTGGCTCTCTTGAGAGACCCAAGTACAGGTGACTTCCCTGACTCTGGCTGGGCTCCGTAAGCTGTCTTGAGGCTACGCAGCGTCTAAGGCGTTATCCTTAACCTCCAGCTCCCTCCGGCTTTGCTTTTCTCTCTCTTCTTGACTCTTCTGAAGTTTTTCCTTGTTCCTGTCTCTCTTCCTCCTGTCTGCTGCAGCCTCACACACCAGACAGTTCTCAAGATGTCCTTCGGGGGAGCCTCCAGGAAGGTCTGTCCCTTCTCTTTCTCGGTGCATATAATTGAGCAGTGACGTGGGAGACAGCAGCCCCCTGGGCTCTGCGCCGGGAGCCGGGAGCGCTAAAGCGAGGGCAATTGTGTATGGGGAGGTGGGGACGGGGAGCTGGGGACGTGAAGAATGAAGAGACTGGTGGAGTTTACAAGAAGTAGGAGTGGGAGTGGCGGAGGAAGGAGCGTCTTTCTTCGGGGAAGTTCCCAGGGCAATCGTTATCTGCTGGCCCCTGCCCCTCCTGGGGGGGGGGGCGTCCCAGGAAGGAGCTGGGGCTGAGTGGGACGCGGTGCCCAAGGGCGGGGCTGTGGTCGAGGGCGGAGGTGGCCTCCTCTTGGGGTGTGCCTGCCACCTAGTGGTGAACTTGGAGCAGTGCTGCTATCTGAAGTCGACTTCAATTATTCCTTCGCGATCTGTGTCTGGCCTGGTAATTCACGGTGGACTGGAAATTAGAAAATCGAATCTTACACATTGCTGATAAATACTATCTCACGGTAATATTCATTGCAATTTCAAAATGTCAAATAATTAAGACCTACTAGTTTTTAAATAATTTAAAAGACTCATGTAGTCATGTATGCATCTCACCATCAAATATTGATTATATAGGTCTCTTATATACCAGACACTGTTTTAGGTTAGGCATTGGAAATAAAGAGAACTATACAATTTATGTGAAAAAACAGGCAACTGAATCAACAATTCCAATCCAGAAGCAAAAACTCTTCAATACAGCCATGTCTGTGCTGCGCAATTGAGAATACAAAGGAGAGGCTTGGCAAGACAGGGAAACCTTCTCTCTACAATAAACAAACAAAGCCCCCCCCGCCCCCACAAAATTAGCCAGGCATGGTAGCGCGCATGTGTAGTCCCAGCTACTTGGGGGTCTGAGGTGGGAGAATACTCTGAGCCCAGGAAGTCGAGGCTGCAGTGAGAGGAGATGGCACCACTGCACCCCAGCCTGAGTGACAGAGCAAGACCTTGTCTAAAAAAGAGAAAATACAAAGGACGATTGGCATAGGGTGGTGATGGGAGAGACTTCCTCAAAAGGGTAATGGTTAGTCTCAGCACTTTGGGAGGTCGAGGTGGGTGGATCAACTGAGATCAGGAGCTCGAGACCAGCCTAGCCAACATGGTGAAATCCCATCTCTACAAAAAAAAATCCAAAAATTAGCCGGGTGCGGTGGCACACACCTGTAGTCCCAGCTACTCGGCAAGTTGAGGCAGGAGAATCACTTGAACCCAGGAGGCAAAGAGTGCAGTGAGCAGAGATCCCACCACTGCACTCCAGCCTGAGCAATGAGAGTGAAACCGTGTCTCAAAAAAAAAAAAAAAAAAAAGAAAGAAACCCAACAAAATAAAAGAAACAAATGAAGGTTGGTGGTTAGGATGAGGCTTGGAGGACATATAGGAGCCAAAGAAAAGTGATGGAGGTGATAGAGGTGGTGGTGATGGTGGTAGAAGTAGAGGTGTTGATGGAGATGAAGGTGGTGGTGGAAATGGAGGTGATGGTGGAGATGGTGGTGGTGGTGGAAGTGGAGGTGATGGTGGTGGTGGAAATGAAGGTGATGGTGGAGATGGAGGTGGTGGTGGTGGAAATAGAGGTAATGGTGGAGATGAAGGTGGTGGTGGAAATGAAGGTGATGGTGGAGATGGTGATGGTGGTGGTGGAAGTGGAGGTGATGGTGGAGATGGTGATGGTGGTGGTGGAAGCGGAGGTGATGGTGGAGATGGAGGCGGTGGTGGTGGTGGAAGTGGAGGTGATGGTGGTGGTGGAAATGAAGGTGATGGTGGAGATGGTGATGGTGGTGGTGGAAGTGGAGGTGATGGTGGAGATGGAGGCGGTGGTGGTGGAAGTGGAGGTGATGGTGGAGATGGAGGCGGTGGTGGTGGTGGAAGTGGAGGTGATGGTGGTGGTGGAAATGAAGGTGATGGTGGAGATGGTGATGGTGGTGGTGGAAGTGGAGGTGATGGTGGAGATGGAGGCGGTGGTGGTGGTGGAAATAGAGGCGATGGTGGAGATAGTGGTGGAGGTCTTGGAGGCAGTAAAGTTAAAGGCTGGAGGCCATGCAGGCTGTGGTTGTGAAGGTAGAGCTGACAGAGGTAGAAGTGGTTGCAGTGGTGATGAAGGTGGTGATGATGAGGAGAGTCGCGATTGTGGTGGTGGTTATAGTGTTGGTGAGTGTGATGATGATAGCACTGTTGTTGTTGGATGTGTTAGCTTTGGTTTTGGTGATGGTGATGAATGTGGATGGTATTGGCAGAGGTGGGTGTGGTGGTGGTGGTGATGGTGGTCATGGTGTAGTGGTAGTGGTAGTGAGGGAGCTGCAGATGGAGATAGAGGTGGAAGTCTGATCTTCAAGTCATCCATAGCTGCTGCTACCACACAGGTCACTGCTAAGCCTCCACTTGTTCCCATCTTTATGGCCTTTCCAGGGTTGGAGACTCTCATCTCTACTTCTACCCATTCTTGGTCCTCAGAAATCCTTCTACTGCTTCCATACTGCCTCAGGGCACAAAGAATTGCTGAGCAGCCATCGGAGGTGATACGTCTCTAGAGATATAAACAGCTCCCTCTCATTAGGATCTGGTCACTTCCCTGCTTCTTTTCTGGAACTCCACTTGGAGTAAGAAATTTGTTCTTCTTTGCTGTACTTTTTCCAAGATGCAACTGAGTTATTCATCAATATGGGCCTCAGGCCAGGCAGTGGGTTGCAGGGACCCTGTATTGGGAAAACACCAATGTCTGTGTTTTCTTCTTACTCTTTGTTATGTGTTAAGTATGCCCCCACCCCCAAATTCATAGGTTGAAGCTGTCGTAACCCCCAACGTGATTGTATTTGTTAAAGAGGTAATTAAGGTTAAGTAAGATTATAAGGGTCTTAATCCAGTACGATTGGTGTCCTTAGACGAAGAAGAGGCACTAGGTGCATGCCTACACAGAGGAAAGCCATGTGAGGACACAGCGATAAGATTGCTGACTGCAAGCTCAGGAGAACTTAGAAGAAACCAACCCTACCAGCACCTTGATCTTGGACTTCCAGCCTCCAGAACTGTGAGAAAGTAAATTTCTGTTGTTTAAATCACCCAGTCTATGGTAGTTTGTTATGATGACCCAAGCAGAATAATGCATACCATGATTCTCTTCCATTCTCTCAACTCAGGACATCCTTTCCCAGTGTTGGGGTGGTGGAGGGGAATGACATAGATGTTCGTGGATGGAGAGAAGGCCTTCCTGTTGTTAAGACTTTTTTCTTAGCTCCATCATCCATGTGACATGCCCTTGCATTCTTTTTAGTGTCTGGGCCAGTCTGCCATGGCTTTTCAGAAAGCAGGGCCCAAGCACACCTTTGGATTCAACCTGAGTGGGTTCTAACCAAGAATACCAGTGAACACACCCCATGGAAGGGGCCTCATCAGTAGAGGTTGTATTCCGAATACTTGTGAACATTTTTTGGTCTGAGATGAACACAGCATTCCCTCTTTGGAGCACTGTGGGCATTATATTTGCAAAAGGGAATAATGTTAGGCTCCTTCAGAAAAACAAAGTGGTGCACCAGCATCTCAGCTGTGGAAAGAGCTCAGACCTTGGTAACGTTTCAAAGTACCATGGATGTGAGGGACAGTCAGTGACCACAGAAGGAACTTGGCCAAGGAAAAAGAGACACGTAGTGTCAGGCAAAGCTCAGAAAATTTCAGAGAATTAGACTGGGAGGCAGACCATCTCAGCCTGGAGCTAGCTTACTTTTGTACTTCTTGCATGAGACAGTCCACATTCTTACTGTTTAAGCTGCTCAAAAGGGTGTTTCTGTAACTACTTGCAGTGGAAAGAAATGTGTCCAGAATCTCTCAAAACCCTGAATACCACAGTGCATTGGCAGGGCAGGCTTTATATGGCCACAAACAACAATAACACTGGAATATTCTATTCACTCATTCCCTCAGGTCATGGTTTCCTACTTGAAAGCACCATGGATAAGTCCCTTTCTGCTGTTTCTCCCCAAAACAAGGATATGCATCATGATTTCTTGAAGATTCCACCATTAGTCATAGACGGGCCTGAAAAATTGTACAAATTAGAAGGTAGTAAGGCACCTTCACTGGACCTCTGCTATATCTCTAAGTATATATTGGGATGGGGAAGGGTGAGTGAATAATTACAATAATAATTAATAAGAACAAGTTCTTTTCAGTCCGAGTTGCATTTAAGAAAAGCTATGAATTCTTCCCTGATCAGTCCAGAAATGCATCTCTGGAGCTATGGCTATTGAGTGATCTTTGTTGTAACATAGTTTTCCTTAAGTCAGATTCACTGGGAAGAGGACTGCCTTTAAGTCCAATCCAAGGGATAAACAGTTCATCAAATATAACAGTTTATTTGTCTACATGCTTCCTTCCCTTCTAGTCAGTTTAGCTTCTCCAGGGCAAGAGATTCAGCCCCTGCCTCCCTGTCTCTAGCACATGAATTCATTCAAGAAATGTTTCCCCACTACCAGGCTCCAGGATGCTTCTGTTGCATGGGAAATCAGAGACACATAGTGCCTGCTCTTCCCAAGCATTCAGACTAGTGAGAAAGGTAAGCATTAAATAGGTCATTACTCCAGTAATTACTCAATAGTGACTAGAACGAAGAGGTACGGGAGCTATAAGACTATACCATGGGAGGACCTGACCTAGTTCATAGAGTATCATGGAGGCGTCCCAGAGCAGGGACCATTTCAATAGAGACCTACAAGCTAAGGTCTTGGCATTTGGTATCCTGTTAGCAGGGGGAGGCTCTGAGCCTGGGTAAGACTGACTTAGAAAGGTACTTGGCAGGAGGTCAGAAAACCAGGCAAAAGAGGCTCAGATGAAACTGGAGTCATAAGCAGGGGCCAGAGCTTGGTGCACCTTGTAGACTATGATCAGCCATAATAGAGTCTTTGTACATGTTAGCTTCCATGCATGAATGAATGAAATATCAGAAAGGTGTCGTTCCTTAGGTACCCTTGGGTAGCCTTATGTGGGTTTCAGGGTAGCAACACAGTGGTGAAAATGTTCAAGCAAGGGTGAAGAAAGAAGTATTTCTACGTAAGCCAAGGAGGAGATAAGAATGGACATGGGCAGATTGTACACTTCTTGATGGAGCAGAGACACCCCAGGGTGGAGATAGCCTGAGTTAGATATCAGTCTTTGGTGCCTATGGAAGTGATAATGAGGTAGGATCAGGCCTACAATTCACCCGCCTCCTTCTCCTCCAAGATCCAATTCCCCTCCTCACTTTCTTAAGATACCAACATGATCTCCTGAGGGCAGGGTCTAGGGACTTTGCCCTCAGGAGATCATGCTGCCCACTTTAGAGTGCCTTGAACAGTCTCAGAGACAGACCTCCCTCTGTGCACCAGCCAGGAGGTGCTATATATACTTAACCATGGACTATTCCTGAGACTAAGACTTCTAGCATTCACCTGCAATCTCTCTTTCTAACAGTTGCAATTTTGGTGAGGTGGAAGGGGGCGGCAGAAATATTTCTATATTTGGTAGAACAGTCTAGGCTGAGATAAGGAAAGGATTCCAGTTCGAGACCAGCCTAGCCAACATGGGGAAACCCCGTCTCTACTAAAAATACAAAAATAAGCTGGGCGTGGTGATGTGTGCCTGTAATCCCAGCTACTGGGGAGGCTGAGGCAGGAGAATCGCTCAAACCTGGGAGGCAGAGGTTGCAGTGAGCTGAGATCACGCCACTGCACTCCAGCCTGGGTGACAGAGCACGACTCCATCTCAAAAAATAAAAAATAAAAAAGGAAAAGAAAAGAAAAGGATTCCAAAATGTCAGTGGCTTAACATAATAGAAATTTATTTCATGCTCTCATAGTAACCTTTGGCATGTCTTCACCTTGTCAAGGCAACTCTTTTCCACTTGATTCCTCAGGGACCCAGGCTCCTTCCATTTGTGGCTCTGCTCTCTCCTATGGCCTTGTCATTTACTGTCTACACTGATCTGGCAAAACAGAAAAGTCGGGTTGGAAGGGAAAATGTTTGGAGGAGCATATGCAGGTCTTTTTGCCAAGCCTACAAGTGGTATATATCACTTTTATTTACATTCCATTTGAGAGCACTTAGTCACATGGCCACACTTAACTGTAAAGAAGGAGGGGAAATATAGTCTAGCTCTGTGCTCAAAGAAGTGATAAGTAGATTTTTGTGGAAAACTAGCAGTCTCTGCCACATTGATGACCAAAATTAATATTTCATAGTCTCCCTTTGTTTTAGTTATCTAAAGCTGTGTAACAAAGTATCCCCCAAATTAGCAGATTAGCACAATAAACATTTGTTACCTCACATTGTCTCCATGTGTCAAAAATTTGGGAACAGCTTAGCTGATGTTTTCAGCTCAGGGTCACTCATGAAGTTGTGGTCAAGACTTTGACCTGGGCTGCAACTCATCTGAAGGCTTGCCTGAGGCTGTGGACTTGCTTCCCAGGTGGCTCATTCCTAGCTTCAATGGGTTGGGGACATTCATGCAGGTTGTTGGCAGGAGGTCTCAGTTCCTGCATGTATGAACGTCTCCACAGGGCTGCTTGTGTGGCCTCACAACGTGGCAGCTTGCTTCCCCAGAATGAGTGATCCTAGAAAGAGGTCACAGTATCACTTATCATTCAATCTCGGAAGTCACACACCATCATTTCTGCCACATTCTATTTATTAGAAGCAAGTCACTCAGTACAGTGTGCACTCAAGAGGAGAAAAGTTAGGCTCCACTTCTCAGAAGGAGGTTTATCCAAGTGGAAACATTTAAAAATTACCACGTTCTTAAAGAAGGATGTGGTTTTGAGACATAGTTCAGGAAAATGAAACACCAGGAGAAGTTGCAGTTGGGGCTTCCAGGAGCACCTCCTAAATACCTGGCTTGTTTTCCCTTTACACCTTCTGCTTTCTTACCGTCTGGACTGTGAGTGCCACTTTTATTGCTGCAGTGGCCCTCTGAGGACAATGAAGAAGTCTTGTGGGTGGAACTGAGCAGTAAAAAGGGTGAAAACAGAAATAAAAGGAAATTGGAGCATTGAGAATATTGTGGAGCCACCAGGACAGCCCAGGACCTTCTACTCCTGAACTAAATGATTAAAAAAAAAATCATTATCTGATTTAAGCCACTGCATGTTTTTTTGGGGGGAGGAGAGGATTTCTGTCACTTACAACCAAATTCTACTTACAAACAAATATAACCAATTCCTAACTGATGCAACTGCTATGTGTTAGGCAGTCCTAGGCACTGGGGAAAGAAATTCATGTGAAAAAGTCACTATCGGCCAGGCACGGTGGCTCATGCCTGTAATCCCAGCACTTTGGGAGGCCGAGGTGGGCAGATCATGAAGTCAGGAGATCGAGACCATCCTGGCGAACACGGTGAAACCCCGTCTCTACAAAAAATACAAAAAAAAATTTAGCCGGGCATGGTGGCGGGTGCCTGTAGTCCCAGCTACTAGGGAGGCTGAGGCAGGAGAATGGCTTGAACGCAGGGGGCAGAGCTTGCAGTGAGCCGAGATCGTGCCACCGCACTACAGCCTGGGAGACAGTGAGACTCCGTCTCAAAAAACAAAAAAAAAAAAAAAAGAAAAAAAAGAAAAAGTCACTATTCTCAAATGCAACACAGATACATGTTGGGTAGCATAAAACAAAAAAGGGACATCTCATACAAAACAAGCAGAACTCAAGGCTGTAGAAGAAACTCACCAAATAGAATAAAAGCCCCATGGAAGAGTGATTTTGGCCTATGATGTTTATTCCTTTATCTCTTATACTTAGCACAGGATCAAAGGCATTCACATAATACGTATTCAATAGATAAAATGGAAGTGGAGCATATCTTCAAATTAAAATAAAATGTCTTCTGTAGGGAGAGAATGATGATGAAGGACTTTCTGGATTTCTAGCTGGGTTGGAGGACAAAGCCAGTTGGGTAGGGCACTTAGGCACTAGGCTCACATGGGGAGCCTCAGCAGATGGAGGCAAGCTGTGGGCACATCTAGTGCGGGTGTCTTTGCAGTCGCTTTCAGAGCACACAGGGCTTATTGTGGCATTGATTACTGGAGGCTCTGGGTGTTCAATTTGGCTTGAAAATGCCTCTCCCAAAAGTCAGAATAGCAATTAAGAAAAGCGTGGTGAGAGTACTAACCCATTTAATTAATGAGGTCATTTGTTTTGCTGAGAATCTTACTGAGGTCTATGAGGAGGGCTTGCTGCCGTGGATTACAACCCCAAAGGATGGACGTTTTTTCTGTTTAGCCCTAAAAGTCCAAATCTCATCCTGCAACGCCAGTCACTGGTTTGAACTGACATTCACTTGTCCTTTCACACTAATTTCTCTGCGGACCTGTTTGATTTAAGCGGTCCTCCCTGGTGTGAGGTTCTCAAATGGATTAGATAATTTCAGCCAGTGTTTGTAGTGTACTGGACCCCTGTCCAAAGAATAACAATGAAATTAAACAGCTACAATGTCCTGCTTTTTCCCCTCTACAGTAACAGAGGACAAAATCCTGGAACGTGTCTCCAGCATTCGCCAAGCCAGTGACTTTCACACACTCTTATCTATTTACATCCAGTTCATAAAGATGACCTCGGTAATACAGACCCATGCCAGAGCTCTGCAAGCTTCACTAGGACCTACAAAAGTAACTGAAAGTTTAAAAAAAAAACTCTCCAAAACTCAGAAAGAAAATATTAACAAAATCTTTTTCAAGGTAACATTAAGTCATTGAGTCCACTAAAATTCAGTGCATGGTTATATTATCATATATAAATTATGTCCCATGTGGGCATATTTTGATTGCTATTTTTAATATGCTGTGAGGTTGAGTGTCTCCAAATATGAAGATAATTCGTGACCTTGAAAGTTCTAAAATGACCTTGAGTCTACTTGCTTCTTGAAATCTAGGTAAGGTTATTCTTTGAACTTCCTATGGAAGTTCAAAGCCCTCCCTGTGATTTCTGCAATTTCTATGTTTCTGCCTGGGCATGGCTTATAATCACGTGGAGAGGATGTTAAGACAAAAATGGCTGGGCTAGGCCCTCATCAATTCTGATTCAGCAGGTCTGTGGGGAGGCCCAGAATTTGCATTTCTCACAAGCTCTTAGATGATGCTGATGCCACTGGCTCTTAGACCACACTTGTGTAACAAGTGCTGCCCTGGAGCCGTGGTTCTCAAGGTGTCTTGGTCCATTTGTGTTGCTACGAAGGAATATCTGAGGCTAAGTAATTCATAAAAGAGGCTTATTTGGCTCATGGTGTTGCAGACTGTACAAAAATCATGGTGCCAGCATCTGCATCTGCGGAGGGCCTCAGGCTGCTTCCACTTATGGTGAAAGGGAAAGGGGAGTCAGCACATGCAGAGATCATATGGTGAGAAAGGAAGCAAGACAGAGAGGAGGGAGGTGCCAGGTTCTTTTTAGCAATCAGTTCTACAGAGTGAAAACTACTCATTTTCACCAAGAGCGCACCAAGCCATTCATGAGAAATCCATCCCTATGACCCAAACACTTCCCATTAGTCCCCATCTCCAATATTGGGTTCAAATTTCAACATGAGGTTTGGAGGGTTCAATATCCAAGCTATATATACCTTAAAACTTAGCGTCGGAATCACCTAGAGAGCTTAATAAAACACAGACTGCTGGCTGCCATCCCAGAGTTTCTGATTCAAGAGGTCTGGGGTGGGGCCCCCAGATTTTCATTTCTAACAAGTTCCCAGGTGATGCTGATGCTGCTGGTCCCAGCATCAAACTTTGAGTAATGGTTCTTCAGAGGACCCTCCTTTGATCCTCCTTCAGCTGTGCCCTTCCCTACAGGGGAGTCTTGGGACCAAGGGACCATCCTCTTCCCCACTAGACCCTACTCTGGGTACTTGAGATCCTTGTACAACTAGCCTTGAGCCCACTTCCAGGGCCTGCATGGGGACTATTCATAGGAGGTGGGAGGGGAGTGGATGGAGTTGGATGTACAGGCTGGGATGTCCACATGCCATGTGAGGTCCTTGTAGTTCAGGATGGAGCCGAGGTTGAGAAGAATGGGGGATGGAACCAGAGCCCAAACATTCCTGTGCAGGTAGCATCATTTCCTCCATTTAGGACCATCCTGACCAGAGATGAGAAACATGACAATTAGGAACATAGGTTCTCAAGTCACGCATACTTCCATTCAATCCATGACTCTGAACTCTTTCCCCCGTGACCTCAGGTAAGTTATTAAACCTCTATGAACCTAGTCTCTGCATCTGTAAAATTGGAATAATGCCAAATACCTACCTCATTGGTCTTTTGGCAAGAGCTACTGCAGTAAGGTATATAAGGCATTTAGCATGAGCCTTGGAATGTAGTAAATGGTTGAAACTATTGCTCTTGCTGTTGTTATTATTAGTTGCTGCTTTATTAAGTCCTGTGGTGGGCGGAGCACCTGTTATTCATCACTGTCTTCTTGCCTTGTGCCAGAGAAATCCAGGCACCTTCTGAGCAGGATTTAGGCTCCTGGTGCTCTCCTCTGGCTGCTCTTTGCTCCATCCTGCTCACAGCCCAAAGTCCTATATTGAAGACCATGAATAAAGGATGCTAGAGTTTAGAAGATAACATGCCTTTTTTGTAAATGGCTAATCTGAATGAGCAACTTCATAGAAAATAGTACTTTCTTGCTGCTGTAATTAGAAGTTTCATGAATCTATTTGTGGTCGAGATAGTAACATTTATGAAAAATAGTGCATTCAATTATTTGACCCTTGCTCCCATTTTTCAAAGGTTTAATTTATGTTTTCTTTGCTTTGTGACTGCTTTAGATACAGTGATGAAATATGAGTGTCTTTGTGAGTGCTTAGGCAGCCCCCATGGATGTTGGAGTGTGGGCCTGTGTGAATGAGTGCCTCTCCTCATGTATATATGAGAATTCCAACCTCCAGCAGCAGCAATGATAACCTAACTTGTACTTTCACCAGGCTTTCAACAGGGCCATCCAGTCCTACTTTCTACAATGATGAGAGTATCCTTTCTTTGTGTTGTCGAAAATGCAGCCACTAGCCACATGTGGCTATGAGCACTTGGAAGGTGACCAAAGGGACCTTAGGTGAAAATTGAATTCTGAATTTTGTTTACTTTTCATTAACTTAAATTTAAATAGTCACTTAGCATTAGTAGCTACCATGTCGGGCAATGCGGATTAAGAAGGTACTTGCTGACTTGATCTTTGCTACTTCTCTGAGAGAGGAATGGAGAAATGTATCATCTTATTGACAATGAAACTTTGGAGTGGAAAGGCGGTGTGACTGATTTAAGATCACAGTGCAGTGATCACACGTGGGTATGAGGCAGGCGGTCATCCACCCCATCACCACAGGTAACCTGCTTCTTCAGAGCCTGAGAAAGTCTAATACCTGAACTACTAAGAAAAAGACAAACACTTCAATAGAAAAAAATGGAGAGGATAAAAAAGTAACATTCAAAAATTCAAAAGCATTCTTACATACTAGGAGTAATCAATTAGAAAATATAGGCTTTCGATATGAAGAAAAGTTGTGAAACTGTCCAGAAGGCCACAAAGGAAGATGTGAATAAACAGAGACAAATTGTGTTCCTGGTGGGAAGCCCCAGTAGGTCAGTTCTACACAAAGTAATTTATAAATACAAAGCAATTCCCTTAAGAACCTTAGGGATATTTCATGGAGTTTTTCAAACTGAAGAAAAAAATGCACCTGGAGTAGAAAATGTAAGAGAATAGCATAGACATTTAAAAATATAAATCAGAGGCTTGGAGGGGCAGGGAAACACATGACAAAGTAATAATAACTAAAACAATATGGGGATGGTGTGTAAATAGCCTGAAGGACAAATGCAACAGGGCAGAGAGTCCAGAACGAACCCATGTATGTGTGGAAACTAGGATGTGATAGCAGCAATGCCTCAGGCCAGTAGGAAAAGATGGCAGTTCTGTCCTGCACTGTGATTTATAGTGAAAAATTCAAAACAAATGTCCCACAATAGAAAATTAATAAAATATCTTTTAAGACTATGCATTCATGAGATGACAAAATAAACCATTTTAAAACTATGATATTACTAAATGACAAAATGATAAACATTATTTATGGAGATGTATATGATATACTGTTCAGTGAGCACAAAAACACACTTTACAAAATAGTAAAAAGGGCTGGGCGTAGTGGCTCATGCCTGTAATCCCAGCACGTTGGGATGCCAAGCAGGGGCGGATCACCTGAGGTCAGGAGTTCGAGGCCAGCCCTGCCAACATGGCGAAACTCCATCTCTACTGAAATAACAAAACAAAACAAAACAAAACAAAACAAAACAAAAAACCGTAATCCCAGCTACTCCAGAGGCTAAGGCAGGAGAATCGCTTGAACCTGGAGGTGGAGGTTGCAGTAAGCCGAGATCGTGCCACTGCACTCCAGCCTGGGTGACAGAGTGAGACTCCTTCTCAAAAAACAAAACAGTAAAAAGCATCATGTGATCCATGTTTGCTAAATACATTCACATATATGGATACTTCTACTTACAAAAGTCACAAATGTAGACGTCTATCCTGACCCAACTTTTTTTTTTTTTTTTGAGACGGAGTCTCGCTCTGTTGCCCAGGCTGGAGTGCAGTGGCGCGAACTCGGCTCACTGCAAGCTCCACCTCCTGGGTTCACGCCATTCTCCTGCCTCAGCCTCCTGAGTAGCTGGGACTACAGGTGCCGGCCACCAGGCCTGGCTAATATTTTTTTTTGTATTTTTTAGTAGAGACGGGGTTTCACCCTGTTAGCCAGGATGGTCTGGATCTCCTGACCTTGTAATCTGCCTGCCTCGGCCTCCCAAAGTGCTGGGATTACAGGCGTAAGCCACTGCGCCCGGCCTATCCTGATCCAACGTTTAAACTTTATTTTTATATTTTTGTTTTTAAAACTATGGAATGCTTCACAAGTTTTTTGTTATCCGTGCACTGAGGCCATGCTAATCTTCTCTGTATCATTCCAATTTCAGTATATGTGCTGCCAAGGTGAGTACATGACTTAATTTTTTAGACCAATCTTAACTGAGGTACTAAACAATCAGCAGCTTAAGCCTCTACTTGGTTGGGTTAAGCGTTAAGCCATAACTCCCAATCTTGACTTCAGTGGTCTATCCCTGATGGCTGGGCTCCCACGTGGCTTCCTGAGTTGCCTTTGAAGTTGACCACATTCCCAACCACGTGGGTTTAGGAAACAGCCCTAGGGGTATATTTTTCTCTAGATCATAACTCTTCCTCGTGATCTTTCTTTTTTCCTTGTCTGCTACACCAGGTCCTTCCCTGTTTGGTCTAGCAAGCAGAGATCAGGGGAGTATCACATCTAAACAGATTCCACTAACATTCCAAGGGAAATGGAGTGGCTCTTTCTGAAAAATAAGAACATGTAAAACTCTAGAAAGACCATGGGAAGAAAAAATGTTTTCTCTAAAACCCTTGAGTCCACATCCTCCACTCTTAAGTGGGGAGCCCAGAACAATCTTTCCAATCTCTTATTCACCTTTTTTTTCTTTTTGAGACGGAGTTTCGCTCTTGTTGCCCAGGCTGGAGTGCAATGGCACCATCTCAGCTTGCAGCAACCTCCACCTCCTGAGTTCAAGTGATTCTCCTGCCTCAGCCTCTTGAGTAGCTGGGATTACAGGTGTCCACTACCACGCCCAGCTAATTTTTTGTACTTTTAGTAGAGACGGGGTTTCACTATATTGGCCAGGCTGGTCTCGAACTCCTGATATCAGGTAATCTACCGGCCTTGGCCTTCCAGAGTGCTGGGATTACAGGCATGAGCCACCGTGCCTGGCCTCTTATTCACTCTTATATCCTCCCAATAATTTTTGGACTTAATGAGGAAAGTGTGTTGTTTGAACACTGCGCTTGGCGCATTCAGCTTCATATTCACAGCCAGTGCCCATCTGGGCCAGTTCTCCCATCACTAGCTCATTTTAGTGTATCCAGATCATGGCAGTTTACCAGGACACATCACTTCTTCTCCCACTCACCCTCCTACCCATTCCTGCCTCTGTTTCAGAGGGACACATGGTGGTAGAGCCCTGATACTGCTGGATATATCTAGAATGAATTCCTAAAACAAATTGCTTCTGAAGAGTCCCCAGACTGGTGGCTGAGCGAGTGAGAATTAAGTGTCAGTGAAGGAACTAAATTACCACTTATTGCTTCATCCATATAATTAAGTTAATAATTAAAACATGACTAGCAGGGGCCTCATCCACCAGGAATCATAATATGCTTCTTTCTTAGACCATTGTCACAAAATATGAAAACCACATCTGTAATTGTTCTCAGAACTGCTTAGCAACCTCAGCTTTAATTGTCAGCCAGCTTATCAGAACATGCAGTTAATTATCGTGTCTCATACCTAGAATGTTCGGCATGTGAAAGAGTTCTGGAGATGGATCTTCCCTGCAGTGAAATTGAGTCAGATGGATCACCTGCAGGGGAGTTCACCCTGGGAGAATATTTCAGAATTTGCCTGCTTCTTCCTGGAACCAGCCTCTGTTAGAATGCATGATTCCGTGATGAAAACTTACAGATTTTCCATGGAGGAGAAGACCTCTTCCTGATCATATGTCCATTGTTATGGGACTGTCTATTAGTGGTACAGTTGCTGAGCCAGCCCAGGTTTAGTATTCTCATTAATAACAGGTATTTGGATGCTCTTAACAGTTCTAGGGGAAATTTATGAGTGATGAGGTAAAATAAAATGCTGGATCTGAGAACAAAGAGATGAGTTCCATGGCCAGTTTTTATGCCACTAGCTGTGGGCCTTTCTTCAAATCTTATCTCACTAAACCTCAGTTTCTTTTCTTTTTTAAATTATACTTTAAGTTCTAGGGTACATGTTCACAATGTGCAGGTTTGTTACATATGTATACATGTGCCATGTTGGTGTGCTGCACCCGTTAACTCGTCATTTACATTAGGTATATCTCCTAATGCTATCCCTCCCCTCTCCCCCCACCCCACAACAGACCCCGGTGTGTGATGTTCCCCTTCCTGTGTCCATGTGTTCTCATTGTTCAATTCCCACCTATGAGTGAGAACATGCGGTGTTTGTTTTTTTGCCCTTGCGATAGTTTGCTGAGAATGATGGTTTCCAGCTTCATCCATGTTCCTACAAAGGACAAGAACTCATCCTTTTTTATGGCTGCATAGTATTCCATGGTGTATACGTGCCACATTTTCTTAATTCAGTCTATCATTGATGGACATTTGGGTTGGTTCCAAGTATTTGCTATTGTGAATAGCGCCACAATAAACATACATGTGCATGTGTCTTTATAGCAGCATGATTTGTAATCCTTTGGGTATATACCCAGGAACAGGATGGCTGGGTCAAATGTAAACTGCAGTTTCTTAATCTGTTAAATAGGGAGAAGCGTAATAGCCTGAGCTGGTATGCCTTGGGCTGCTGGCACATCAGCAAGTGCAAAGAGGTTTGGCCATTGGAGGTTTTTCTTTGACTGTCCTAAATTGTTTCTTAGGTGTGAATTTTACAAACATTACTTATATTAGCGGTAACGGTGGAGCCAGAGAGTATTGCACCTTCTCCAAGCTGCACGGCGAGAACCACTAATAGTGTGGTGGAACTTACGGCCCTTTCCAAGGCCACAGCTCTTTCAGCCTGCAGCTATCAGCCCATTCATCTTCCTGTGCTTGTGGACTGGTATGGTGATTCACAGGGTGTCAGGATTTCTTCTGACAGCTTTATGGAATGTATCAATGAGGATAACCTCAAAAAATTTGTATGAGGAATCTTTACCAACCCAGTGAGAATTCAGGCCTCTTAGAGGCCCACAGTAGCATCCAGCTCACTCCTCTGCAATGAACCGAAGGCTTCGAGCAAACTTTAGCTGGTTAACACCAGGATGGACAGGCTTGCTGTAAGTTGCACCCGTAGGAACTGGGTGTTTTCCACCACCATGGCGCACGTGAATCCTATATATAATGTAACCTGACTTGGCCTTCTATCCCAGTCCATGCGCTTTGTATCTGACTTGAGGGATGGGAAAGAACCCAGAAGAGAGAGTCACACTAAGCGAATGTTTCAGAATGAATGGAAATGTTGTCTTTGACAAACACTCCTAAGAGGCCAGGGGAAATAACTGAAAGGGTTTTACTGAAATGGGTCCAGTTAAACAACCCATTATGGTACTATATGTTTTTGCTAACATGTCTGTCCACTAGCCTGAAAACTCCTTTAGTCTTCTCGTGTCCTGTAACTTTGCTTGGCCTTGTAACTCTCAGAAGAAAGTGCATTCTTCTCAGTCCACATTGTGGGCTACTCAAACAATTAAAAGTTGGAATTCCCAGGACCGGTCCTTAGCCCCTTTTCTTCTGGTGCTCTTGTAACCTTCCTTGGCCTTATAACCCTTAGAAGAAACTGCATTACATCAGACTGCTTCTTCCTCCGTGGCTCCTGGAGATCTTTGTGTGTACCCATCTTGGCTTACTGGATGGCTGCCGCCAGATGGAAAGGCCGTTGGAATTACTGAAATGCAGAAATGCTCTGTGCCAACTGGCAAACAGCCACCATCAAAGCCCCTCTTCCTGCACCCCTTGCCCGCTGCCTCCTGATCGCCTTGGCTGCATTGGCTGCAGGTTTCCTCACCCGGACTCCCATCAGCATCAGCTAAAGTTTCACGTCTGGTCCAGATGCCTTGTGACACGGCATCCTTGTTGTCGTTATCAAGGTCATTTTTGAGTCCTCAGTACCTTGGCCGTGCCCATGGCTAAATGACATCGATGCCCTTGGGGAGAAGCATCACCCACCTGATGAGTTAGTGGTTGTTTACACTCTCTACAAACAAAAAGAAAGGTGATTTTTAGATTTTTCCATCTGACTCCTTGTTTTTGGCCAGCTGGGTGGGGTCAAGGTCAGATTTTGGCTGTGAGTGTCTATTAACACGTGCACTTTTGCTTCACAAATGGAGGAAAAACCTGTTAATGGTAGAGCCTTTGGATAATTCAGGCAAGGATTAGACTGAAGATGACCTTGACTTTGGAGATAATGAAATTTAATTATGCAAATACAATTGGAACACTGAAAGCACATAAGTAAAATTGGTTTTGAGCACCCAACTCACTCTTTATGTGGTGACCACTGGCGGGATTGTGATTTAAGCTAGGTAGGCTGTGGGCTATTCACATAAAGAGTATCAGTGAGACTGTAGTTCTTTTCAAAGATCTTGTTGATTTCTCTGTTCATGTATTGCAAATGACTGAAGACTTGTTCCATGTTTTCTCTCTCCTCCAGAAGTGATTTTTAAGATCTTTTAATGCCTAGGGCATGTTCATTCATTCAATAAACAGTTTTTGAGGCTTTACTCTGTGCCAGACATTTGTACTAATTGCTGGGAACAAAGGCAGAAAACCATATTTACTAAAGGAGTTTTCAGGCTAGTAACTAGACATGTTAACAAAAAATACATAATACCATAAATGCGTTGTTTTACTGGACATCTTTCAGTCATTTCCCTGGCCTCTTAGGAATGTTTGTCAAAGACAACATTTCCATTCTTTCAGAAACATTTGCTTAGAGTGACTCTCTCTTCTGGTTTCCCTTCCATTTCTCAGGTTGTTTCTTCTCAATTGTGGGCTACTTGTATTAGTCAGTTCTCACACTGCTGATAAAGACATACCCAAGACTGGATTATTAATGAGGAAAAAGAGGTTTAAAGGATTCACAGTTCTACATGCTCAGGGAGGCCTCACAATCATGCTGGAAGGCAAAAGGCAAGTCTTACATGGTGGCAGACAAGAGAGAATGAGAACCAAGTGAAAGGGGTTTCCCCTTATAAAACCATCAGCTCTCGTGAGACTTATTCACTACCATGAATAAGTATGAATAAGTATGGGGGAAACCGCCCCCATGATTCAATTATCTCCCACTGGGTCCCTCCTACAACATGTGGGAATTATGAGAGCTACAATTCAAGATGAGATTTGGGTAGGGACACAGACAAACCATATCACTATCCAAACAATTAAAAGTCGGAATTCCCCAGGACCTGTCCTAAGCCTTTCTCTTCTCATGCTCTGTGCTCTTCCTAGAACATTTCTTTCACTTCCATTGCTTTAATTACCATTGCTGTGCCAGTCTCTTAAGAGCAACCCTCTCTTCCAGAGCAATGCGTCCAACAGCCCATTGGATGTCTCTCCTTAGACATCTCACAGGCTGCCTGAAACTCAACATGTCTCAGATAGAATTCTTGTTCTCTGAACCGCACCCACACCCTCTTTCTAGTCCAATGTCCTAGATGTTTTGTTAATGACATTACTGTCCACCCAGTTGGTCAAGCCAGAAACCCAACAATTACCTGGCATTCCTCTCCCTATACCTCATATCCAACAAATCATCAAGTTTTGTTAGTTCTGCCTCCCTCCATATCTCTGGAGCGTTTCTCCAGTGCCACAGCCACCACGCCTGTCTAAGACCTCACCGTCTCGTACCTGGGTGGGGTAATGTTCTGGTGTTTCTAGCTCCACTGTTTCTCCCCTGCAGGCCTTCTTCCACATGGCAGATGTGGTGATCTGCTTCAATTGTAGATCTGATTACGTCTACAGCAGTTGTCATTGGAGGTCTGCCGAACCTATAAGCCTCTCCTTTACAGAGACGTGTGCTGATTCCTGAAGCCATGTTTGCGTCATGAGAGCTGGAGTTCCCTTGCCTTGCTCATAGCTCATTGAATTAGGGATGAATACGCTGACCCAAGCTGGCTTAATTGAATTCTTTCTCCATGAAGTTTGAATTGGGGTCAATAACCACTGTTGTGTGTGTCTCTCTGTATGGCTAGACCCTTTGGTTTTTTTTTTTCTTTCTTCCTTTCTTTTCATTTCATTTCCTTCCTTCCTCTTTCTTTTTCCCCTTCTCTTTTCTTTCTTTTTCATCCAGTTTTATTGAAATATAATTGATGAATATTGTGTATATTTAAGGTGTAAAACAATGCTTTGATATACATGTACTATACATTGAGAAATAATTACTATCAAACTAATTAGCATATTCATCAGCTCACACAGTTACTGTGTGTATGTGGTGAGAACATTGACAACGTACTGCCTTTACAAATTTCAAGTATACAAGAAAGTATTACTGACTGTAGTCACCAGGCTGTACATTAGATCTCTGGAACTTCATCCTGTGTAACTGACAGTTTGTACCCTTTGACCAATATCTCTGGAACAATTATCCCTACACCCCAGCTTCTGGCCACTGCCATTTTACTCCCTGCTTCTATGAGTTTGATTGTTTTGGACTCCACATATAAGTGAGATCATTCAGTATTTGTCTTTCTGTACATGGCTTATTCCATTTAGCATAATGTCTGATATAGTTTGGCTGTGTCCCCATCCAAATCTCAACTTGAATTGTATCTCCCAGAATTCTCACATGTTGTGGGAAGGACTCGGGGGGAGGTCATTGAATCGTGGGGGTCAGTCTTTCCTGTGCTATCCTCGTGATAGTGAATAAATCTCATGAGATCTGATGGGTTTACCAGGGGTTTCCGATTTTGCTTCTTCCTCGTTTTTCTCTTACCACTGCCATGTTAAGAAGTGCCTTTCACCTCCTGCTATGATTCTGAGGCCTGCCCAGCAATGTGGAACTATAAGTCCAATTAAACCTCTTTTTGTTCCCAGTTTCGAGTATGTTTTTATCAGCAGCGTGAAAACAAACTAATACAATGTCCTACAGATAGAATAATAAATTATAATATGAGGGTTGTAGGGTGACTGTCATTCACCCTGTTTTTGGAGAAGCAAGGAAAATAACTGCAAACAGAGGAAGAGAAAATAGTGAAGCAGAAACACTGAGTGGCAACAGCACAGATGGAGAGAGACCAACTCTAGGCTTTCCCAAGAGTTTCCAGATTATGACTCCAGGCTCTTTTCTTTCTTAAGTTTCATCAAATTTCTATGAGTCGTTATAATAAATTTCCACATTTCACTTAAGCTACTTTGAGCTGATTTCTATTCCTTGCAGCCAAATAATTTTCACTCACACACTGGCATTATTATGTTAAAAAAAAGTCAAAATTCCCTTGACCTTAGGACACAGCCCCAAATTTTGAAGCTGGACCCAAAGCCCTGATCAACTTGGCTTCTCACTGCTTTGTGCTCTGCACTATGGTCACCCTGGAAGACTTCCAGTTCCTGGACATGCTGCCCTCTCTTTTATCCCTGCCCCTGTCGTCCTCCTGCCAGAGTATACTTTGATTCCCTTCTCCACCTACTTGTGCCATCCTCTTCCTTCACATTCAACATAAATGCCAGTTCCTAGGAAGCCAGCATCTTGGCTTTCCAAGCAAGGCTGCTGCCCTCAAGGAGGACTCCCTTGGCATTCGATATTTCCTCCCTACATTCACTTCCCCATCATACCTTAGCTTCAAGAAGGTAGCAGCTGTGGTCTGGTTCATTTTCAGCTGTATGCTCAGCCCTTGGTGTTCAGCCTGCCACAGAGATAGCCCTCAGTATCCATCTGTGCATGAATTGGTTGCTGGGAGAACCCTGGAGAAGGAGCAGCCATGTTTGCAAGGAGAGCTAGGGAAGATTTTGCAGAGGAGGTGGTGTCTGAGCAGAGCCTTAAAGGACAGAAAAGAAGATCCCATCTAAGACACTCTCAAGAATTCAGGGACACAGGTGGGGCACTTTGGGAGGGTGGGGAGTCTGGGCTTTCAAGTCAGGTGCTCCTACTAACTGTGGGACTTAGGGCAAAGTCCTGGCTAGAAGGGGTAATGTGAAGATCAGAAAGGGCAATTACAGAGTACCAGCCACTACTTTTAATAAGAGAAAACAATCATTATTTTCTGTAGATCTGAGCATCACCAAACGCCTTACATTGTTGTAAGGATTGCATTTTCTGAACACTAATGAAAACCCTAAATAAAGTTGTTATTAATAATACTGATAATCAGAACTTGAAGCCCGCAGTGAAGTGCTCCTTCTCTCAACAACTGGACAATCATTCTCTTCCTTTGGGAGTTAAAGTGAAACATGCAAAGTCACCAGAAATATGTAGAATAGTTCTCAGACCAGCACCATTTAAATGTAACTTGGTTGAATATATTTACATATTAAAAAAAAGTATGTCAATCAGAGAATTAAGGGACAGGAAAAGCAGTCACAGAGGCAAACAGGCTTGACTTGGCCTGTGCAGAAAGGAGGGAGGAGGGCAGTTCAGCCAGCAGAAGTGATGGCTTTCTGTTTCTGAGGCCAGCCCTAGGATGCAGAGATGTTCTGATGATGCCAGTAATTTCCTCTCTGCTCTCTGACACCATCTTAAAGGGCCTGCCTAAGCCACAGCACCCAATGAGACAGATTTTTATAGCAAAAGCCCCAGCTCCTGGCTCCTCCATCCTGACCATAACTGATAGAGTTAAGAGTGAACATCAGACTAGAGCTGAGCTTATCAGTTTCAATGTGTTCAGACCTTTCCATCAGGGATGGGAAGACTGACACAGTTGGTTGTGGGGGGAACAAGGCTGGAATGTTGGGACATCATGGAACAGAAGCCATCATCTTGGGATGGCCTTGTTGAAGCCTTGTACACACAGAGATGTAAGCAAAGTCATGTCTGCAAGAAGAGAACAATAAATAAGATATTTATAGAAAAGAAGAGATAAGAGTAGGAGAGGAGAGAGAGTGAGAGAGAAAAGAAGGAAGAGAGCGAGAATGCCATCTACTAAATTTCTGGTTCCACGAAGCTTCGCTCTGCTTCTAAATAGCTTTCATTTTTCACGTGAGCCTTGATGAGTAGAGCTATGTTCCACACAACCAAACCATTTCTAACTAAGATGGGGTTTTAGGTGACAGCCTCAATTATTTCAAGTTTTCCTGGCAAGATCTTCCCAGCATGAGTGAAATGGATGGATCATGCTGCGTCAGCCAGGCATGGTCAGGCTGGGACTCAAACCGTGTCTTCTTCTTAGATTCGTGGCCTACCACTATGAAAGCTGGGACCTTGTTGTATAATAATGTGGCTTCCACACATGGGTGGCATAAAACAATGTCAATTTATTATCTTGCCATTCTTCAGTTTGGAAGTTCAACATTGGTCTCACTGGGATGAAATGAAGTCATCATCAGGGCCAATTCCTTTGGTGGCTCTCAGGAAGAATCCATTTCCTTGTGCATTTACAGCTTCTGGAGGCTGCCCACATTCCTTGCCTTGTGGCCCCTTCTTCCACCTTCAAAGTGAATTATGTGGCATCTTTCTGACTCTACTTCCAGTGTCACAGCTTTCTCCAGCTCACTCTTTTTACTCCCCTGCCCCATGTGAATACACTGAGCCCACTTGGATAAATCAGGATGATTTTCTCATCTCAAGGTTATTGTTTGGTCATGTTCCCACCCACATCTCATCTTGAATTCCCATGTGTGGTGGAGGGGACCTGGTGGGAGGTAATTGAATCATGGGGTCAGATCTTTTCCATGTGTTCTCACGATAGTGAATAAGTCTCATGAGATCTGATGGTTTTACAAGGGGGATTTTCCCTGAACAAGCTCTCTCTTTGCCTGCTGCCATCCATGTAAGAGGTGACTTGCTCCTCCTTGCCTTCTGCCATGATTGTGATGCTTCCCCAGCCATGTGCAACTGTGAGTCCATTAAATCTCTTTTTCTTCCCATTCTCAGATGTGTCTTTATCAGCAGCATGAAAATGGACTAATACAGCAACCTCAATTCCCCTTTTTCATATAACCTAACAATTCACAGGGCCCAGGGATGAGGGCATGGACATTTTGGTGGGTAGGGAGCATTATTCTACCTACTCCATATGGGGAGAAAACAACAAATACCAATGTAGAGCATTCTTTAAAAATACTCATTTTGGCTTAGGAAACTTTGATGCTCAACTAGTGATCTTCTGAACCCATGCTTTAATGAAAAATAGCATGGACTTTCCACTCCTTTAGGCCTGAGTTCGATCCTACCAAGTCTATGACTTGAGTGTGTGTGTTTAACTTCTCTGTACTTCAGCTTCCTCCTCCATAAAATGCAGATAATGATGCGGAACTAGATGAAATGTTTGGGGAACTAGATGAAATCAAATATGCTTTTAAAAAAACATTATAAATGCCTTTCTTTTTTTTTTTTTTTGCTTTCCTTACTTTCCTTTTCCTTTCCTTCCAGCCTGGAACCATTAACTGAATATACCAAGAATGCTCTTGAGTGAGGACCCATGCTGTCTTGGTCATGCTATGTCTCAGCTGCAGAAGTGACCTGGTGCTAGAAATCTGAAACTAGCATTCCACCGGGATGACAATCCATAATCTCCTCATGCTCCTTCTGCCCCATATTTCAGGTCTTGTTATCTCCAGGAGCGAGAGCCATTCAAGGTCTTCTTTTTGTCTTTCTTTTCTCACAGCTTACAATGACAAGGGCCAGGAAGCCAAGGAGAGGATATTTGGGGGTTGCTAAGTAGGAGCCGCCAGGACAGTGATCTCGAGGGCCTATCTGAATGATGGGAGGTATTGAAGAATTCCCAATAGACTGCATCCAGATCATGGCTACAGCAAGCTTTTCCCCATCCCTTTGAGCAACTTATATTCCTTTTTTTGTCTTTTTTTTTTAAAGTTTTATTTTAAGTTCTGGGATACATGTGAAGAATGTGCAGGTTTGTTACATAGGCATACATACGCCATGGTGGTTTGCTGCACCTATCAACCCGTCATCTAGGCTTTAAGCCCTGCATGGATTAGGTATTTGTCCTAATGCTCCCTCTCCTCTTGTCCCCCACCCCCTGACAGGCCCTGGTGTGTGATGTTCCCCTCTCTGTGTCCATGTGTTCTCATTGTTCAACTCCCACTTCTTAGTGAGAACATGTGGTGTTTGGTTTTCTGTTCTGTGTTACTTTGCTGAGAATGATGGTTTCCAGCTTCATCCATGTCCCTACGAAGGACATGAACTCATTCTTTTTCATGGCTGCATAGTATTCCACGGTGTATATGTGACACATTTTCTTTATCCAGTCTATCACTGATGGGCATTTGGGTTGGTTCCAAGTCTTTGTTATTGTAAATGAGCAACTTACATTTCTTTAAAGTGTTGGTGAGCTCTGCACATCTGTAACCACAGCCATGGGCTTCTGATGAGAACTTCTTATTTTACTTTATGTTTGAAGGAGCTTGGCTGCCTTTGACCTCACCACCCTAGGAATTGGAATGGAATGAGTGAAGGAGTTCCTATGTTGGTTTGTGGCAGGAAGATAGTCCAGTTGGATTTAAGTGGTATCATTATGGAAATGCAACCAGTGCAGGTATCAAAGCCTTTGCAAAACATTCTAGAAGGTTACTCATGTTTTAGCTGAAAAAGCAGTCTGCTGATTATAAAATATGGCTCCTCAGCTTTCCTTTCAGTTTTAGACAGTTACCATACCTCATTGGCAGCTCACAATGCATCTTCACAGATATGAGCACTTTTCTTGGTGCACGGGTTCCTAGCAGAGTCTCAGAGTCAGACAGGCCAGTGTTGAAATTCCAGTTCTCCTGAAACTAGCAGTCACTTAATCTTTCTGAGTTTCAGTTCTCCTAACTGTAAAATGGTGGCACTAATAACTATTTCCTTGAATTGCTGTGCTTATTAAATGCCCCTAGCACGGCACCAAGCCCTCATTAAGCACTTGGAAACTTATATCCATTTCTTCTTTTTTGGGTTCTCTGCATATAATGTTTATATACATCTTAATTAAAACTGCTTCTTTCCTTAAAATATCTAATATTCACGTATAGAAGGGTATTCACAGAAAAGGATGCAGCTACCTTTCCTTCTCTGGGCACAGTAGACATTTGCCTTCCCAGATTTGGAAATGAAGGAAGCAAGATTGCCTTTTGGGGAATTAGGCACAGTGCATCACAGTACAGATATGTGAACTCAGCTGAAGGAGAAGGCACAGCTCTCAGGTAGACAAGCCCCCACAGCCACCAGATTGAATGTATTTCCATCAAGAAAGGATGTGTCCATCAGAGGAAGGACTTGTCAGCTCTGGAATAAGAAAGAAATGTGAGTACCAGAGGCAAATATCAGCAGGATCCATCCTAGGGTATTCCCCTTAACCAGTGACTGGAAGAGTTCTGGTTTTGTCAGGGCAGAGGTGGAGCCCACATATTTTAAGCGACTCTGGTCTCACTGGCAAGACCGTCCTCCTTGCGGAATGAAAACACTGAGGTATCTCAGCTGGATGCCTGAAGCACTGGATTATTGAACTTCCCCCTTTCTGACTTCAGGCTCACCAGAAACTTTCAGTCTATGATTTGGCTTCTCCTTGGAGTCTGTCTGTGGGGAGACTTTGGGCTCATTCTATGGAATCTGAGTTTTTAGGTCTCCGTGCCAGGAATTTCTCACAGTAAATGAAGGCATTGGCATTCTGGTTTTATCTGCCAGTGTTCTGTGCTTGGTTAAAGTGTCTCTATTGAGAGATGGATCCCTTTTCAGATTCTGTAGCATCCAAGTAGCAGATCTAGGATGATGGAAAATTCCCCAAAGTAAGCCATATTAGTTTATGAGACATCTTGGAAGATAGTCTGCTGGCCTTTCCTCTTGGTGACAACCATCTGGCATTTCAGAAGAAGAACATTTCCAACTTTGACACTAACCATACAGCCCCTCCCCACTCCATCTCACTCAATAACAGCCCATGGTGTTGGTGTCACATGCTAGAAAGATTCTGGAATTTGGAACCAAACAGACCTGGGCTTGATTCTGTCTCTGCTGCCTTCTGTCTATATAATACTGGGCATGTAATGTAATGTTTCTGAACATCGGTTTCTCCATCTGTAAAATGAGATTCCTCATAGGGATGTTGCAAGGATGAAAGTGACGCAGCTCAACGAAATGTAGCTATGATTATCACGTACATTGGCAATGACTCATTGATGTAGAATGATGGTCAAGTGTGGATCTTTCATTCTAATACGTACAGTGAATCTGTTATATGCAATGGCGCCTGACTAGTTTTCAGTGATGTGCCATCGTCATGGCCTTTCCTGGGGTGGACTTCTCCTTAAGGAAGGCTAATGGATTTCTGCACCTAAGAGCTCAAGGACCTTGCTGAGTTTTTATTTTCCCCACAAACTAACAAAGTTGCAATACCTCAGTCTGGCTTCACTGTTCCAGGTATTGGTAAAATTAGGTTGTCTCTCCTCTCTGGGCAAAACTGTGCTTTGATTCTTTTGATTATAAGGGGAGAGCATTTTAGCACATCCAGAGATGAAAACAATCACAGTTTCCCTCTCAGCAAAGTTCTGGCTGCATTGCCGAGCAATAGCCAGGTGGCCTGCTTTGCTTCCATCCTTCTGTGCATTCTTTTTACAAGGTCTGAACAGGCTGGAGCTTCCCCAAATGCTTTGTGATGGGAATGGTCATGGAGGGCCTTCACCTATGGCCTCAAGTTGAGCCCCTGAAAGTATAAAGAGGCAACAATTTTGGCAAAGCAAGTTTGTTTTAAAGGTATAAGCATATATATGTCAGTGTTTTGGTCTTCCTTAAAGTAGAAATTACTGCTTCATGGTACCATTCGATCAGAACTTTGGTAACTGGTTCGTTAAATGAGAACATTCTTTTTTGTATCTGCCCATTTCTACCTGATCTCTGTCCCTGGAAAACATTTTGGGTGAATGCAGTCGCTTTTGTGGTCACTCTTAGACAATAACGACAAATTTGATATAATAATGTTACTTGGCTACTTCTAGGTAAGAGAAAATCTAGTCCAATCTAATATACAAACTCCAGACTCTCCTTCCACCACTTGGCCGATTTCAGGTTTGGAAGTCATAGTGGGGGAAATAGTTGTGATTGCTTCTCCACCCATTTCCATCTTACCTACCCTAACACCCCAGCAGACATTTTAGGACCCTCCTGTGTTGGGGTCGTAGGTGGGGAGGAGAGAGGAGAGGAAGGACAGAAGAGGCTTCCTGCACCTGCCTGTAACCTGTATGTGGCAGTAAGCATATGTCTCTCTCTCTCTGTGTGGCACTTTGTGAATTCCTCCATGAGCCCTCTGACTGCAGCCCCTAAAGCTGAGGAAGCCACCACACGTTGGCTGCCTTTGACTTTTTTCTCTTGACAGCTGTGCACCCAATGGCACGCCCACAGCTCCTGCTGAGATTGCCTCACTGCTGGCAGGAAGCCCACATGGGCAAGCTTCTTTTCTTCCTCTTCATTAAAAAAAAAAAAAACACTTAAGTGGTAACCTGATTATAAAAGCAACACACGTGACAACAGAATATTTCTAAAAATAAGAGAGCAGAAGATAATTAGTCAAATTCCCGCCACCTACGTCCCAAATGCCCATCAGCAGATGAATGAAGAAGCAAATCGTTGTACATTCCCACACTGGAGTACCACTCAGCGATAAAAAGGAGTGAACTATTGATACGACAACATGGTTGCATCTAAAAATAATCACGCTGAGTGAAAGAAGGCGGACAAAAAAAAGCATGCATACTGTCTGATTCCATTTCTATAAAATGCTCAAAAATACGCACTGATTTACAGTGACAGAGAGCAGAGCGGTGATTGCTTTTTAATGAGGCAAAGGGAAGGGTGGGAGGGATGGATGCTAAAGGAGTAGAAGGACGTTTCTGGGTGTGATGGATGAGTTCCTTATCTTGATTATGGAGACAGTTTTGTGCATGTATCAAATTGCATCCTTTAAGTACGTGCAGTTCTTTGTAAATCTATTATGTCTCAATAAAACTATTTAAACATTTTTACTGTTGGGCATATTCAGACAGGGTCTTTTTCTTTCTTTATTTTTATTTTTTATTTTACTTTAAGTTCCAGGACATATGTGCAGGACATGCAGGCTTGTTACATAGGTATACGTGTGCCACGGTGGTTTGCTGCCTCTATTGACCCATCCTCTACGTTCCCTCCCCTTGCCCCTCACCCCCCAACAGGCCCTGGTGTGTGTTGTTCCCCTCCCTGTGTCCATGTGTTCTCATTGTTCAACCCCCACTTATGAGTGAGAACATGTGGTGTTTGGTTTTCTGTTCCTGTGTTAGTTTGCTGAGAATGATGGCTTCCAGCCTCATCCATGTCCCTGCAAAGGACATGGTCTCATTCCTTTTTATGGCCGCATAGTATTCCATCGTGTATATGTCAGACAGGGTCTTTTTCTAGAAGGGCCATGGCTGGTTCTTTCCTGGACCACCCATCACAGGCTCCTTCCCCCACGCTCAGTGTAAGTGCAGCTTGCATCTTTGGCAGCCTCTGTATTCAGCTGTTGCCTATTACCTGTAGACTCTTTAGGAATGAGCCTGGCTGCCACCCAGGCTTCAGGGAGCCTCGATAGTTCTCCTTAAGTCCTGTCCTTTCTCTGACCTGAGGTGTTGGACCCGAAGCTTGCTCTCACACATGTGTGGAGAGCAACCCATATAAAACACCAATATCTCTCTTCAAAGATCTAATCCTTTGCATCTCTTTAACCTCCTGTGAGTCTCGGCTTTTTCCTCCATAGCCTGGAGACAGGTGCACATCTATTGAAAGCAGCAGTAGCTTTTGGCAATGCCCTTCGCCAAGCCTACACATGTGGTTCAGCATTACAGTGGGTGTCTACTTGGCACTCATTGTTTTTAGCTTTGGGGTCACAGCTGAAACTCTGAGATGACAAAAAGTCTCATTTTAATGACCTGTTTCACTTCCCTTTGGTTCACTGGGATACAAAGAGATGAATTTTTCCCAATATATTTTTAGAGGCATATTTATCATAAGAGCAGGCCAGCAGCCTCTCTGAGTGCTGAGGCCCTAATAGGGACTTGCAGTTATTGTATACCTACACCCCCACAAGGCCCCCAAAGATGCAGAGTGGACCTTTTGGTCCCTCTCCTCCCTTTGTCTAAGGACATCAGATAGTGATCATAAATATTCATCCCATCTATTTCCTGATGCTGGGAAGGGAAAATATTGCAAACACCACGAGCACTTGTTGAAGACACACATACGCCAGGCACTGTACCCAGAACTGACTCTACAGTGGTGATGGACAGGTCCTGCCCACGTGGATCCCCCAGTCTAGCAGACTGGACAACAGGATGGTGGCCTGGAGAAGAGGGTGAACATAAACTGGTGGACAAAGGGCCACATGGTTCGCCTCCAGAGATCTTCTTTAGAAAGGAGTCAAAGGGCTGGGCGCGGCGGCTCATGCCTGTAATCCCAGCACTTTGGGAGGCCGAGGTGGGTAGATCATGAGGTCAAGAGTTCGAGACCAGCCTGACCAACATGGTGAAACCCCGTCTCTGCTAAAAATACAAAAATTAGCCGGGTGTGGTGGTTCACACCTGTAATCTCAGGTATTCAGGAGACTGAGGCAGGAGAATCACTTGAACCTGGGAGGTTGCAGTGAGCTGAGATTGCGCCACTGCACTCCAGCCTGGGCAACAGAGTGAGACTCTGTCTCAAAAAAAAAAAAAAAAAAAAGAAAAGAAAAGAAAAGAAAAGAGTCAAGGGTGAGCAGTGCAAGGCTGAACAGCTTTCCATATTAGCCAAATACACCACCTCCGTCAGGATCCTCCCTCATAGAAGTCACCAGCACAGAAATGAGTCAGAACATTGTCACGTGAGCAATGGGAGCAGAATCTCCCCTCCTCGTGTCCTTGCTGCTGGGCCACAGGCCAGTGGTAGGCCTCTAAAGGGTTTAGAGTCACACAGGATGATGAAGGGGACAAATCAAGAAGAAAAGAAAAAAGGGAGCTTGCCAGGCACCTTCTTCTGCACCTCCAATTCCAAATGCACTCAGTGGATGCGTGGGAAGTGCTGAATCACATATGAAAGCAAAGCTTTAAACAGGATAGACCAAGCTTTAACAACAACAACACAAAAGCTTGAATGTCTACGAAGTTGGATCTGCATCTCATGGAGAGCCCAGGAGGTTTTTGCAGAGTACAGCTGGTAATAAAAATATGGAGGATCTAGGCCAGGTGCAGTGGCTCACGCCTGTAATCCCAGCACTTTGGGAAGCCAAGGCAGTCTGATTGCTTGAGCTCAGGAGTTAGAGACTAGACGGAGCAACATGGGGAAAACCTGTCTCTACAAAATACAAAAAATTTAGCAGGGCGTGGTGGTGAGCACCTGTAGACCCAGCTACTTGGGAGGCTACTTGCTTGAGGCCAAGAAGTTGAGGCTGCAGTGAGCCGTGATCGTGCCATGCATTTCAGCCTGGGTGACAGAAGACAGAAAAAGACCATGTCTTAAAAAAAAAAGAGGAAGATTTACCATGCCTCAGAGACTAAGTGCCTTACATTGTAATATAAAGTCTTTGAATCCTCACAATGACCCCAGGAGGTAGGTGCTGTTATTAACATCGTCCTTTCCTCCATGAGGCTAATAAGACACAGAGAGATTAAGTGTCTTGTCCAAGGTCATAGAGCTAGAACCTTGACTCCAGAAACAGCATCTGCAACCCCCAACCCCCCACCCTCGCGGCCTTTTGCCTATTCTGCAATCTCATGAAATTTCCTTTCCTTCTTTGAGGCCAGGAGCTCTCCAAGGTGCTGGAGAGAGGCCCAGAAGCAGCGTAGAGAGGCAGCCCCGCCAGACCCTGCAAGACCATAGTAAGGACCAGGATTTTATTTTGAGAATTAAGGGAAACCACAGGCGTCTAAATGAATCACTGCTGCTTCCGCGCTGTCATAGCCAGCACTCTGGCTGTGTCTCTATTTAGCACTTGAGAGCTGGCTGTTTACGTGCCTACTTCTCCTTCTGGACTGGAAATGTCTTAGAGCAGGGACTGCATCTTAGCCATTTTTATATCTTCTTCACGCTGTCCCAGTTACACAGCACAGTGCTGGCATATATTAAACATTTAGTACCTGTTTATTGAATGAAATTAAAGTAGAAATGGATTCTTAATTATCTTTGAAAAATCTCATTTTCCGGCAGCCCAATTAATTTCAAAGAGACTCAGGAATTTCTACAGTATCATGGCAATAACAATGGTAATGTTAATTCCGGTTACTAAGCTCTCAGTGTTACATGCTGGGATTTGGGCAAAACACTTTATATCACCCTTAGTATATTGAGAGAGAGGTACTCTAGGTCCTCCCAGTCACTGGTAGTCCTTTCCCAAGCAGAAGACTCACCTGGGCGAGCTTATAAATCCCAGAGGTTAAGGAGAATACGATTTCACAGGAGTGGCCACTAGGTGGTGGTGTGACACCATCATCACCTCGCCGTGGGCTAGTGGGCAACTTGGACCAATTGCGCGGGGCCGGTGGAGTGGCTGGGGGCCTCTTGGGAATCAAGATGGCCAAGATGGGGGTCTGTGCACCAAACTCTGTAGTTGAAGTTGAGGGCTTTCCAGTTTATGCTGCCCATGAGCAGATGAATGGAGAGGACTCTTACTAAGCCAGGGTGCATTTTCTTCTTGTTGAAATCTGAAAATTATTCACTTCATTTCAACTCAGTTGAACAAGACATTATTGAGTCTCAGCTCTCACTAACACCCCCTCTGTCTTCACACCCTCTATTTTAGACTGGATTGGGGTGTGGGGACAGGAAGGCCACCAGTCCCAGTTCTCACATTTATGAAGAACATGATTAGGCATTTAATGTTGCATTCAAATAAGGCCATGCATACGATCATTATATCCCTCCCGATGTTAAAACAGTTTATTCGTTCTTACGAATAATGGTATATTTAAGTTGTACCATTATTTTTGTGCTCTTTTTTTAGCATACCTTCGTTTTAAAAATATGTCAGCATCTTTAGATATTGGAAGTATTTAGGACTCCTTTCTCAATTTTTGAAGAGCTACCTGTTTGAAGAGCAACTAAAATGCTTGCAGTCCCATCAAAATAACTAATCGACCACGCTTTCTCTGATTTTATTGTTTTTGCGCTTGCTAATTTCCACTTCTGGAACAGTTTCTTCTCTGTCTTAAGTTGATCTATTCCTGCCTATTCTTCAGATTTTAGATTGGACATCACCTCCTGTGCAAAACAAGAGCTTGTTAGGTGCTTGCTTTTACCCCATTGTTATTCTTTCTACTATGCTGTAATTCACGAATCCTTCTCTGTGTCCCCTAAAAGATCAGGGGTTCTCAACTTGGGGTATTTGGACCTTTAGGCTATCCATGATATGCCCTTAAAATTTTGTATTATTTACTTACTGCCACAATAATACAGAATAAGAGCAACCACAAAACCTCAGTGGCCCATAGTAAGTGAATATTTGTTATGTGTCTAGAGTCAGCTGAAATTCAGCCAGGCAGGGGTCCTGCCACTCTTGGATGGGCTTGTTTACACCTCTGGGATTACCTGACTGCTGGCTGATGGAGATTGGCCCTTGCTGCGGCAACTGAGCCGTGTTCCACATGCTTCCCATCTCCCTTCTGGACTAGAAGGCTAACCCAGGAGGTCCTTCTCATAATGGTTGTGGAAATGCAAAAGATCAGGCCCCAAAATGCAAGTCTGTTTCATCAGCTTCTGCATTGGCCATTCCCACTAACATCCCTTTGACCAAAGCAAGTTACATGGATGAGCTCAAATTCAAGTGGTGGGGAAGGCCCCCCTACTCACAGAGGGAAGGTTGGCCATGCTGCGTGGCCAAGGGCATCATTCAGAAAAGAGAGAAGAATTAGGGCCATTGCTGCTATCTACCATGGATTGTATGCCAAAATACTGTATATTTTCTGGAAAGATGATCTAAGGCTTTTACCAATTTCTTACTGGGACCCATATCTGCAAAAGTTCAAGAACCTCTGATATAGACCCAACTTTGAGTTTAGGGACTATATTTTCTTTATTTGTATATCTTCAAAACCTAAAATATAGGGCCTTGATCATAACAGGCGCTCAATAAATGTATGTAGAATGAATGAGTGCCTTTTGTATGCAGGCCATGTATAGTATTAGGTTCTGGGGATACAGAATTTAGCCAACCAAGGACTCTATTCTCAAGGAGCTTCTACTATGTGTGCTCTCTGAGAGAGCTGTTTTTCAGGGGTTGGAGTCAGGAGGCAGGTGGACATCCTTCCGCCTCAGCCAGTATGTGTTTGCATCATTATGATGCCTTGAGGGTGAAATTCAAGAAAGAACAAGTTCAGGGGAAACATAATAAACAAAGATGCTCAACTTCTGGGGTCCCAAATGTGAATTATCCTGCAGAAACCATATGCTGTGCAAGTAAACATATATGTGGGCATAAAAAAATAGAAGTGGAGACCTCATATTTGTTGGTGTCACAAAGTGAATAATGCATTTTCTTAGCAGCTAGTTCCAGAATCCCGGTCCAACAAGGAGATTGCCTCTGTCCAAGAAAATATCTTGATAAGCTGCTCAGGGCAGAAGGTGAGAGACCCTGAAGGCATGGGTGTCCAGTGAAATGAATTGTTTATTTTTTCCTCACAATGCAGGAAAGAGACAAAGGAGATAGAAGAAGTGGAATAAGGGGAAAGATAAGAACTGGAAAGCTGAACCATAGCCCAGACCCAAGCAGGAGAAAGAGCAAGAAATGCCTATGAGAAAGCCGGAAAGAAACCCCTGGAATTTGGAAGAAAATGTCTAAAAGGTTGTTTTCAGGAGATGGCTGGAAGGTGTTCTCTGGGACCCTCCCTCATGACTCCTAAGTAACCACACTTGCAAATGCATCTTGCATTTTGTTTCCTCCAGCTTTGTTTTGGTTTTGCTATCATGGAACTGAGAAAAAGACTGAGTTACTCATCAGGATTGGTGTGGTCCCAAAGAGATATCACTTGGTAAATGTAGTAACAGATTTAGTAGCAGGACCCTGGAGATGGAGGTTTCTAGGCTTGTGCTTCTGAAGTCTTAGGGACTTGGGGAAGGGTCTGGAAGCTCAGAGACTGTGGAACCATGGGATATCAGGGCATCTGTGCCTGGCACTTGCTCTACGACACTTTCTACTTGTAATGTTGGGCTGGTTTCTTAAATGTTCTGCTTCTGTTTTCTCACCTCTAGACTGAGGATAATAGTATCTTCTTCCTGGGGTCTTGGGGAGCTATCTAATGAGAAATGGAGACATCATACAAGACATAGCACCTGGCACACACACTTATACATGTTAGCTCTCATTATTTTAGATGTCACTGGGTTGTTATTATTATTTCTTTTGTTGTTCCCAGTAGCTGACATTTGGGTAGCATTGGCCTGGTGGACTGGAAGCAACACAGGACTGAGGGTCAGAAAACCAGTCTGGTCTTTGCTCCTCCCCTAAACAGCCATGCGACCTTGAGGAAGTCACTTTGCCCTTCCAGGCTTCAGGCTTCCTCTTCCTCCTCTAACTGAAGAAATTCGACAAGACTTTCTCTGAGGGTTGTTTTTTCCCCTCAACCTGTAGGAGGCACCATGGCCCCGCAGCTCCCAGCCTCACAAAGCCTGTTTTGACATTGGAGGAAGCAGCCCTGTTGCAGTCCACGGTCCACTCCGAAATCCATTTTCCCCACTCAGCATAACACTGAAATGAGACTGACTTGGTGTGTTTGTTTACACCCCTTGGGAAGTTATTTCCCCTTTCACTTAATTACCTGATATCCAGACATTGCTGTGCAAAATTCGCCTCAAATACATTTTGTAAAGTCATCTAGACTTGCTCCTCTGGTGCTTTGATTAAAATGTGCAATCTTCCCCAGGCTTCAGCACCTCATTAAATAATTGCACCTCCAGTGAGAAAGTAAACAGCACACTCCGGGGGCACAGAGAACAAGATAAACGTGGTGCACATCCAGCAGCTATTTTATACTCCATCCCCCGGGCAAACACATAACCTCTGGCTTAAGGGCTGGATGGATACTGGCTTTAAGTTGCTTTCTTTTTGCAATCTTTTTGGGAAGGAGTATGATCTAGAAGCAGAGCAGAATCTCCTCTCCCCGCCCTTTCCCAGCTCAGTGTCTGCTTAACTTGGGCTCAGCCCCGGCGGAAGGACCAAGGGTTGGTTGTTCACTGGGAACCTGGCTCATCCCCTAGCAGCAACTTTGCATGCAAAGTACCAGGCGTGGGGGCTGGATACAGAGCACATTTCCTAGAGGGTGTTGCAGTGCTGTTAAGGGATTGGCAACTTTGAATCAAGTCCCACCTTTCTCATTAATTCTTGATGTTGACCTTGAGCATTTCACTTTACCTTTTCTGACCTTCATTTTCCCCCTGCCTCTTCTATAAAATGAATCTGGGGTACGACTATAGAGGGAGTGGCTGAGTTAGGATGGAGGAAAAAAATCAGTGGAAAAGATGAGGTCAAGGAACTGACTCACAAAGCCTATGATGACAGGTGATGATAATGACCAACAGCACAAGGAGCCACCTTTGGGCTCCAGGATAGGAAGCTTGATTCAAGATGATGTCCTAACCACCATGGTCCCAAAAAAGGCTGAAGGATGCTGGTTGGTGAGGGTGTTGGTGGAAATTTCTTTTCCGTGGCATTACAACTCCAAGGTATGGGAATTGAGGATCTAACCACCAGGCTGGCATAGATTCTTCTTGAATTTGTCTTCTTGTTCCACAGGGAATGGCAAGGAACCTGAGGAACCAGCGTGAGGAAAACCTGGATGATCTGACGTCTTCCTCACTTTATCCCTACCTGTCCACGCCTCCATCCATCCACCCATCCATCACTGATCAAGCTCTCACTATGTCTATAGTGTAGAAGGTGCCACCAAATGCAATGGAACCTCTTGTCTCATGTGTCTACTTGCATCTTTAAGTTGATACACGGAAGGCACAGTCCAAGCACAGGATACTGGAAGCTATGGAGGTACAGTGGCCTCTGAGCAAACTGAAAACTCTCTATCACTAAAGGGTTGGGCATACAGGGTATCTCCTCTGCTCTGCCACCTACCTTGAGGATGCTTTACATGTGGCTAAAAGTGGAGGCAGAGATATTTGGATAAATAAATGCTAGAGAATTGGAAATTCCTAGGACAAGTCAATTTGGATATGTCTATGTCATCCTTTTTTTTCTAAGAGACACGTAACTCTGATCCTTAAGGAGTTAGAGAGTTCCCATAGCTTAGGGTCTGGAAGCCATATTCCTTTTTATGTAACATCCTTGAATATGCTACTCGTATACCCTAAATTTACTCTGTAATTTTTTTTTTTTTATTTGAGAGGGAGTCTCACTCTGCTGCCTATCCTGAAGTGCAGTGGTGTGATCTTCACTCACTGCAACCTCCTCCACCCAAGTTCAAGCGATTTTCCCACCTCAGGCTCCTGAGTACCTGGGATTACAGGCACATGCCACCAAACCCGGCTAATTTTTGTGTTTCTAGTAGAAGCGGGATTTCACCATGTTGGCCAGGCTGGTCTCGAACTCCTGACCTCAGGTAACCCACCCACCTTAGCCTCCCAAAATGTTGGGATTTCAGGCATGAGCCACCATGCCTGGCCTATAATTATTCTTCACAACATATTTCAGCAATAGGATTAATTATATGTGTCATTAATTATTCAATGTTTGTCTGTCTTACTAAAGTGTGAGCTCCAAAAGGACAGGAGCTTACCACAAATAGCTACAAATTACCTATACACATCCTAGGTACTGTTTTAAGCCCTTCAGATACAACCTGCTCACCCAGAACTCCCATTCTGGTTCCAGGATGGGGACAAAGGGAATTGCTACCTAACACAGTTGTCAGAAAAAGTCTCTCAAATCAGGTTGCATGAAAACGGAGACTGAAAGCAGTGAAGGACCATATCATGAAGCTCTCTGGGAGGAGGGGCATTTAAAGAAGAGAAAATGGAAAGTGCAAAGGTTTTGAGGGCTGGAACATGTTTGGTATATTCAAGGAACAGCAAGAAGACCAATGCAACTGTTGCAGAATAATCCCATGTGAGAGTGGTGGAAGATGAAATCAGAGAGGTAGCAGGTGGCCCTAGCTTTTACTCTGAGTGCGACGGGAAGCTGTTTTTGAGCAAGGGGAGAAAGACAGAGAGAGAGAGAGAGAGAGAGACAAAGAGAGAGAGAGAGAGAGAATTGGGAGGTATGTGACTGGGAGGTATGTGACTCAGGAGTTGGGTTTTGTTCGTTTAAAGTTTGAGATGTGTGTTAAGAATCCAGCTGAGATGTAAAGTTGGGTTGAGGCATGTGGAATTCAGGAGAGAGGTCTAGCAGGAGAGATAAACCTGGGAGCCATCAGTGTAAATTGCATTTAACACCATGAGCCTGAAAGAGGTCTTAGAGAGGTCTCTAGTGAGAAGGGTAGACCGGGAAAAGAAAGCCGAGGGCTGGGTCTGGGGCCATTGATGTTCAGACGTCTGAGATCTGAGCAGGGACCAGGAGAAACAACCAAGAAGGAGTGGCCAGTGATGTAGAAGGAGACTCTAGAGAAAAGAGCATCCTGGAGGCAAATCATAAAAGACTTTCAGGAAGAAGGTAGGGACAAAAATTGTCAAATGTTTCTGAGAGACTGAGTAAGATGAAGACCGAGAATTGATGATTGGGCTTTGTAACATGGAGGTATTGGAAACCTAGATAAGGGCTGTTTTGGTGAGGTGATGGGCAAAAAAGCCCAAAAGCATTGAGTTCAAGATGGAAAAAGAGGTCAGAAATTGGAGACCATTCTGCAAAGGAGAGCAGAGAAATGAGTGGGAACTAGAAGTAGGTAAAGGGTGAGCAAAGGGTTTGTGTTTTGCATTGGATGGAAAAGGTCAAGAAGAGAGAGAAAATTTGATGGTGCAGGAGACAGCGTGGCTGACCGATCAATGACCTTGTTATTGAAAAAGAGAATGAGGACCTAGGGTTCAAGCAGAAGGGCTGGCATTAGAGCTTTCAGTTCATCTGTGATGTTGAGTGGGAATGCAGAGCTTCTAGGACAAATGCCCTGAGGGTGGTAGATGTCTTGGTGGAAGCCTGCAACATTTTCTTCTGATTGCTTCTATTTTCTTAGTCCAGAGTGAGGAGGAGAAAGAAGTTACAAAATAATAGTTTAGTCTCTTAATTGGATTTTCTCCAATCACACTAGGCAGAAAAGCATATAAATGGATGACTTGCGAAATGGAGTAGGATTGGAAGGTAGCATTTGGGCCCCTTGAGGTAGGATCTCATGCATTTGAAATAGGCCAGTCAATATGCTTGCGTATTTTTCTCCCACTAAGTTCAGCTGCTTGGATAAAGGTTCAGAATAGTTAGAGAGTGAGATTTAATAAGGGTTGAGGGTTTTTTTTCCTAGGTGAGAATTAGGGAGTGAGGAAAAAAGGAGCTGGAGTATGTTCTGGGGAGTAATGGTAACAGCACCTACTTGAATGGAAGCTGGATAAGAAGAGTGAGGCAATGGAGGAGTTGAGGGACAGTACAACCATGTATTGATCATATATTTAGATATAATCATGTATTTAGTTTATAGAGGGGTCAATAATTTTTGGAATTGGCAAACTGAAAATGAGAAGTGGTGGTTGGAAAGTAGGATTCTTAGAATTGAGATAACAGAGTGCAGTTACTTGTGTAAAAAGGTCTAGGGCATGACTATAAGGGAGAGTGGATGAGTTAGGATGGAGGAAAACAATCCCCAGAAAAGAGGAGGTCATGGAATGGGCAGTCCAGGGCTTTGCAGGGATTTCTCTATGGAAAGCAAAATCACTGAGAATCACAGCTGAGGTAGTATGGGAGAGGGTGACCATGACCCAGGTGCCGGGATCTTGTAGAAATGAGGGGAATGACACAGGGCTCAATAGTTGACTATGACAAGGAGGGTAGTGGGTTGTTCGGTATGGCCGCATGACCCTTAAAACCGGGAGTGTTGGGGGCAGTGGTATGGAAGATCAGTAACGGGCAAAAAGGAGTAATGGGCAAAAAGGAGCCCTGCCTCACCTCCAGGCCCAGTGGAACAAGGGGTATGGGAATGAAAAAATCAGCTGCCTTTTCAGAGGACAGCAGGGGAAATGGTGTCTTTGCGGGGAGCTTTGAGATTTTCTTAGGGGCTAGTTCTGGAACCCAGTGGATGCGGAGCCCTCCTAATGCTTCCTCCCTGTTGTTGCCTCTGTTGCTGCTTCCTGGAGTTGTGTCTTTGACCACAGACCATTCTGTACTACTGTATATCACAGTGGTTACATACACAGGGTTTGGGCTCCAACTGTCTCGATTCAAGTCCTGTGTTTCTAATGCACTACTTCTCAATTCTGTGATCTTGGGTTAATTAATCGACCTCTTTGTGCTTCTGTTTCCTCATCAAAAGATAGAATGGTAATGGGCTTACGGAATTGTTGTGAAGTTCAGGCAATAGATATAGGAGCTGTGCTTGCACTAGACTTGGGACAGTGGTTGCACATATAAATGTTTGCTATTAATATAATTATTTTTCCATCACATTCTGCTCTTGATGGCCCCCTTATTCGGTGAGGGCAGAAAGGTAAGGGGAATGTTTACAGTTGCAATCGAAGATAAAGAGATTTTGCTGATAATAGATCATGCATTCCAGTGACCCAGTGGGTGGGTTTGGGAAGTTGGGGGTAGTCAGATTATGGGGTTCACAGAGGTTTAGGGGATGAAAGGCAGGGTACTGAGGGATGAGTTTAGGGAGTCCTGCTGTCAGAATGGCAGGGCTGGGTGAAGGGTGATCTTGCCTGGACAGTGCAGAACTCAGGGGCCTCCTCTTGACTTTGACTTCCACTGATGAACATGGTCAGTGTGGTTCACTGGCATATCCCTGGGGTCTAGCCAAGCTCTTGCTGCATCCTTGCCAAATAAACAAAAGATGCTTCTGAGGAGGCACATGCTGTTATGAGTTTTCCTATCGGCTCTGCTTCTTCTAACACCTCACACTACCCTTTTGGAAATCTGTCTAAGCTCTTGGTCAGATTCCCTCTGAATTTCACCGAGCATGTTGACACACCTCTGTACCTGTGATTGTCTTGCCTGTAAATAGTTGTACTTGCAGTTCACCTCACCCAGAGCTGAGATAAAAGGTGTCACATAATGTTCCCAGAGTCCTGTCTCATATTGCCCGAGCAGATGCTACTGTTGCAGTGATAACCAAAAATGTTAAAATTGAGACCACAAGGACTTGTTGAGCATTGTAGTTTTCTGACAGGACAGATAGTTCCTTTCTTCCTTGGCTCAATGCTTGAGACTTCATCAGACACAGAACTTTCCTGCCGCTGTGCCCCACAGCTGCCCATCCTCACCTGCTCAGGGCTGTCTGCTCTTAGATTATGGGCTGTGCTGTTCAGCTCTCTGGTGAGCTAATTCAAGACCTGGATCCTAGGGTCTGTTGCAGATGGTCATACAGGAGTCACAGACTGGATAGAAAATTACCCACAGGCATATGCTGTTTGGATCACATAGTGTTTTGCAAATCAGGAAATTTCATGCAAAATTACAGATTAATGACTTTTTTTTTTTTTTTTTTTTTTTTTTGTGGGCAGAGGAATATAAAAAGACCCAGGCACAGGAACTCTGACATTCTACATAGCAACCATTGGCTAGAGTTGAGTCATGGCGCCCCCTGCAGATGGAGTACATACTTTAAGTCATTACATATCCCTCCAAGTAAGCCTCTTGGGACTACCAATTTTTTTTTTTTTTTTTTTTTTTTTTTGAGACGGAATTTCACTCTTGTTGCCCAGGCCAGAGTGCAATGGTGTGATCTCGGCTCACTGCAACCTCTGCCTCCCAGGTTCAAGTGATTCTTCTGTCTCAGCCTCCTAAGTAGCTGGGATTACTGGCACCCACCACCACGCCCAGCTAATTTTTTGTATTTTTAGATAGGGTTTCACCATGTTGGCCACGCTGGTCTTGAACTCCTGACCTCAGGCGATCTGCCCGCCTCAGCCTCCCAAAGTGCTGGGATTACAGGCACTCAGCCCAATTTTTTTTTAGGTGCCAAAATAAATGCGAGATTCTATTTTCTGCTTAGGAACACCCGTAGGTGGTTATGTATTTCTTTTTCAACTTTTATTTTAGAATCAGGGGGTACATGTTCAGGTTTGTTACTTGGACATGTTGCATGATGTTAAGGTTTAGGTATGATTGATCCCATCATGCAGATAGTGAACATAGTAGCCAATAGGTAGTTTTTCAATCTTTGCCTCCCTCTCTTTCCCCTCTAGTGGTTCCCAGTGTTTATTGTTCCCTTCTTTATGTCCATGAATACCCATTGTTTAGTTCCCATGCAGTATTTGTTTTTCTGTTCCTTCATTAATTCGCTTAGGATAACAGCCTCCAGTTGCATCCATGTTGCTTCAAAGGACATGGTTTTGTTCTTTTTTATGGCTGCATAGCATTCCATGATGTATATGTATCACATTTTATTTATCCAAACTGTCACTGATGAGCACTGGTGTTGATTCCCTGTCTTTGCTATTGTGAATAGTGCTGTGATGAACATACACGTGCATGTGTCACCCATCCAAGTACTAACCAGGCCTGACCCTGCTTAGCTTCTGAGATCAGATGAGATCAGGCATGTTCAGGATGGTATGTCCTTGTGTCTTTTTGGTAGAATGATTTATTTCTTTTGAATATACATCCAGTAATGGTATTACTAGGTCAAATGGTAGTTCTGTTTTAAGTTCTTTGAGAAGTCTGCAAACTGCTTTCCACAGTGGCTGAACTAATTTACATTCCCACCAACAATGTATAAGCATTTTCCTTTCTCCACAGCCTCTCCAGCATCTGCTGTTTGTTGACTTTTTAATAATGGCCGTTCTGACTCATGTGAGATGCTATCTCATTGTGGTTTTGACTTGCATTAATCTGTTGATTAATGATAATGAGCATTTTTCCATATGTTTGTTGGCTGCTTGTATGTCTTCTTTTGAGAAGTGTCTGTCCATGTCCTTTGCCCACTTTTTAAGGATGTTATTTGTTTTTTGCTTGTTGATTTATTTAAGTTACTTATAGGTTCTGGATATTTGACCTTTGTTGGATGCATAGTTTGTAAGTATTTTCTCCCATTGCGTAGGTTGTCTGTTTACTCTGTTGGTAATTTCTTTTGCTGTGTAGTTCTTTAGTTTCATTAGGTCCCAATTGTCAATTTTTGTTTTTGTTGCAATTGTTTTTGAGGACTTATTCATAAATTATTTCCCAAGGCTAATGTCCAGAATGGTGTTTCCTAGGTTTTCTTCTAGGATTCTTACAGTTCGAGGTCTTACCTTTAAGTCTTTAGTCCATCTTGAGTTAATTTTTGCATGTGGTGAAAGGTAGAGGTCCAGTTTCATTCTTCTGCATATGGCTAGCCAGTTATCCCAGCACCATTTATTGAATAGGGAGTCCCTTCCCCATTGCTTATTTTTCTAAACTTTGTCAAAGATCAGATGGTTGTAGGTGTGCAGCTTTATTTCTGAGTTCTCTATTCTGTTCCATTGGTCTATGTGTCTATTTTTGTACCCGTATCATGCTGTTTTGATTACTGTTGCCTTATAGTATAGTTTGAAGTTGGGTAGCGTGATGCCTCCAGCTTTGTTCTTTTTGATTAGCATTTCCTTGGCTGTTTGGGCTCTGTTTTGGTTCCAGATGAAGTTTAGAATTTTTTTGTGCTAATTCTGTAAAAAATGACATCAGTCACTTGATAGGAATAGCACTGAATATGTAGATTGCTTGGGGCAGTATGGTCAGGCTCTTTTTTGGTTTCTTGTGAATTTTAGAATAGTTTTTTCTAATTCTGTGAAAAATGACTTTGACAGTTTGGAATAGTGTTGGACCTGTAAATTGCTTTGGGCGGTATGGTCATTTTAATGATGTTGATTCTTCCAATCCATTAGCTTGGGATGTTTTTACATTTATTTGTGTAGTCTGTGATTTCTTTTGGCAGTGTTTTGTAAGTCTCTTTGTAGAGATTTTTCACCTCTTTAGTTGACTATATTCCTAAGTATTTTATTCTTTTGTGGCTTTTGTAAGTGGGAATGTGTTCTTGATTTGGCTCTCAGCTTGAATGTTATTGGTGTATAGAAATGCTACTGATTTTTGTACATTGATTTTGCATCCTGAAACTTTACCAAAGTCATTTATGAGCTCTAGGGCCTTTTGGCACAGTCTTTAGGGTTTTCTAGGCATAGAATCATATCATCAGCAAAGATAGCTTGACTTCTTCTTTTCCTATTTGAATGCCTTTTATTTATTTCTCTTGCCTGATTTCTCTGGCTAGGACTTCCAGTGCTATGTTAAATGGGGATGGTGGGGACTCTTAATTTCTATATTATGGGTCTGCTTCTCGTAGGCATTGGAACTTATAACTCAAGCCAACCAACTAAGATAAAGGAATATTAGAGGGCATGTGCAGAGGATAAATAATCTGTGAACGATTAATGACTGCATGAAATATCGATGGGTGAGCCAGTGAACAGCACTCAAACTCACCTGAGTATTTGTGAGAGTAAACAGCTTACATAATCTCAAAAAAAAAAAAAAGGCAAAGAGCTAACTAACTGACACATTCTGCTCTTCCTGAAAATTTTAAACTTAAATCAGAAGCATGGAAAACTATTGCTTAAATCTTTACCTTATACCATGGTTAACAAAGTATAAAACGCCCGATTCTTTCCCAGGATAGTGGAGAGTTTCACAGTTCCCTTTTTTCTTTCATGCTGTAGCAACACCAATTATCACCTGCTGGACTCTTAATGGGGTGTGTGTGTGTGTGTGTGTGTGTGTGTGTGTGTGGTCACCGGAAGCTTTTGAAACAGGTAGTGGGGTATTGAATGTTTTTTTGCCATAGCAGTGTAAAAACAGAACAGCCACATGATGGAGGTTGTTTATTTATTTTTCTCAAGAACAACTTACCTTCTGACTAGCTGTGATCTTCAAGTGAGTTATTTAACTGCTCTGAGCCTCAGTTTTTATCTCTATAAATCTGAGAGTAATGGTTTTATCTCTCAGTGTTTTTGTGAGGATTAAATCATATGCTCTCTGTGAGTGCCCAGCGTAGACCCTCCATCGGAAAGGTTTCCAGTGAGTCTTTCTGTTCAGGACATTCATAACAAAAGCCTCCGAGCAGAGAACGAGCCCCTGGGGAGTGCCCACACAGTCAACCCCAACAGCCCAGTCTCTGAACCGTAGCCTCAGGAATGGGGATGCTGAGGTTCTGCCTTCTGGCAGTGGCACAAACAGACCCTCCAGAGACAGCGGCTGTGCACCTGTTGATTTGGGTTAACTACCCTGGGGGATTTCTCTTCCTCCAAGAATAAGAAGTATCACACTGCTGCTCAGGGTGTTAATTTCTGCCAGGGAATAAGTGAAGAAAAATTATTTGGCCACAACCCTGATTCTGATGTCTATTTGCTAGGGGCCATTTCCCTTTGGGAAGTGGGCTGGTAAGCCTGGATTTTCTAAAGTAGTTCAGGTCAAAGCTATTCCTTCTCTATGAGTCATTAACCCTGTTGAGGTAATAAGTATTTATTGGGCACAATCTTGTTGCCATGGGCAGCGTTAGGCTCTGGGAATGTGATGATGATCAAGATACACCTCAAGTAGCTGACAGTCTAGTGAGGGAGATGGATAAGTAGATGGACAATTAAATACATTCTTCTAAGTTCTGCTACAGCCAGGGAAAACTCAGGATCCCATGGGAGTTCATGGGAAGGGCAATAAAACCACTTTGGGAAAGTTTGGGAAGGCTTTTTGAAAGAGTGCTATGGTCCGCATGTTTGTGTCTCTTCAGAATTCATAAGTTGAAGTCTTTTTTTGTTAAAATTTTTTTTTTAACTTTTATTTTAAATTCAGGGGTAAATGCACATGTTTGTTACAGAGGTAAACTTGTTCCACAGGAGTTTGTTGTACAGATTATTTCATCACGCAGGTATTAAGCTTAGTACCCATTAGTTATTTTTCCTGAGTCTCTCCCTCCTCCCACCCTCCACACTAGGGTAGTTCCCAGTGTGTGTTGTTCCCCTGTATGTGTCCATGTGTTCTCATCATTTAGCTCCCACTTATAAGTGAGAACATGTGGTACTTGGTTTTCTGTTCCTGAATTAGTTTGCTAAGGATAATGGCCTCCAGCTTCATCCATATTCCTGCAAAGGACATGATCTCATTCTTTTTTATGGCTGTATAGTATTCCATGGTGTATATGTACCACATTTTCTTTATCCAGTCTACCATTAATGAGCATTTAGGTTGATTCCATGTCTTTGCTATTGTGAGTACTGCTGCAATGAACATACACGTGCATGTGTCTTTATAATAGAACAGTTTATATTTCTTTGGGTGTATACCCAATAATGAGAGGAAGTCAAATATATGTTGAAATCTTAATCCCCAAAGCATTAAGAAGTGGATCCTCTAGGAGATGATTAGGTCAGGAAGGCAGAGCCTTCATAAATGGGATTAGTTCCCTTATAAGTGAGGTCTGAAGTAGACCCCTCATCCTTTCCACCATGTAAGGACATAGCCAGAAGGCACTGTTGGTGAATCAGGAAGGGGGCTTTCACCAGACGTTGAATCTTCCAGCACACTGACCTTGGACTTCCCAATCTCCAGAACTGTGAGCAACAAGTTTCTATAGTTTCTAAGCAATCCAGTTTATGGTATTTTTTTAAAAATAGTAGCCCAAACTGATTAAGACAAAGAGGTAAGTTCAATTTGAGACACGAAGGATAAATAGGAGTAGCCAGAACAACAAGGGTGGGGATGACAATTCAAGCAAAGGGAATGGGCTGTGCAAAATCCCCGAAGCAGGTGCACACAGCAGGTTTAGAGGCTTTCCAGTGCTCATCGTGACCAGAGTGCCGCTGGAAAGCCTCAGAGAGGTGGGTCAGGAAAGCAAGGTCACAGACTGAAAAGCTTTGTTTTCCGTACTAGGGAGTTTGGATTTATTCCATGAATTGTTTCAGATATTCCAACAGTTTTGGGCCCAGTCTGCATCTCTGAGACAATTTCACACATCTAGAAGTTGTACACATCTTCCCTTTTGAAATGCACGGTCACTATATCTGCCTGCTCAGGAATGGTTGTGCTCTTGATGCAGAAACAAGATATCCTAGGCACACACTATTCACGTTTTTGAAGGCAGTCCCTTATAGATGTGCTCCATGGTCAGAACAATGCATCCCAAAATTCGATTTGGAGAAACTGACATCTATATACATAGCATGAAAAAAATCCTGCTGCTCCTGCTACTACCAATGATGTTACCTATCCTCCCATCTCTGAATTTTCAAGAGTTTAAAATGTGGCAAGTGCTCATTTCCTAGACCTCAAACTCAGGTTTGCAAAATAAAAGACAATTATCTTTTTATTTCCATAACTGAATTTGATTTCTACCTCCAGCTCCATGTCACTGACAATGAATGTTTAATCTTAGCCGTTTTAGGAAAACTAATTAATTCAACATTTTTCTCAATCAGATCACAGCTCCCCCTTTTCCTCCTCCCTCCACAATTGTATTTAATTTCGAGGAGACTTGACTACCAGGAAGCCGTTGGGAATTGTTTCTGATTCTTGGCCATCACGTCTTCTCTTCTGCATCTCTACCACATCCTCACTCCCATTGGCTCTGTTGTCAATGCCCATTTTGCTGACCTCCTTTGCGATATCCAAGTTTTCATCTTTTCCCTGGTGGTTAGTCCATAAAGTTCACTTTGCAGCCTCACAAGACAACAAGGGGACATTAGGGCTCATCAACCCTAAAAATCGAATGGGAGTCCAGGTGCAGTGGCTCACGCCTGTAATCCCAGCATTTTGGGAGGCCGAGGCAGGCAGATCACTTGAGGCCAGGAGTTTGAGACCAGCCTGGTCAACATGGCAAAAACCTGTTTCTACTAAAAACACAAAAATTAGCCAGGCATGATGCCACACACCTGTAATCCCAGATACTCAGGGGGCTGAGGCACGAGAATTGAGAATTGCTTGATCCTGGGGGGTGGAGGTTGCAGTGAACTGAGATGGTGCCACTGCACTCCAGCCTGGGTGACAGAGTGAGATTCTGTCTCAAAAAAAAAAAAAAAAAAAAAAAAAAACATTAAATGGGAAGCATCTGACCTACTTTTTTTTACTGCATGGGGCCTGGGAGGTCAAGCCTGTTTCCCCGGACCCTTCAGGCCAATTCTCCATCACTGTGGCTCCATGGTAGGATACAGATGGAGAATTCCCAGACCTTGCTTATTTGCCTCAGCCCTGCTAAGCAGGTAAGTGTGGGTTCCTTCTGCTCTTGGGCTTATGGTTCTTCCCAGCACCATGGACTTGACCCCAGAGGATCAGGACACAGAGGCTTCTCTCAGACCACTCCTAGTTTCACCCTCTTTCTACTTAAGAGATTTTAATCTAATATGAGTGGAGGTAAAAGCTGGCTCTGACTGGTCATGAAATCTTTTTGCTTAACTAAACTTTAGGCCCTGAGTCTTACTAGGCTCTGCTTTGGAATTCCAAAATCCCTTTCCTGTCAAACTTTTGTCTCTGCCATAAGTTCAAATGTTCATTTGGAAAAGGAAATCTAAGCATGATTTTTTTTTTCTTTTTCCTTTTTGCTGATGTAACACCCTTCCCCAACGGCAGTTGGAATAGAATGGCCTCCCCATTGGTCAAGGAAAGGTAGGCATAAAGCAGTCCCCAGGCAAAACTCTCATAGGTGATCTCTAATAGAATATCCCTCTACAAAAGAGTTACTCATTGAGAATTGTAAAACAAGAGGCACTCACGAATATTAGACTGGACTGCAGCATGGAGAAGACAAGCTGAGTGTTGTCCATGGCCTAGAATGCTAGGTGTAAGGGAACCATTTACTTTCTTCTCTGCTCAAGAGGCATTATCAGAATGTAAGTGATTGAAATGCTTGGAATACTCTGCCTGATAAGAATGTCTTTGTATACCACGTGGGTGCTCCACGTCTATATGACTGACCCTCATAGAAATCCTGGACATCAAGGCTTGGGTGAGCTTCCATGGCTGGTAATATTTTGTGCATAGGCACGTATCATTGCAGAGACAATTAAGCCCTGTCTGTGTTTTTCCACTGAGAGAGGACAACTGGAAGCTCATGTCTGGTTTCTCTTGTACGCCACCCTATGCCATTTTTATTTTATTTTTGCAGATTTTGAATCTGAATCCTTACAGTGTAATAAACCATAGCCATGAATATAACAGCTTTTCTGAGTTTTGTGAGTCCTTCTAGTGAATCACTGAACCTGAGGGTGGTCCTGGGGACCCTCACCACAACTGAGAACCCGCAAAGAGAGAGATGCCACCTCTTGCCAAGTCTCAGTCTCCCTGGCCTTTAAACATTTATTCCAGTTGGCTTTAGGCTGGTTCTTCTTCACGTTACCGCTTCTGGGAAGTTAAATTTTCCTTGTGATCTCTGAGGTCCCTGACTCTTGGACCACTGGCATAACTTCACATCCTTGTTGTTGAAGCATTCCATTCTCTGGCCACAGACGGCTCTGACTTCCTCATTGTCAACGACTCAGCTTCCATTCACTTCACCAATCCAGTCCTGTTGTCACCTCCTATACCTTGTTCCTCCCCATCACTTGGGATGACCCAACCTGCAAAATCTATATGCTCAGAAGTCTAGCTCTGCAACCCTTTTGGGTCACACATTCATGGGCCTGAGTCTTAGAGTCAGAGAAGTCCACAGTAATCTGACTTTTCTGAATTGCAGTTACTCTTCTGCAAAGTGAGAGAGTACTAAATGAGACCCTACATGTAAAGCTGTTAGCATGATGCCTGGTGCATAAATACCAAGGGTTACAATGAGAGCTACTGTTATCAAGTCTGTGATGGTTGATTTCATGTGTTAACCTGACAGGACTACGGGATGCCCACATATCTGGCTAAACATTATCTCTGAGTGTGTCTGTGAGGGAAGAGATTAGCATTTGAGTTGGTAGGCTGAGTAAAGCAGAAGACCCCTCCCAATGTGGGGAGGGGAGGCATGGCTCATCCTGTTGGCCCAGAAAGAACAAAAAGGCAGAGGAAGGTTGAACTCTCCCTCTCTTTCTGCCTGAGACATTGGTCTTGTGCACTTGGACTGGGACACGATCAGTGCTCAGACCTTTGGACACGGACTGGAATTTACACCATTGGTTTTCCTGGGTCTTTGAAGATGGCCAATCATGGGACTTCTCAGCCACTAATTGTGTGAGCCAGTTCTTTACAATAACGTCATAATAAATCATATATATACATGATATATTATAAATGTTCTTTATTATAAATGTTCTTAATTATAAACATTCTTCTCTCTATATATATCTGTATCTATATCAATATCTATCTATATCTATTGATTCTGTTTCTCTGGGGAACCCTGATTTATATCTAGTCAAAACCTACAAATACAAAACCTTATACCGAAATATGTGTTCTGATGTAACTGGCACGTGATTTTACAGGCTGTCAGACCTCACTTGGCCTTGCCCTTCTCCCCTTCCTCAGCTAGATTTAATCACCCGTCCCTGCAAGGGCACTCTCATCCATGCCCCCATCTCCTCTGTCTCCTTGTCCTCCTTCCACAGCTGTGCCTCCCTTCCATCCCCAATGCTATGTCAATCCAACTGATTCTTTTCTCCCTCTGTGCCTTCCAATGCTGCAGAAAAATCACATAACCATGCTGAATTGGTTCCATTACAAATTTATGAGCTTCCCAGCCTCAGCTGTGCTGCCAACCCTGCTCAGTCATCTTCTAATCATCTCTTGTTGACTTTCTCTCCCTTTCCTTTCTGTGGCTGCCCTGACCTCCCCTTGCTTCACCCAACCCACCATCACCCCCTATTCCCAGCCGAGGCTCTGCAGAGAATATGGAGGTCATCAGAAGTGATTTATTTCATGTATGTCCCTTCTAAGTTTTTACTTCTAAATTTGTCTATATTTTTACTTCCTTCATCATTATATCTGAAATTATTCTACTCTCACATCTTCACTGTCTCTTTCTTTCTCCGGGCTTTCGCCCAGCACATACAATTATGTATTCATTTCCCCTTTCACATGCTTTTCCCCCATTTCTTTCTACTTTGCTTCCTTTTCAAAGATCTGCCTTGTAGGTTCCTCTCTTAATCACTCGTCCACTGGTCCTTCACCTTTGCAGCCCAGTGGAATCCTATGGGGGAGCTTTAAAAAAAATCTCCATGATTGGGTGTGCATTGTGGCTCAGGCCTATAATCCCGGCACTTTGGGAGGCCAAGGAGGGTGGATCACTTGAGGTCAGGAGATCGAGACCAGCCTGGCCAACATGATGAAACGTCGTCTCTACTAAAAATACAAAAAATTAGCCAGGCATGGTGGCGCGTGCCTGTAATCCCAGCTACTGGGGAGGCTGAGGCAGGAGAATCACTTAAAATCCGGAAGGTGGAGGTTGCAGTGAGCTGAGATTGTGCCAGTGCACTCCAGCCTGGGTGACTCTGTCAAAAAAAAAAAAAAAAAAAAATCCCCATGATTATTCCTTATCCCAGGACAATTAAACCAGAATCTGTAGGTTTGGGGCCCAGGCGTTTGCATTTTCAAAATCTTCCCAAGTATCTCTAATGTGCAGCCATGGCTGAGAGCCACTGCTCCCTCTGCTTGTATTCAAATCTCAGCCTATGTCAATCCATCTTCTTTTTGCCACCTCCATACTGAAAATGAACTTCCTAAAGTCACCAAGGATTTCCTCATTCTGAAATTCTGCCACCACCTTCAGGCCTCAGGCTATTCAACAGTTATGAAGCATGTGATTCTTAATACACATTTTCAACCTTGTGGACTTCCAAGGCAATGTTCTGTCCCAGCTCTCTTCCCACTTAGATTTCTCTTTCATTGCCTCATTTGGCTTCTTTTCCTCTCTTGGTGTCTCTGTGCTAACCCACTTTATTTCACTTTACACTTTCTTCGGCAGCAGTGCCATCCACTCCCATCCCTTTCTTCTCTTGCCTTCTCTGTTCCTTTTCTATCAATGTGCTCAGCATTCCTCCTGCTCCCACTAAATTGGCCAAGCTACCAATACTTGGAGGCATCACTGACATTTTTCTACAATCCCCGAGGGCGGAGATCAGTGGGAAGAAGGCTCTCTCAGAGAGATGTGTGGTTTTATCCTTGGGGATAAAGAGAGCCCTGTTAAATCAGGGCAGAAGGTGACACAGAGCTGCCAGGGTGCTGGGGGTAGGGAGGGCATAGGGAGTATTGCTTAGTGGGTACAGAGTTTCTGTTTTGGGTGATAAAAACTTTTGGAAAGAGATAGTGGTGAGGGTTGCACAACATTGTCAATATACTTAATGCCACTGGCTTGTACACTTAAAAATGGTAAAAATGGCAAACTTTATATTATGTATATTTTACCACAATTAAAAACAAATTAAGAAAAGAAACTTGCAATGACAAGAGCTGGCCATGTGAAGACGGAGGGGAGGTGACGTTCCTACCAGAGCAAACAGCTGGTGCAAAGACCCCAAGGCAGGAATGAGCTTGGTTATTTTGTGGCTCTCTATTGTTCGGTACAGGATAACTCTCATGAGGTGTTAAAGATAAGTTTCTTTGTCCTAAAAAGACTCCAGAAAGGAAGTTGACTTTTAGTGCTGGTAGGGGAGTGAAGGGGTCTAAATGCAATGGTGAACTTGGGGATTTTAAAGACCTCTGACTGCATTCCTCAGGAAAGCCAAGGGGCTTGTGGAGTTGCTGGTTTGCCTCTGCTATCAGGCTGTGAGCATCCTAGGACCACCCAAGTCTGTGCCATTTCAGTTCTGTCTCCTAAATCTATGTCTACTTGTTGAACAATGAGCTAGGGTTAAAGTACTAAACCAAGAGGCAGCAGAAATGGATTACAAATGGGCTTGGGCTATAATCCCAAAAGACACAATCCTGAATGCCGTAAATCTGATGGTTGAAACCCTGAACATCACAATCCTGAAAGATCAAAATCCCAAAAACATGATTCTTAAAAAATTAATTTAAAAAATTATTTAAAAGATATTTATCAGGCCGTGCACAGTGGCTCATGCCTGTAATCCCAGCATTTTGGGAGGCCAAGGCGGTGGATCATGAGGTTAGGAGTTGGAGACCAGCCTGGCCAACATGGTGAAAACCCATCCCTACTAAAAATACAAAAATTAGCCAGGCATAGTGGTGGGTGCGTGTAATCCCAGCCACTCAGGAGGCCGAGGCAGGAGAATCGCTTGAACCTGGGAGGCGGAGGTTGCAGTGAGCCGAGATGGCGCCACTGCACTCCAGCCTGGGTGACTGAGCAAGACTCTGTCTCGAAAAAAAAAAAGAAAAAAGATATTTATTTACATTTTTAAAAAGAGGATGTATTTAAGAAACACAAAAACACAACAGAACACTTCACAGGCCACTCGATACAACAAAATAGACAACAGCAACATACATATTATTGCAAGCACAAACACCCAGGCTTACTAACTACAGTCACATGAATATGACATGAGCAGCAGATGAACCATATTCATAAAGAATCATGTCAAAAAGTGAAATATATAGATACATATTACTATGGATGGTGTTGCGTGCATCCAGCTTTATACCTGTGTTCACCTGAAATACCGTGACAAGCAACCTAAGTCTTTCAATGAAATCCATCAAAAACAGTGATGAGTCACCATTGCCTATGCAATCACCCAAAGGGCAAAGATCTTGAGAAATTTTGCCTTTCACAAATGAAGATGCACATAGAGGACATCTCTTCATTTACTGAGGAAGTTTCAACGTTATTAATTACAGGCATGACGCTGACACACAAAGTCAATGTTGCGATGATGCACTTTGGTGGAGTCAAATTTCTGACGTTCCAGGCAGCAGAAGAAAAGTCTGTCCCAGCTCTCAGTTTGCTGTCTACATTTTTCTCTCTGGACCCCCAGCCAACTGCCTGGTGCCTGCCAGCACTGAGGGCAGATCTTCCCCCACCCGTTCCACTCAGATTCACACACTATTCTCCTCTGGAAACACCCTTACAGACTCACCCAAAATAATGCTTTATCTGGATTCTAGGTATTCCTTAATTCAATCAAGTTGACACCTAAAATTAGGTTGACAAATCCACCCCTTGTCAACTTGGCGACTGTATGCATCTCTTTAAACCATACTTAATTTGCAAATAAAGACAATAGCAAGGTGTCAGTTCCACCTAATGTGAAGCCACTAACATAATGCAACTATCCCTAATACAACTGAAAGCACACTAATCCCTTCCCCAGAATTTGGCTTTCAGGATTTAAGCATTGGGAATTCTGTCTTTAGCGACTGTATTAGTCTGTTTTCACACTGCTATAAAGATACTACCCAAGTCTGGGTGATTTATAAAGGAAAAAGGTTTAATTGACTCACAGTTGTGCATGGCTGGGGAGGCCTCAGGGAACTCACAATCACGGCAGAAGAGTGGGGGAGCAGGCACATCTTACACGGTGGCAAGTGAGAGAGAGCCTGTGAAAAGGGAACTGTCAAACACTTATAAAGCCTCCGATCTCGTGAGAACTCACTCACTGTCATGAGCACAACATGGGGGAAACCACCTCCATGATCCAATCAATTCCCACCAGGTTCTTCCCTCAACACGTGGGGATTATGGGGATTACAATTCGAGATGAGATTTGGGTGGGGACACAGAGCCAAACCACATCAGAGATTATGATTGGCGCCAATTCAAATTCTAGCTCCACCATTAACTAGTTGCATGTTTATGGATAAATGGCTCAGTCTAACTGAGCCTCAGTTTCCTACTCCATAAAATGTAGGATTTGGATGATATTAAGGATAATAAATATATGGCACACACATTCTCTCCCACACACCAGGCAGCAGGGCCAGATGTTGATGTGTGGGCACTCCAGACTAATTGGCCCTCATCCAACCAATATTACTTACAAAGTTGTTCAATATTTATTTATCTAGGGAGGATAGAGAAGTTGAAAGAAAAAAAATTTGTATTGGCCAGGAGCAGTGGCTCACGCCTGTAATCCCAGCACTTTGGGAGGCCGAGGCAGGTGGATCACGAGCCCAGGAGATCAAGACCATCCTGACTAACATGGTGAAACCCTGTCTCCACTAAAAATACAAAAAATTAGCCGGGCGTGGTAGCTGGTGCCTGTAGTCCCAGCTACTCGGGAGGCTGAGGCAGGAGAATGGTGTGAACCCGGGAAGCGGAGCTTGCAGTGAGCTGAGATCGCACCACTGCACTCCAGCCTGGGTGACAGAGCAAGACTCCATCTCAAAAAAAAAAATTGTATTAATAAAAATTATATTTGCTAGTTTACTTCAACAAGGCTAATCAGAGTCACTGAAAAACTCCCTAAAATATTCCCTTTTTTGTGTGTTCTTGTTCTCTCCCCTGATTTCTTTAGTCCATTTCTTGGGAGTTATATTACAACCTTTGAAATGTATTTAATAAAACAAATTTCTTCTTCTGGGCAAAAGGCACTATATCATGAAATATTTCAATTGAGAATTTTAACAAAGTGGGACTTCATGAGCAAGTTGCAAAAGACATAAGCAGAGATGTGCTTTTAAAAGTTTCACTTCAGAGTGCTGTCTGCTTTGGTGGGAGTGGAACAAATTACATTTAACTAGTCTATCCCAGTGATGTTTTAGTGTTTCTTTCACATCAACATTTTCCAGCAGCTGCCCCAGAGGCTTGAGTTCCTGCAGCTGTCCAGGGCAGACATTACTAATGGAGCACAGCACTCCTTCCTGAAGAGCCTGGATGCAACCCCAGCTTCCCTGGCACCTGCTTCCAGTTATAGACCCTGCTGGCCATCCTTGGGCTGGGTTGACTCTGCAATTCCTTGCAGCTTCAATGTTTTAGGAGTCTGTGATGTTAAACTTTACATGATAATCTGAGTAACCATTTGTCTGGGACCTGAGAAACTGACATGTAAATTTGATTTTAAACATGTTTAAATGAATGTTTGTACAGAAGAAAAGGATGTGGAAAACTGAAAAAAATCTCTGTTAGGTATTTTCCAGGAAGTAACAATTGAAGACAATTTTATGAAAATAATCTGGACTAATGTCAAGCTATGTTGAGGGCAATTTAAGACCTAGAATTGGGAGGATGGGCCTAGAACCTGGATGGAAAGAGAGATCTTGTTTTTCAGAGATAAAACAGCATTGGATTGGGGGTGGAAGATGAGCTAAGAAGATCAACTGCAAAAACTTTATTTTTGTGAGCTGCATCCAGTGCCAATCTGAATTTAGCTAAAATTTGAAACAGCCAATGCTGTTGCAGAGTCACTTTTGTGCTCCATGTCTAATGAGGAATGTACTGATGGGAGATGAGCATTGCTTTACAGATCATCAGACACAGTTTTGAGTTCTGGCTTCTGTAATTATTTGTTGTGGGACCTTGAAGTAAAGTAATTTATCTCGACTGTTTGCTTATCTGTGCAGTGACGATACTATCACTTACCTTTTCATGTAATAAGGTTTAAATAACATCTTGTTGGCAAATCACCTAATTGAGTCTAGGAAGAAGCATTACAAATTGTCATCCAATGGTATTTACAAGTTGAGTGATTGAATCATACTTGATTAAGGAGAGCTTCATATCTACTTTCCAGTAGGGATTCTGGTAAAAGCACCATGGGGGGGACCAACAAATTTGGAACTGGAAACTGGGTCTGTGAATGTGAAATACGAATCGGCTGGACAACCCAGTAGAAAAGGGGGCCAAGAACAACAAGAAATCAACCACAAATTAATCAAGGAAGTGAAAATGGATACAATACTTTGTGTCTTTCAAATTGGGGAATATCTGTAGTCTCACTGCTAGGGGGATTATAAATCAGTATGGCCATTTGGGAAGGTGGTTTGGCAGTTTATCAAAGTTCCTTTCAGCATTGTGCCTCTCTCTCCACATAGGATGGTTCTGCCCTATACGAAGCACCAAGAGCTCAGAAACAACCTCAGGAAGAGAGAGGGAGCCCTTGCTCCAATTTATTTATTCTTAATTTATCAATTTCTGTCATATTACATATGTATTCCATTATGTCGTTTATTGGCTGCCTCACCTATTGGAATGTAAATTCACCGGAATGAACTTTACTGGAATGTAAGAGAAGACAGGGATTTCATCTCTCAGGTCCATAGGCATATGAACGTGAAGTTCAGAATATGAATACATAAAAAGATCCCACAAGGTTCTAGAAAGACCTGTATGCAATTGTTCTGCATTTTCAGTCAACAGTTGGCTTGGAGGTCTAGCCATATTGGTACTTATATATCTACCTAATTCTATTTAACTTTTGATTCTGTCAACATTGCTGTATTGGAGGGGTAGAAAACTCAAATTCTACATCCATTATGTGGGAAACCTAAATGTGATGCCCAGGAGAAAGGTGTGTTACAATCAAATATCGTGCCTGCCTAATTATATGGCCACTTCAAACATTGTACATGCCAAGTAAAATCAGCAAACAGCACACACACCTGAGCTATATTTTGCCTAAGAACCAGCACTTGGTGAACTTTGCTACTGTCTTCTCATGTATTTGTAATCTTCTGTGGGTAACCATTGGTGTTTTAAGTTACTTCCTCTTTCCCTCCCAAGTTGGTACTGACTTGGGTTACATACTTTGGGATAAACTTGAGAACACAGGAGATGGAAAAAGGAAAATCAAAATGTTAGTTGTGTTACCTTAAAGCTGATTGGAGAAAGAGGCTTTAGAACTGTGGCCAAATGGACTTACTAACCCCTACCTCCTAAAATTGGCAGACTCCTGGGCATAGTCATGAGTACCACTGCTTGGCTCTACCCTGTGGGCTGGACTGTTACCACCTGGCAGGTAAGGAGATAGGGGCATACTTCCTACAGCTGATAGACCTGATCAGACAGGGGCAAGGGCTGAGTCTTTAGTATAGTTACTTCTCTAGTTACTTCTCTCAAATGCACTTATCTTACTGTTCTTTTTTTTTTTTTTTTTCACTTATAAGTTGCTGCTCTTCTTATGCAGAGAAATCATGAGGTAGAGAAAAAGGCCAGGAGTGTTATTCTCATAAAAATTCCTCCCCATAGAACTATAAGACTAGTGGGGAGCTTGATTCTTTTAATAGTAACCAGTATTTTCTGTCTGGAAACATGTTCTTATCTCTCTGTCTTTTTAATACAGCACCTTAACTAAGAAAGCTCTTGCCCTTGGTCTCTGTTCACTTATTTTTCCAGCTATGTAACAAAAATCTTTTCATTGGTAGCTTCCACTATGCCTACAGGTCACACATTCTTTCTTCTAAGATAGCTTTGATTACTATTTCTAGTCTATCGGTTCTGATCTATTATCTTATTTATTATCATTTCTCTTATGGTTTTAAACTCTTGATTTTTAAAATATGTTGACTTTTGGCCGGGTGCGGTGGCTCATGCCTGTAATTCCAGCAGGTTGGGAGTCTGAGGCAGGAGGATTTCTTGAGGCCAGGAGTTTGAGACTAGCCTGGAAATGTAGCAAGACCCCATCTCTACAAAAAAATTAAAAAATTGCCAGGCATGGTGGCACATGACTGTAGCCCCAGCTACTCAGGAGGCTGAAGTGGGAGGATCACCTGAGCCTAGGAATTTGAGGCTGCAGTGTGCTATGATCATGACACTGCACTCCAGCCTGGATAACAGGGCAACAGAGTGAGGCTCTGTCTTTTGATGAAACACAAAACAAAAAAACTAAAATATGTTTACTTTCCATAGTTCATTTTTCCTTCCCATAACTTTATTTCCCTTATAAAACCTTTGTCTCTAGCCCAGATCTCTATCCTAGGCTTCAGATCCATACATTCAACTGTTGTCAAGTTTTGTGTATCAAAAAGAAGTTCTTATCTTCCCCTCAAAACCTTTTCTACCACCTGACAGCCTAGCTAACCTTTAGCTCATGTGGAGGTTAAAATCATACTGACTTCATAGGGTTCATTGGAAAGATTAGATCAGATAATGAAAGTGATTGTTGCTTAGACGTCAAGAAAAATAAGGACGTTAACATCCCACTGCAGAATTTAAATCTGCACCAAAAACCACAATGCACAGTTGTTATCTGTGACTTCTTCACTATTCTATGTTAGATTTGCTGTTTTCCTTTTTTCTTCATAGCTAAAAAAAGGTCACAAAGCAAGGAAAATTTCAGTTTTTTACATGTGTTTTAAAACATCTACATTCTTTATCATACTCAATTTATAGTTTAGGGGGATATAAAATTCTAGGCAATAAGTTTTCCCTCAGAATTTGTAAGGCTTTGATTCATTATATTCTAGCATCTAATGTTGCTCATAAGAGATTGTGTTTCTGATTTCTTATTCTTAGTATATGACCTATTAATTTTTCCTCTGTGGTTACTTTTAGAACCTTTTGTAAAAATCCCTGGGGTTCTGAAATTTCAAAGTGATGTGCCTTGTGTGACTTTTTAGTATTCATCATGAGTAACATTTTATGGGCTCCTTCCATCTGGAGTTAGGCCTTTCAATTCTGAAGAATGCTTTCCTATTATTTCCCTCAATGACTTCCTTTTCTTTATTTTCTTTGCTGTTTTAAGTCCAAGTATTTAGATATTGCAATTTCTTAAAAATACTTTTTTCTTTTCTCCACTATTTTCTACCTCCTGATCTTTTCACCTATATATTGGATATTCCCTCAACTTCATATTCTATTATCGAATTTTAGTTATCAAATACTTTACTTTTTTTTTCTTTTTTTATTTTATTATTATTATACTTTAAGTTTTAGGGTACATGTGCACAATGTGCAGGTTAGTTACATATGTATACATGTGCCATGCTGCTGTGCTGCACCCATTAACTCATCATTTAGCATTAGGTATATCTCCTAAAGCTATCCCTCCCCCCTCCCCCCACCCCACCACAGTCCCCAGAGTGTGATGTTCCCCTTCCTGTGTCCATGTGTTCTCATTGTTCAATTCCCACCTATGAGTGAGAACATGCAGTGTTTGGTTTTTTGTCCTTGTGATAGTTTACTGAGAATGATGATTTCCAATTCCATCCATGTCCCTACAAAGGACATGAACTCTACATTTTTTGTGGCTGCATAGTATTCCATGGTGTATAGGTGCCACATTTTCTTAATCTAGTCTATCATTGTTGGACATTCGGGTTGGTTCCAAGTCTTTGCTATTGTGAATAGTGCCGCAATAAACATACGTGTGCATGTGTCTTTATAGCAGCATGATTTATAGTCCTTTGGGTATATACCCAGTAATGGGATGGCTGGGTCAAATGGTATTTCTAGTTCTAGATCCCTGAGGAATTGCCACACTGACTTCCACAATGGTCGAACTAGTTTACAGTCCCACCAACAGTGTAAAAGTGTTCCTATTTCTCCACATCCTCTCCAGCACCTGTTGTTTCCTGACTTTTTAATGATTACTATTCTAACTTATGTGAGATGGTATCTCATTGTGGTTTTGGTTTGCATTTCTCTGATGGCTGGTGATGGTGAGCATTTTTTCATGTGTTTTTTGGCTGCATAAATGTCTTCTTTTGAGAAGTGTCTGTTCATGTCCTTCGCCCACTTTTTGATGGGGTTGTTTGTTTTTTTCTTGTAAATTTGTTTGAGTTCATTGTAGATTCTGGATATTAGCCCTTTGTCAGATGAGTAGGTTGTGAAAATTTTCTCCCATTTTGTGGGTTGCCTGTTCACTCTGATGGTAGTTTCTTTTGCTGTGCAGAAGCTCTTTAGTTTAATTAGATCCCATTTGTCAATTTTGGCTTTGTTGCCATTTCTTTTGGTGTTTTAGAATGATTGTATATCTAGAAAACCCCATTGTCTCAGCCCAAAATCTCCTTAAGCTGATAAGCAACTTCAGCAAAGTCTCAGGATACAAAATCAATGTACAAAAATCACAAGCATTCTTATACACCAATAACAGACAAACAGAGAGCCAAATCATGAGTGAACTCCCATTCACAATTGCTTCAAAGAGAATAAAATACCTAGGAATCCAACTTACAAGGGACGTGAAGGATCTCTTCAAGGAGAACTACAAACCACTGCTCAATGAAATAAAAGAGGATACAAACAAATGGAAGAACATTCCATGCTCATGGGTAGGAAGAATCAATATTGTGAAAATGGCCATACTGCCCAAGGTAATTTATAGATTCAATGCTATCCCCATCAAGCTACCAATGACTCTCTTCACAGAACTGGAAAAAACTACTTTAAAGTAGTCAATCCTAAGCCAAAAGAACAAAGCTGGAAGCATCATGCTACCTGACTTCAAACTATACTACAAGCCTACAGTAACCAAAACAGCATGGTACTGGTACCAAAACAGAGATATAGATCAATGGAACAGAACAGAGCCCTCAGAAATAACGCCACATATCTACAACTATCTGATCTTTGACAAACTTGAGAAAAACAAGCAATGGGGAAAGGATTACCTATTTAATAAATGGTGCTGGGAAAACTGGCTAGCCATATGTAGAAAGCTGAAACTGTATCCCTTCCTTACACCTTATACAAAAATTAATTCAAGATGGATTAAAGACTTAAACTTTAGACCTAAAACCATAAAAACCCTAGAAGAAAACCTAGGCATTACCATTCAGGACATAAGCATGGGCAAGGACTTCAAATACTTTAATTTCTAAAAGTTCTTTCCTTGTTCTTGGACAATTCTTTTGTGTGGAATGTTGTTCCTTTTGCAATTCACAGTCCAGGCAGGTGAAATATCTCCTTTCATTCTACTAAAGACGCTGATACAGATCCAGATAAAGATGTAGATCTTTCCTTTGCTCCTGGAGTCATTTCTGCATAACCCAGGTCCCTTATTTATACTAGTTTCATTTTCTCTCTGTCGATTAGAGGACATTTCAAGTGTCTGGTTATCCTTTGCTGGCCATTTTCTTTCCTGTGGCAAAATATACAGCATACAAAATTTATCATTTGAATCATTTTTGAGTAGACAGTTCAGTGGTGATAAGTACATTCACATTGTTGTGTAATCATCACTGCCATGCATCTCCAGAACTTTTTCATCATCTCAAACTGAAACTCAGTACCCATTAAACTCTAACTCCCCATTCCCCCCTCCCTGCAGCCCCTGGTAAACATGATTCCTCTTTCTCGAAGAATTTAACTATTTGAAGTACCTCATATAAGTGGAATCATCCAATAGTTATCCTTTTTGTGTCTGGCTTATTTCACTCAGCAAAATGTTTTTAAGGATTACCCATGCTGTAGCAAGTATCAGAAATTCATTCTTTTACAAGGCTGAATAATATTCCATCATATGTCTGGACCATAAGTTGTTTATCCATTCATCCATTGATGGGCATGGGTTGCTGCCACCTTTCGATTATTGTGAATAATATTGTAATGAAAATGGGTGTACAAAGATCAGTTCAAGTCCCTGATTTCAATTCTTTTGGTTTACATTTTTTTTTGGAAATGGGGTCTCTCTATTGCCCAGGCTAGAGTGCAATGGCTCTTCACAGGCATGATCATAGTGCGCCATAGCTTCAAACTCCTGGGTTCAAGCGATCCTTCTGCCTGAGCCTCCTGAGTAGCTGGGACAATAGTCATGTGCCACTGCTCTTGGCTCTTTCAGTTTACTTTTTAAAGTGAGACGATAAAAATTTATGAGAGGCCGTGTGTATGCATGTGCACAGATTGTCAGGGAGCTCACAGTCGATGAGTGGGTTTTCAAACAAACCATTCATTAGAGGATCCCAGGAAGAGAATATCTATTTCAAAGTCCTATTCATTAGGCTCATGCTTTCTCCTCTATATTTAGCAGAGATAGCTGAACGTTTACAGTATACAGCACAGCACTCAGGGGAGTGCCTGGAACTTGCTGAATGAATGGTATGTGGGTGTCATTCTTTCTCAACTTTCTCATATAATTTCCCCATATTCTGATATTTCACTGATAGTTTTAGTTGCAATTTGGGAAGTCAGGAATGGGATGGGGAGCAGGGAGCAGTCAAGTTATACATTTGTGCTCAATCTGCCTTGATACTTAGAAATTCCTTTGACACATTGCCTTTAGCTGGCCCTGGGAGCAGAGACCACATTTTATATGCACAAGCTACTTAGACAACTGTGTGGTTATTCCTGGAGTAAGTAAATGATAACAGAGCTGCCTGCAGGACATGAGGTGGGTGTGAGGGATGGGGAACTGAGAGGGAAGAGGCCTCAGGGAGGCTGGGCTTCTTGCTTGGGGGTCTCTCCTCCTCTTGTCTCCTGTTTTCAGATGCTCTGGTCTGACCCTTTCATGGGGCAAGCTCCCTAGTACTGTAGGTTTCATGTGGAAAAGGTAATGATTTATTGTGATGGTAGTTGAAAAGTAAGGCTAACCTCGGCCGGGCATGGTGGCTCATGCTTGTAATCCCAGCACTTTGGGAGGGTGAGACGGGTGGATCACCTGAGGTCAGGAGTTCGAGATCAGCCTGGCCAACATGGTGAAACCCTGTCTCCACTAAAAATACAAAAATTAGCCAGGCGGGTGGTGCACGCCTGTAATCCCAGCTACTTGGAAGGCTGAGTCAGGAGAATCGCTTGAACCTGGGAGGCAGAGGTTGCAGTGAGCCAAGATCGCAGCATTGCACTCCCGCCTGGGCAACAGAGCCAGACTCCATTCCAAGGAAAAAAAAAAAAAAAGTAAGGCTAACCTCCATGTGAGGTTTTCTCACAGACAGAGCCATGGTGCCATTATTATCTCCATTCCAGAGTTTGAACAAAGCACAAGGATAAAGTCAGGAGGGAAAAATGAAGTCTGAGCAGCTGGTGTTTGCTTCAGCCTCTTCCGGAGCCGCTTCTGAGCCATCAGGGAATAGGAAGGAGCTATTGCCATTCCCTGCACGGCCCCAGTGCGAGCCTGGGCTGTGACGCACAGATATGGAGGGACATTGTCGCTGGCTTCTAAGTGATATTCTTCTTCCTTCTAATCTCCCTATTCTGCTGCTGGGAAATTTATGTAAAATCAACGCATAGCTACTTAAGTTTTGCTCCCATTGATGTTATTGTTATTTATTTATTTACTCCACACATTCCTAGATGGATTATGTAAGATTTGACAGTTTCTTTCTTGAAGTCTTGCACTTTTATCTGCAGAATGCCATCTGCCATCATCAGAGAGCAGTGGATGTGGATGTGTCTCAGGAATTAGTTGATGTCCTGTGAACTAGATTTGCATAAGCTTCTGCAGCCTCTGCTAACGAGTGTAAGATGGTTACCAGGGCCTGCTATTATGGAGAGTGATTATTAAACATGCAGAAGTCTCAAGCTGGGCGCAGTGGCTCACACCTGTAATCCCAGCACTTTGGGAGGCTGAGGCAGGCGGATCACCTGAGGTCGGGAGTTCGAGACCAGCCTGACCAACATGGAGAAACCTCATCTCTACTAAAAATAAAAAAATAGCCAGGCATGGTGGTGCATGCCTTTAATCCCAACTACTCAGGAGGCTGAGGCAGGAGAATTGCTTGAACCTGGGAGGCAGGGGTTGTGGTGAGCCAAGATCATGGCATTGTATTACAGCCTAGGCAATAAGAGCGAAACTCCGTTCCAAAAACAAAACAAAACAACAACAACAACAACAAAAAGCATGCAGAAGTCTCATACTGTCTTAACGTGTGACAGAATTGAAACCAACTGTGCAAACATGCAGAAAAACGTTTGCCTCCTTAATGTTTTGTAAACAACTAGAAATCTGACATTTCTTCAAGGAAAGTCCCTCCTGCCCCACCTTTTATATAATTCTTGACAAGAGTTTTTTAAACATTTTCTTTTTATTTTTTATGGAGATAAAATTTACCAACAGTCAATACACAGATCTGAACATCGCATTTGAATTTACCAACAGTCAATGCACACATCTGAAACTTTGATGCTTTTAACAGATGTATCCATTCATGTAGTCAACCAACACCCATCAAGACACAGAACAATTCTTTGCCCCAGCAAGTTCCTTGTGCCCCATTCCAGTCAATCACCATGCCTTGCAAGCAATCACCACCTGCTTTGTATCACCCTGTTCCTGGACAGAGCAAGTTCCTACTGTCCAATAATGAGATGCAGACAGACTGGGAAAGAAGGGAGTTGATTTCTGCAACTGGCGACAGGGAGAAGTTCAGAGTAACTCACCAGACCAACTCAAAGTTGAAGGTTTTATTCTAGTGCTTATATACATTTAAAGTTTTATGCCTATGTGTGGAAATGCACCTACAAGTAGAAGTGTTTCATTCCATCTATATCTAATCTTTAACTAGGGTCTAGGGTTTGGAAAGCTTTCTCTAGAACCTTGGAAGGTTTTTAAATCTTAAATGGGCCCTGCAACGAAGTGTATGTGTAAGAATGCTATTCTTACTTGATCAGACTTTAGGGTCTGAGAAACCCCAGGTGGGGTCTTAATGGGGTTGATTTACATTCCAGGCCTTGTACTCAGGTACCAGTTTCTCCAGGTCTTTAATGTCTAACTTATACACTCATAAGAATTACAGTAAAGGGTTAGTGGAAACTGTCTGTTCTGGCTGCTCATGGAAACCTGGCCTGCCAAACCCTAGAGATTCGTGTTGCTGCCTGACCCTAGAGATTCGTGTCACCAGTTCTAAAACTTCACATAAATGCAATTGTCCATTGTCATCAGGCACTGTGCATTTCTTTTCTTTTCTTTTTTTTTTTTTTTTTTTGAGACAGAGTCTGGCTCTGTTGCCCAGGCTGGAGTGCAGTGGCGCAATCTCAGCTCACTGCAAGCTCCGCCTCCCGGGTTCACGCCATTCTCCTGCCTCAGCCTCCCGAGTAGCTGGGACTACAGGTGACTGCCACCACGCCCAGTTAGCTTTTTTGTATTTTTAGTAGAGACGGGTTTTCACCAAGTTAGCCAGGATGGTCTCGATCTCCTGACCTCATGATCAACCCGCCTCAGCCTCCCAAGGTGCTGAGATTACAGGTGTGAGCCACCGTGCCTGGGCCAGGCACCGTGCATTTCTTTGTGTCTGGCTTCTTTTCTCATCCATGTAATTGTATACTAGTAGTTTGTTCTTTTTATTCCTTAGTAGTATCATACAATACTTTCAATTTCATAATATTTTTTATACATTTCCCAGTTGATGGACTTTTAGGTTGTTTCCAGTTTGGGGTTCTCATGAGTGAAGCTGATAAAACACTTATACAAGTGTGTTTGTGGATATGTGTTTTCACTTGCCTTGGGTAAATATTTACAAGCTAAATAGCTGTGTCATAGGGTAAATGTAAGTTCACAATTCTTGTCACATTTATTTCTAATTGTTTTATCATTCTTTTTGTCATTGTAAATAGGATTTCCAACCCCTTCCATTTTCTAAATGTTTTTTTCTGGTTTATAAGACAGAGAATGATTTTTAAAATATTTGGTGATTAGAGTCTTTGTTAGTTGCTTTTATTGGTTCTTTTTTTATTGTCTTTTTATTTTTGAAATCCAAGTACTACCTGAATAGTCTCATCATAAAGGATTCAAACATTGAAAAGATGTAAGAAAGTCAAATACAAATGCAACCCTTCACCTTCACTCCAGCTCCTACTTTACCCCTGGAGATACTGAATAGTAACAATACAATGGGTTGCTTTCAGATTTTTTTTAAAGCACTTCAATGTGTGGTTTTGTAGGATATAAACAGCACAGGGTACCACACCTAGACATTGTAGATTTGTGTAGGCTGGAGTGCAGTGGCACGATCTCGGCTCACTGCAAGCTCCGCCTCCCAGATTCACGCCATTCTCCTGCCTCAGCCTCCCCAGGAGCTGGGACTAAAGGCGCACGCTGCCATGCCCAGCTAATTTTTGTATTTTTAGTAGAGACGGGGTTTCACTGTGTTAGCTAGGATGGTCTTGATTTCCTGACCTTGTGATCCACCCGCCTTGGCCTCCCAAAGTGCTGGGATTACAGGCGTGAGCCACCGCACCCAGCCGAAGATTCTTAAGTGTACATATTTGTACACACACATTATGTAAGTATTTATTTAGTGGTGATTTCTACATGTCCTGCTCTAGTTGCTGTGGAAGCAGCTGTGACCAAGGGAGACACAGTGCCTGCTCTCATGTGGCTTACATTCTAATGGAGGAGCGCAGACTGTGAATAAGGAAACATTTAAACAAGATCATATTTATTGAATTAAATGTTTAGTAGAAAATAGATAAACTCCTATGCTAGAAAATTACTACTTTTGGCCGGGTGCAGTGGCTCACACCTTTAATCCTAGCACTTTGGGAGGCTGAGGCAGGCAGATCACCTGAGGTCAGGAGTTTGAGACCAGCCTGGCCAACCCTGTCTCTACTAAAAATACAAAAACTAGCCAGGTGTGTTGGCACATGCCTGTAATCCCAGTTACGTGGGAGGCTGAGGCAGGAGAATTGCTTGAACCCAGGAGGTGGAGGTTGCAGTGAGCCGAGATTGCACCACTGCACTCCAGCCCGACAGAGTGCAATTCTGTCTCAAAAAAAAAAAGAAAAAAAAAGAAAAAAGAAAATGACTACTTTCAATTGCGGGTTTAAGGAAGTGTTTTAGGTAAAATCTGAGGGATAAGAAAGAACTGACTAATAGAGACCCTGAGTCTCTGAACTAGACCAATGATGGGGATTTCTTTAAAAAATTGAAATACCTTTTTAACTTTTCCCAGGCATTTTCATAGGGTGAAGACAAAGGGTACCAGGATGTGAAGCTGAGGAAGGATTTTCTGAGTCCACTTCTATCTACTATTAAGATGAACCCCAATTCTCCATTTTGGCAGTTGTTTATTGATCAATCTTAGATTTAAGAATTGTGGGGTTCTACCTTTTCTCATTCTTCCTGGGAATCTGAGTTGAACAATTAAGTTGTTCAATTATGGTTAAATGTTGAACAATTAGTATTAATCAGGTTTTTATTAAGATTTGAACAACATTGCCTTCCACGGTATACTCTCTAACAAGTACCTATTGTACAAGTGTCCTGTTTTTCCAATTAAGGACAGAACAATGGGAATGATTAAATTTTTAAATAGAAGTTGAGTAGGTTAATGTAATTGCCTGGTGGGTTCTTCTTGCCTACTGCACAGATAGAGTCAATTCACTGAGTTAGTGGTATTGCATTAAAGAAAGAGTTTAATTAATGCAAGGCTACTCAGGCAGAAGGTGAGAGTTTATTACTCAAATCATCTCCCTGAGAACTCAGAGGCTAGGGTTTTTATGGGCAATTTGGCAGGCAGGGGCTAGGGAATGGGTGCTGCTGATTGGTTGGGGGAGAAATCATAAGGGTGTGGAAAATGGTCCTCGTGCACTGAGCCTCTGGCTGGGGAGCCATGAGTTACGGGTCTTGTGGAAAATGGTCCTTGTGCACTGAGTTAGCCTCTGGCTAGGGAGCCATGAGTTATGGGTCTTGGTGGAGTCAGTAGGTTGCCAGAATGCAGAAGTCTAAAAAATATCTCAAAAGACCAATCTTAGGTTCTATAATAGTGATGTTATCTGTAGGAGCAATTGGGGAAGTTACAAATCTTGTGATCTCTGTCACAGTAAATGACTATAGAAAGGCAAGCTATGCCTACATTTTAGCAGAATGCAGGCCCCTCCCATAATCCTATTCGTGTCGCCTTTCATTAGTCTTATAAAGGCAAGTTTCAATCCCTGAATAAGAAAGGGGTCAGTTTTAGGGAGGGGCTACTATCACCCTTGTGGCAAAGTTAAGCTATGAACGAAATTCATCCCATAGTTAGCTTGTCCTACTCCAAGAAATGAATGAGGGTGGCCAGCCTGTGAGGCTAGAAGCAAAATGGAATCAGCCATGCTAGACTTTCTTACTGTCATCATCTTTGCAAAGGCAGTTTCATTAAGACAAAATATATCTAAATATAAGCCCACTCCACTACTACACATTGTACCTCCTGGTATTGTTTAGAATGACTTTTCCCCTGTCTTTCCTTTTTTCAGGGCCAATGTATTCTTCAATAAATAAATGTGACTTGATTTCAACACATAAGAATGAATGATTGAAGCGTCAAAGTTCTAAGCCATGGAGCATGGCTGTAAAAACTTTACTCCAAATACTTTTAAAAGCGGATACTATTTAATAACCATGTAGGTTATTTAAAAAGTTGAAGTGAAGCACTCATAAAATGTCTAATTTTGAGAATTGTAAATTCTCGTGTCCTTTGCCAAAGAAAGCATTTGTAAAATGTAATTGCCAAAGAGGTTGCTACATTATTTTTTGGAAGACTTAACAACTTAGCAAAATACATGAAAAGGCAACTTAGCCATCCCTTGAAAGACTCGGCAGGACTTTACCAGGTAATGAAGTGTGTCCTGTGTGTAGGGATTGGGGTTGAAGAGATATTTGGGGGAAGGACAGAGAGTTAAAAGGTGGAAAAGTCACTACAAGCAGATGGAGAAGCAGGGACGGAAGTGTGGAGGTGGAGGGAACACATCACATGTAGAAAGACAGCTACAGTTTGATGGGAAGTAGGATGGGTAGATTGTCAACACCATTAGATTGGGAGCTTTGTTTATCTAATTCAGGGGGTTGGCTAACTATTGCCTACTCGCCAAAAGTTTTTGTAAATAAAGGTGTATCAGAGCAAGGTCATGCCCTTTTGATTACATATTGTCTGTGACTGCTTTTGCCCTACAATGGCAGAGTGGTGCAGAAACCACCACTGCTGCTGCGGAAACAGTGTGGCTAACGAAGCCCAAAATATTTACTATCTGGCCCTTTCTAGATGAAGTTGTTGACTTCTGATCTAACTCTGCCATGTCCCCTGGTATGGAGATTCCAGTGTATTGCCTGGCGTGTGGTAGGTGCTCAATATACTGGTGATTCATATTGAATTGAAGCATTCGCTGGTATTCAGATAATGAAGGGGCCTATTGTGGTTCTTTTTGTTAAGAAGGTGGAGCTTTATCTTAATGGTAAAGCATTTTGAGCCATGTATTCATGCACGCATTCATTTATTCATTCTCATTCTTTGAGACTCACCTCTAGCCTGAACTGGCCTCCCTCTACTCTGTCTCTCTAGCAAACTGGGCAAAACATTGATCAGACTGTTTTTCTGTGGGCCGGTTTCTCCCCTAGACTGAACTACTTGAAGGAAAAGGGTATTTCCTTTGTCTCTGTATTCGCCAGGCATGACACAATGCCTGCAACCTTGGGGGACCTTGATAAATATTCTTTGAATGAATGAAACAAACATTTGTCAAGCACTATTTTGAATGAATCAAAAAATCCAGAGATAATGCTGATTTGAGGAGACACTTGTGTTCATAAGAATTATGTGGAAGTGCTTTATAATCTAAACAGAACTACACAAATGGAAAATTCTTTTATTGTTTAGAAACTCTTTCTACTTCTATGTATCTTAAGTGTGTAAGCTCCTTCAAGAATTAATGACAAGAAAACAGATGGAGTTTGGGGCCAGACAGATCTCAGTTCAAATTCTAGCTTTTCTTCAATTTCTAATAATGAGCAACTTGGTTTGCACTAGCCTAAACCAGGATCACTTTTTTAAAAAAATATATTTTTAAGGCCAGGTGCAGTGGCTCACACCTATAATCCCAGCACTTTGGGAGGCCAGGCGGTTGGGGGGCAGATCACGAGGTCAGGAATTCGAGACCAGTCTGCCCAACATGGTGAAACCCCGTCTCTACTAAAAATACAAAAAGTAGCTGGGTGTGGTGGCAGGTGCCCGTAATCCCAGCTACTCGGGAGGCTGAGGTAGGAGAATTGCTTGAAACTGGAAGGCAGAGGTTGCAGTGAGCCGAGCTCGTGCCACTACACTCCAGCCTAGGCAACAAGAGCAAAACTCTGTCTCAAAAAAAAAAAAAAAAAAAAAAAAAAATATATATATATATATATATTTAAAATTTCAATAGCTTTTGGGGTACAAGTGGTACCTGAATGAACTGTACACTGGTGAAGTCTAAGATTTAGTCTGCCGGCCACTTGAGTAGTGTACATTGTACCCAATATGTAGTTTTTTATTCCTTACCTGCCTTCCAAGTCTCCAAAGTCCATTATTCCACTCACTCTGTATGCCTTTGCCAACCCATAGTTTAGCTCAAGAGGCTCACCTTTTTAATAATGCAAATGCAAATGAAAACTTTTATTGAGTCCCATGGAAGAATGTTCATCCCTACTATTTGGATAACCCACATTTTTAAACAGAAGAATATCCCTGAGAAAAGTGGCTCTGCTTTTAGCCACTGAGTGTCTTTGGGAAGCAATAACGCACAGGGTTGTTTTAGAAAATATTTTGTCTCACAGATTTCTTTAGCGTTCAAAGTGAGTTTACATGCACTATCTCATTCAATCACCAAAATACACAGTGAAATATTATTAAATATATTACCCCAGTTAAACATAGAGCTACCTAGCAATTTCACTTGTAAGTATACACCCCAAATAATTTAAAACAGATATTTAAAAAAAAACTCGTACATGGATGTTGACAAAAACACTATTCATCATAGTCAATAGAAGGAGAAAGGACAAAATGGTGGAAAATGCAGAATCTTTGATTCCCGGGTGGCCATATGGCCATCCATGGTATGGAACTCCAGGTGTGCTGTGCTCAGTTACTAAAGAAAACATTAGCAGTGAAATTTAAAGATGAATTCAACTCCTGGGGAGTTGGTTCACTGGATACATAAGGAAATGCAAACCAACAAGGAAAAAGTGAAATATTTAAACCCTTGGTTATCGTTATCTATAGTAGCTAACATGAAAGTAAAAGAGTGCTGGGTTGGGCCTTGAGGCTGATGTGGGTCTGTCTGAGCTCATGTCACTAGCCTCAAAGCTACCCACAAAGGGGGAAAGTTATGCCCAAGGCAAGAGATCTGTGAGTACCAAGAAGGTAGTCAACACAGGGGAGGGCAAAACCAAGTAACTATGGAAACCAGAGGGGATAGTGTGAAGGAATTGTTCCATTTAGTAGATTGGTATCATCAGCTCACAGTGGAACCATTACTAAAGTGGGTAGTGAGAATAACATGTTTGAGATGTGTGTCTTTGCTTTTAAATGCTGCAGACTAAAAAAACGTTTGGGTTGATTCAGGCCCCACAGCTCACTATTGAATAATCGCAGATATGTGATTTAGACACACAGGTGGGTATTCCCGAGGGAACAGCCAGCCTGATGGGCTGGATAAAAGTCCTGTAAGGTCTGTTTACCCTGAGAAGGCAGACTGCTCAACTCCACCCACAAATGCCAAGTGGATACCCCAGGTAAGGCAGCTGGTGAGTTTTGTATCCAAGCCATGTAGGACTGGCTAATTTATAATGACAGGGATATTCACCCACTGAATGTGCCCATTCTCCAGGTCATGGTAAATGCTGTGGTTAAGGGGACCCCTTTTGCTTCGGCACCTCATTACAGCCGCAAAACCAAAAGACAGTCCAGGAAGCCTTACCTAAATTTGCTGTCTCAATTTCCCATTTGCTAACTTCAATGTCCAAAACACTGATGGAGTGAAACTCAAAGGAAAAAGGAAAGGAGAGAGTCAATGGAAATTTTGAAAATAATTATTAAGAAATGCAGTGAGTAAAATGAAAATTAATGGGTTAAAACAACGGTCTTAATACAAGGCTACAGAAGGTTGAGTGGACCAAAGTTAGCCCCTGCTAGTTCCCCGATACTAAAGGGCCTCAAACTGGTTTTCTATATTTACTCCAGAGTGGAGGGAAAAAAATCAGAAGGCGAAAATTCCAAAGAAAACGTCGGCCAACTATTGCTGGAGCAATACTGAGGCAGGTTAATCAACATAAAGAGGGAGAAAGGGCCTGGATCCCTTGGCTCAACTACCTGCTGGAAACGCAAAGCCTTTTTCTCAAGACAGGGTTAAATGGTCTTGAAGAAAGTTGGTCTTGGAGAAGAAAAGTTTCTGGGACTAGAAAATAAAATGGAAAGGTTAATACGTTTATGAAGGTTAGAATATTTAAACAGGCTTTATGTAAAGTACTTGTGTCTTCTTCACCTAAATGTTTTTATGAAAAACATTCTGATGGGGGACTTTGGGAAGAGAGGAATATTTTGGGACTTTGGGAAGAGAGGAATTCATACAGGTATTATAAGCACAGTCTAATGGTGAGTGTTTGGCTTGGCTTCTGGCCTTGAGGGAATCCAAAATTTCTTATAAAAGTTTCAGAAAAGCCAACTTAAAAGGAGCCCATGACTGATCACTATTTTTGTGACACTTTATGCAAATAATCAGGCAAAGTAGAATAAAACTAAAATTTATTTTGCAAATAAATCTGTCCTACTATGATTTATCCTTGGCAGAAATGGGGAGACTGGAGAGAGAAAAATTTAGATTCTGGCCCTGGCCATTGTTTTGAAGTTTTTATTATTTGCCTACAGTTTGGGCTGATCCTGAATTGTTTTCTGGCTGCAACAAGTCTCTAAAGAAGAACCAGGTTTACTTTTTTTTCACAATGCTTTTAGTTGCCTTCTTAATGGAATGGCTTCTTTTTTTGTTGTTCTGGCTTACAGATTCTCTTTTCATTGTAATCCTGTGTGCATTATATTTCTACTGAGGACTAAGCTCTGATTTTTATCTAACACAAATTTCTACCTAAGGGGTCTAGGGAGTCATGCCCTACAAAACATAAATTCTCATCAGATGGGTTTTATTTGACCCTATATATAGTGACTTACTTTTCTTTTCTTTCTTTTTTTTTTTTTTTTTGGAGAGAGTCTCACTGTTGTCACCCAGGCTGGAGTGCAGTGGTGTGATCTGGGCTCACTGCAACCTCCACCTCCAGGGTTCAACCGATTCTCCTGCCTCAGCCTCCTGAATAGCTGGGATTACAGGCATCTGCCACCACACCTGGCTAATATTTGTGTTTTTAGTGCAGACGGGGTTTTACCATGTTGGCCAGGCTGGTCTCAAACTCCTGACCTCAAGTGATCTGCCCGTCTTGGCCTCCCAAAGTGCTGGGATTACAGGTGTGAGCCACCATGCTCAGCCATGACTTACTTTTCAATCTCACCCTGGCACAACATTATGAGACAAGGAAAAAATATTTAACCCCAAACTACATTTCCTTGCCATACCTTTGCCCTGCAAAGTCTTTTGTGAGAACAATCCACATTCTATAGAGAATCTCCTTTCCCCTTTGTTTTCTTTTCTTCCTTTGTAGATCCAGGAGATAATAACTAAGAGCCAGGCACCCTTTTAGGTCTAATAAGAAATATTTTACAACCTGCTCTCTCTCTGAAGTCGGCTATCTGAGGATTCCTCTGCATAATAAAACCTGGTCTCCACAGTCCTTTATCATAACCTGAACATTCCTTTCCATTAATCCTAGGTCTTCAGAAAAACTCAACCAATTGTCAAACAGAAAATGTTTAAATTTACCTGTAGCCTGGAAGCCCCCCTGCTCTGAGTTGTCCCACCTTCCTAAAACCAAACCCATATATTTCTTAAATGTATTTGATTGATGTCTCATGTCTCCCTAAAATATATAAAACCAAGTTTTACCCCCACCACCTTGGACACATGTTCTTAGGATCTCCTGAGGGCTGTGTCACAGGCCATGGTCACTCATTAGTTGGCTGAGAATAAATCTCTTAAAATATTTTACAGAGTTTTACTCTTTTTGTCGACATTACAATTTAAATTACTAATGTTATGTATCTCATTGTTTTACTTCTGAGAAAAACAAAGTCACCGTATTCTGAAGACTAGAGCTGATTAAACAGCCTGTGAATCTCCCTGATTTGGAATCCCACTGGGCCTGATCTGTTTTTCATTGGCAAAGCACAGCTGCTAAAGCTATACCACATCAAGCATCCTCCCTAAAGGCTGAGGGAACATCGTGGAAGAGCGGGGAATGTGAGATTCTAAGAACCAGATTGTGGATGGAGTGTGTAGGTCAGAACAACTTGGGTGCCAATCAGCCATGTTGGCTTCTGATTAACCCCTGTTCTGAGAATGTCTGTAAGATTTCTAGTTTATCCATTGTTCCTTGTGTAACAGCAAGTACTTATCATAAATCCTGACCTTAGGTCCAACAACCTTGAGATTATAGTACTTCAAGTGTTCTACATATCCCTTCTGAATCACCCTTTCTTTATGGTATATAAGCCCTGGCTCTGGGGGGTAACGGCACAAGGATCTACCATCTTACCTTGCCGCTTCCTGAGACACAGTCATGGTTTCTGTTTGTAAGTCCCTATTAAATGTTCCTGAGAGACTGGATTTGTCAACCTCTTTCTTTGGTCTTTCAGCTTCCTTGGACTTTGGGAGTAGGTTTGCCCAGACCTAACCATGTTGGAACAGTACGAATAAACAAAATGTTCACAGTTACCACTGAAATTACACCACCTGTGATGAAAGAAAGCTGGGTGGGCATTCACTCAACAATGGCCATCCATTGCTCAGCATTATCTGTCCTAATGGCTTTTTTGTTTGTTTTTTTGAGATGGAATCTTGCTCTGTCTCCCAGGCTGGAGTGCAATGGTGTGATCTTGGCTCACTGCAACCTCCGCCCCCTGGGTTCAAGTGATTCTGCTGCTTCAGCCTTCTGAGTAGCTGAGATTACAGGTGCCCACCACCACGCCCAGCCACTTTTTGTGTTTTTAGTAGAGATGGGGTTTCACCATGTTGGCCAGGCTGGTCTTGAACTCCTGACCTCAAGTGATCCGCTTGCCTCGACCTCCCAAAGTGCTGGGATTACAAGAGCGAGCCACTGCACCTGGCTTTGTCCTAATGGCTTTTGCTGCCCATTATCCCCACCTCAAATCTTTTGTTAACATTTGCTCAGCCATTCTAGATTTTTGCCCCCAACACCCTTGACTCTTGGAACCTTGTGGGATGCTAAATAACTGGGGAAAGGCAGCAAAAAGGCAGATTGCTCACGTGAAACATCCAAGGGTTTATCATCAAGTTTCACCTTTGGCTCTAATCCAAAGCATATATCTCTTATTGATTCTGTGGATTTTCCAGTTTTCCTTCCATTTGAACCTCTGTGCTTGTGAAGGGGTCCTCAAGGGCTGGACTCAGCATGATAAAGGTTGGAGTTAGGACTTATCTGCAAGTGACCATCCTACATTTGAAGGTCAAGAGGTAAGAGGCAGGGGCTCACCTGGAGGAAAGAGGCAGGGGCTCAGAGAAGGCTTCTTCTTTGTGCTTGTGCTCTTTGCTCCCTCTCCCATATGGGATGGGTCCCACCTAAGTCTCCTGTGTGTACCATTTTCATCATTCTCCCTCATACTTACACTTGGTAGAAGAGGAATCTTCCTGCAGCATAATTCTTACTCCCCAAGAGGAGATTCAGTGGGGAAGATGCATTAATAACTCTACAAATCTCGAGATTGGACTCACTGTTATTATGGGAGAAGATCTGAATATGTCCTCTTATATCCAGATGAACTAGAACCATCTCATGGGACAAGATAATGAGCTTAGAGAGTTTTACAGGAGGAAAAACATGAGCTTGTTTTAGTATTATAGACTAATGCAGAGACCAAAGCTGAGAGACTCTATGTGAACCTGCCCAAATCAGTCTTAACCCTTAGTTCACACTCAATAATACTGGCCATTTCATTTATTTATTTCTTAATAGATTTACTGATTTTCTCAATGCTAAGCAGATGGAAGCTGCATCTGCTGAGGGGAAACATTCCATAGGTTAATTTCTTTCCTCCTGACTCAGAAAGAGGGAATTCCTGCAACTGCTGAAGAATTTTGCACACTCTAGTTTCCCTGCTACAGAAGGCCAAACATCCACTGAGTCCTTTCTGAAGGTGACTTCTTTGCTCTTTCCCCAAATGTCTAAGCCACACAGGCTCCTGCACTCCTCTCAGGTTTCTAAGTGAGGGGTAAGCTGTTCTGAGCACAGCCCAGGCACCCCACACAGCACATGAAAATTTGATGTGTGCAATAAAGCCTGTCTTGCTTAATGCATTCAGCCCTTTTGTCCGTGGGAGCTAATATCCTTTTGGGAAATACTGTGATTTCAGCTGAAATGTCGGGGAAGGGGAGGGCGGAGAGGGAATGTGGGACTCTGCCATACAACCCCTTACTCCAACCACTTAATAACTTGGCTAAAAGCCACGATCGATATAGAGCTGTCAGCTGGGCTCCAGCCCTCCCAGCCTTCCCAATCAATCAACAAGATTTAGTGAGCCACCAGTTGGAATCTATGTCACATAAAAAGTGTGGGTTCCTAGACCAGTCCTAGAGAGACTAATTAATTCCTCCTGGGCACTTGCATTAGTTTCCACTTGCAGAATAGTAGCCTATTGATGGAGGCCCAGCTGTTAGACCTTCCCAAGTGTACCTAGGACAAGTAGGCATTTTGCATGTGATCCACTCATTTCTGCATTTTTTCTCACTAAACATAACTCTTCCATCAGTTAATAGTCTATTTTTTTAAATGGAGTTGTGGTTGAGGAAAGGGAAAGATTGCAGTCTTACTAATGTGCCAAGTTTTTACATTCATTTTTGAACTTATTCTTCCATGAGGTATGCTATAATTTTTACTTAAGAGATAGTTGTAACTATGACTCATTTTTTTCATATGAGGAAATCGTGGCAAGGCTGCCCTTCCCTCCAGAGGAGCCAAGAGTGAACCCCGAGCAGTGGGCCTAAGACCTCAGCTCCCAGAAAACCTATCCAGCCTTGATAAGGATCAGGAAGGAGTCTCTGGAGTTTGGAATGAGACTGAGCTTCTCCAGCCTCCTCACCTCCAACGACAGAGTCCAGAGTCAGTTCTAGACACACACCCTTCTCTGCGCTTCAATGCTTTCAGCCCTACTACTAATTGCCCTGAGTCCTTCATAACAAATCTCATTTTCCCCTGTATCTCTGTTCAATTCCACTACACACAAGGCTCCAGATTCCTAGGTTACCATGTTTCTTAGCCCATTAACTCCCCAAATGCACTCCATATTCTCATGCATTTCCTATCTATCCTCATCTCATGGAAACCATCCATGGTGACATCAGGAATTCCTGGTCCATCATTAGCCAAATTCTGTGTCTTCAACCTTTCCTCTGGATGGACCTTTTTTCTTCTTGCTGTAACGGGGACCTGGCTTTCATTGAGGGAAGTTTTCTCTGCCACTCTCTAAGTGATGGCTTGCTTCTCTCCCATCCCTTTTCCTTATACCTCAGAGTCTCCTGGTTTGTCATTTCTTCTTTCAGACCAGGCTTTCTCCCACCTTCATTCAAATCCCCATTGAACTCTCATGTTATCAGGCTATGTCAGACCCTATCCTCCAGTACTACTTCTCTTGACCAAGCACTCAGGTCTCACACTTCTTGACAGTTTTGCATCCTTGAAGGCCATCTCACTGTCTCCAACACCACTCTCATCTTAATTCTTGAAGATTTCACAAACCGTTAGATAATTTTCTCTGTTCTTGAATTCCTCTCCTCCCTTGAAGTTATATTCTACCCTAGCTTGGCCATTCACTCCTGTGGTCTTATCCTAGAACTCTTCATGATCAATGATTACAACTTGTCATAATGTCTATTTTATGCAACTCTTTTTGACCACTACCTCCTATGTTTTAACTCATTGCGTCTAATAACTAACTCTAACAATTTTCCAATCTCGCAGGGACAGTCCATCCACTGATCTGATCATTCCCCTGCCCACTGCATCGTGATGTTATGGCTTCCCTCCTCATGCAGTTTAAAGTCCATGGCTGACTATTATTTTTATATCCTTGTATGTGCCTTCAACTTCCTTGCATGTCTCACACTGTTTTATTCTCCCTGCTCCATGCCTGCACCCATGCAGCTGAATAAGGCTTGAAAACAAAAAAAAAATAAACCTAAGATGATTCTTTTGTTGACTCATGACTACAAACATAATGTTGGGAGCAGTAATATATTTCCTAGTTCATCCATTCTCCTCTCTCAAATAACTGGTTGATATCTTCTCCTCTCACCTCAGAAATCCCCTAGGCTTCCTCACATACCCGCACTATTGGCTGATGACTTACTTCCTGTATCACTGGGAAAATGAAGCAATCTGAAGAGGGCTTCCTCAAATTCCCACCACCAAATCCATCCACTTACGGCATCTGCACCGTATGCTTTACCTTCTGGACCATTTTTCTAGATGAACTGTCTGTGTTCCCATAGTAAGCCAATCTTGTTTTTATACTTTCATTCTATCCGTTCTCCTCTACTCTGTGACATCACACTGGCGATTCTCCCTGCTGTCTTTTACAGTGTCAGTTTCTCTCCCTCTCCAGTAACACACTGTTACTTGTTCCATCTTACAGAGCAAAACTTTCTATTGGCCCCACTTCCTCACCAGCTACTGCCTACTGTCTCCGCTCCTTTTTGGATTTAGCAATAGCCTGGACAAAGTCACTTTGATGGAGTGATTGAAGCAAAAAACAAATTGGAGCAGGTTTAAGAGAGAAGGGGATTGGGAGGCCGAGGTGGGTGGATCACAAGGTCAGGAGTTCAAGACCAGCCTAGCCAACATGGTGAAACCCCATCTCTACTAAAAATACAAAAATTAGCCGAGCGTGGTGGTGTGTGCCTGTAATCTCAGCTACTTGGGAGGCTGAGGCAGGAGAATCGCTTGAACTCGAGAGGTGGAGGTTGCAGTGAGTCAAGATCATGCCACTGCACTCCAGCCAGGGCAAAGAGTGAAACTCCATCTCACAAAAAAAAAAAAAAAGGAAAGAGAGAAGCGGAGAAGAGGAATTGGAAGCAATTACACCAGCAGTTTAGTTATCTTAAATTTAGTGAGTTAAAGTCACAGGAAAAGAACCTGGGAACAGTAGGTTTACATTTATATGATGCTCATCAGAAGCCAGGCATGTTCACAGGACTGGAATACAGATGGAGGTAGAGAGATGCAGAACTCTGCTCTTTCTCTCAAAGAGCTCTGGCCTGGGACAGAGACAGGGATGAACAGAATGGGTTGGGCAGGCTGGGGACTTGACTGCATGCTAACAACCAGACAGAGGTCTTTGCCCTACCTTTGTCTGCCGTAGACTTCAACTTGTAGACACTCACAACTTTGCTTTCTCAGGTGTCCACACTGTTTCTTTCTTAACCTCACCTGAGCTGCACATCTTCCAGGCAGACCAGGCTCACCTAAGAGCAGACTTGACCCTGTGCTGAGATGGAGCATGCTACTTCACCCAGCCCTCGAGGCTGCAGGGCTGGAATCATATAGTGGGATTGGCCTTGCTTCTTTCCTGTGCTCTCAAGGGAGACGAACTGGGCCTGCCCTCCAGGTTTTGTCTCTTGAACTCCTGGAATATTTTTCTCCCCTCTAAGGGAGAAGAGCAGCTGCAGTTCTATCTATCCCTCCAGGTCTCAACCCTGCTCTTGCCATAACATGGATGCCCATGGATGGATCCTCCCTTTAACAGCCCCCTTCCTTTCTTTCTCCAGAAAACATGTTGGAATACAATTGACCAAGAGTAGGATGATTCTAAGGATGACTTTGGTGCGGCTTTGATTCAGCTTAAAAGTAAATTACTTGCAAATATTGACATTTTAACCACCACTAATAACTTATGACTAGCATTCTCCTCACAAGGAATAAGCCCACTCCCTGTAGTTGAGACTAAAGGGCTCTCAAGTTCAGCTAAAGTACAAGCAGGGTTCCCACAGGTCACCCAAATGGGCAAAAGGCCTGGGTGGGAACTGTAACTAGCCTGCAGGGGGCCAAAGTCTACTTTCCTCCAGTTCATTGCCAGTGTTGACTGCCCAGATATGACCCATCTTCTGAGTTTTCCACAAAAGCTGGAAATCTAGATTTTCAGGGAAATCTGCTTTATAAATGTTGATGACTAATTAAAAATCTTCAAAAATGCTGGGCATGACAAACAAAATACAACTGTAATCTGAGTTTGGCCTATGGGCAGATATCCAGCCAACTCTGCTCTCCGACCTCTGAGTCTGGGCATTCCCAAGATGGCCTCATCGCAGCCCTTGCAGCTCTGTGTGTCTACCTGAGATCCCACCCAGCTTCCCAGGTCAGTATTTCAGCACCATACCCTTATATCAAGTTTCTTCCTTGCTGTCTGGGGTGACTGGGAGAGGAGGGGCTCCTGCATCCCAGAGGTGGAGAGAAGTGAAGAGAGAGCAAAGTTGGTGTTTTTGTTTGTTTTGGGTTGGAGGAAGGAGTGCACACAGCCTGATGTGGAGCAGTCTTGCACTTCCCTGGGGTCTGACGCCAGAACAGCATCCGCCATTGTCCTGTTCCCCTGAGTCAGTGTACGGTGTGAAGGATGATGCAGAAGGATACTCACTCACTCACTCACCACTCACTCACTCACCTGTTCATTCATTTGCTTATTTATTCACTCATTCATTCACTCACCTACTCACTCATTCACTCATTCATTCACTCACTTATTCATCTGCGTATTCACTCACTCACTTACACATTCACTCATTCACTCACCTACTCACTCATTCACTCATTCATTCACTCACACACCTACTCACGTATTCACTTATTTATTCAGTCATCCATTCACTCACTCATTCACTTATTTATTCACTCATTCATTCACTCACTTATTTATTTACTCATTCATCACTCACCAACTCTTTCATTCACTCACTCATTTATTCACTCACTCACTCACTCATTCATTCCCTCAAACATTCATTCACAAAGTATTTATAAAACACCTGTCAGGACTCTTGTGGACATTAGGAATTCAGCAGGGGAAAAACAATCAAGAACCTGCCTTCCTGAGGCTTACATTCTGGTGAGGAGGCAGGGATGAACAGACAATAAACAAGTAGATGTGTCACCTAATATGTATCTGGAGCTGAAAACTGCTTTTAAGAAAAATAAGGCAGATAAAAGGCAAAAAATGATTAGTTTAAATGGAGGAAAGAGAAAGGCCAGTCTGAGGAGGTGTCATTTAAGAAAGATCAGGAGGAAGAGAGAGAGCAAGCCTTCTAAGTACTCAAGGGAAGAGCTTTTCAGCAGGAAGGAGAGCAAGTTTGGAGGTCCTGAGTGAGGGTGTGTTTGGCCTTCCAAGGAATAGCATGAAGACTCAGAGTGGCTGGAGAGAAGTGAGATGATGGGAGGGCACAGAGAGGACTGGAAAGGAAATCAAAGACCAGGCATTGGACCTTTGGGCAGTGACATGATGGGAGCCTCTGAAGGATGAAAGCTGAGGGGAGGCATGATCTGATTTCCATTTTAAAAGGATCCCTCTGGCTATGGTGTTGACAATAGACTACGGGGGCAGGCGTGGAAGCAGGGAGCTGAGTGAGCAGGCTGTTTCAGGGGTCCAGGACTGAAATGATGGGGACCTAGACTGGATGCCAGAGGGGGAGATGATGTCTGCTGGATTTGGTATATATGTATATATGTATATATGTATATATGTATATATATATATATATATATATATATATATATATTATTTTTTTTTTGAGACAGTCTCACTCTGTCACCAGGCTGGAGGGCACTGGTGTGATCTTGGCTCACTGCAGCCTCCGCCTCCTGGGTTCAAGCCATTCTCCTGCCTCGGCCTCCCAAGTAGCTGGGACTACAGGCATGCACCACCACGCCCATCTAATTTTTGTATTTTTAGTAGAGGCAGGGTTTCACCATGTTGGCCAGGATGGTCTCGATCTCTTGACGTGTGATCTGCCTGCCTCGGCCTCCCAAAGTGCTGGGATTACAGGCGTGAGCCACCGCTCCTGGCCGATTTGGTATATATTTTAAGAACCAAGTCAATAGGCTTTGCTGTCAGTTCTCTGAGAGCCCAGGTAGGCGTGTGAGGGGAGGTGCTCACATGCACACACTCGGGCACGTGTGTTGGAGCACAGGGCTGTGTGGGTACATGGTAGAATGCAGATACACGTGCTGGTACAGCAGCTTCACCCTTTCCAAGGGCAGGAGAGGCAGATCTCTGTTCTTTGGCGCTTCTGCTGTGTTCAGCTGCTTTCAGCAACCCCAGCAGCACTCCTCTGCCCCAGTGCTGCATCATTGTTTGGCTGCCAAGGCCAGACCACCATTCCCCTCTTCTCCCAGTAGCATCAGGGTCCTGAGACATACAGGGAAGTACTTTGTCTCCTACCCCACTCAGGGAAATTTTGAGAGTAAACACCCATCCCACATCCCTCTGCCAGCCATTGCTGGACATGCCTGTAGGCTCTTTTCCACACATCAGAAGCCAGGAGGAGGTTGAATCAAATAGAAAGAACAGACACATGTGACCATGCGGCCTCTTCGCCTCTTCGCAGCAGTGTTATTGACTAAAGCCTGGCTCTCTTCTTTTTCTTTAGTCCTCATTCCTTGAGTGAGTTCAGCCCCTCTTACAACTTCAAAACTAAAGAGTCACTCTCTAGGTGACTCCAGATGGGCCCTCTGGCTTGTATTCTGACTTCAAATGACACATCCATTTGATGGGCTTGAAGGTGGACATGAAGAATCTGCAGGAATTCTTTTCATACTCTTTCTAAGAGTCTAGTTCCTTGGATCAAGGGAAACTCTGCTTGTACATTTTCTAAAGTTTACATCTTAGAGCCTCCAAAAATACATATTTTCTCCCTCCCATTATCCCTTCATTCCATCTTTTTTTTTTTTTTTTTTTTTTTTTTTTTTGAGATGGAGTCTCGCTCTGTCATCCAGGCTGGAGTGCAGTGGTGCGATCTAGGCTCACTGCAAGCTCCGCCTCCCAGGTTCACGCCATTCTCCTGCCTCAGCCTCCAGATTAGCTGGGAATACAGGCACCCGTCACCAAGCCCGGCTAATTTTTTGTATTTTTTTTTTTTTTAGTAGAGACGGGGTTTCACCGTGTTAGCCAGGATAGTCTTGATCTCCTGACGTCATGATCCACCCACCTCAGCCTCCCAAAGTGCTGGAATTACAGGCGTGAGCCACCGCGCCTGGCCATTCAGTCTTAGAGTTATACTTAGAAGAGGCACAATTGGCTGTTGGAACCAGAAAGGGACTTAGATTTGCACAAATCTAGATCAAAATTCTTAGATCTTAAATTTACCAATTGTGCAATTTGAACTAGAGACATTAGTTTTCCTCATCATAGAATGAGGACGACAATATCTAACTTTAGAGTTTTTATTAAGGTTATACACGGTCTTCACCAAAGACTTTACAAAACTTTACAAAAGGATCCTAGTTGAGTAATGTAGGTATGTTGGGATCCCACAGAAGAGGAATTGTTCTGCAAATTTCTCTTCCCTTTTAAGGAAAGAGAGAACAGTGAGGTATTGATGACTTTGCAGAAAAGTTGAATCTCTGGGCTCTAAGCTGAACTTTTATGAGGTCAGGGAATATTTTCTGTGAAATCACTGGGTTCTGCACTGTGGCTGGCTCATAGTAGGGCTTCAAAACATATTGTCAGATGGACAGAAGAAAAGGAAGTAGGGAAGCAAGGGAGGAAAGGTTAGAAGGACAGAAGGAATGAAGAAAAAAAGGAGAGTTTAGTAGGAATCAATCCTGTATGTGAAGCCTTGTGAGATGTATGATAAAGTCTATTTCATTTTGTGGGTGGGATGTTGAATACTAGGTCAAGCTTTTTTTTCTTCTATGACAAACAACACAGAGAAAGGGGGAGGGGAAGTCTGCACAGAATTTTTACTATTATTTTTACCACCAGACAATTAGGCAGGTTCCCTTTTGTTAAAATTCAAAGATTTTTTTTTCCATCTGGGGAGAAATAGTTTTAGTTATATGGCAGCTTCAATTCTAAGCCAGAAAAATGATTTATGAACAGAAACATGAAACATTTCTTTAAGAATAACCATATAATTTACAGCCCCAAATGATTATATTAAGGGTTTAGTTAATGTTATGCCTTCTTTGAAACAGGGAGAAAGTGGCAGAACCACTGTCATGCAGTCATACTGAATAGCCAACCAGTGGGTGCTGCAAAGTCAGCTTTCTCTTGATTGCATTGGATGTTGGTTCCAAGAGCTGCCGCAGCTCCCCAAGGTTGATGTTGCCAGGGCTGAATGAATACGGCCTTTGCGTTTCCCTGGCTACTGAACTCAAAGTACAGTACAAGGCGGGTTCTCCCCACTTCGACTAACTAGTGGGAACAACATCTTCAGAAGCATCAGTTGCATTACTTATTAGCAAGTCTACTGCATCCTCTCCATTTAGAGAAAGGACCACCATGTCCTGGGAAGGAGAATATTAATTTCTTTCCTTCTTGTGCAAACTCCTTTAGCAATTCGCTCCTTCTATTCATCCAAAGAAACTTCTGGGGGCTTCTTTTATGTGTCCCCCGAGGCAGTTCTCCATGCACACGACAATGGACATAATGGCTGCTGTAGAAGGGAATCAATTTCTCCTTCTATTCATAGGAAAAAAAAGTCCATCCTTCTTTCCAATACCATTGCTGTTTCTTCTCCCAGGAGGAGGCATTGACTTACCCAACTGCTAACACTGGAGAAAGAAACCTTTCCTATGTAGCTTAGCCCCTTCTTGCTTCTGTTTAGGATCTTAGCTGTGTGCGCTCCATTCCTATTTTCTCCATTCAGTAAAAGTCCTGTCCTGCCTCCTTCCTTGCTGTGTGTGGTGGCGTGAGTGGGTGTAGGAGCTGAACTAGGAGGTAGTTTCCATTGTGGAGGGTAATTACACAGCAAGGACTAAGCATTTTTCCCCCATATGTCTTACCATAAATAAATTTAATGTTGTCATTACCATCTGATGTTTGTCTCAGTTGATTCTGACCTTGAAGGAAGAGGGGTATGCTCATTGGCACCCTTAAATTTAAGCATCTGTCTTAAAGGAGCTCATAGCCTAATTGGGAAGACACACTGGTAAACTGTCAATCAAATAGTAAGGGTGACCAGTATCAGTGAAAAGCAGAATGAATAAGAATTAGCCAGATGAAGTAAAATACAAGCAATCAGTATGACTGAAATATAATGGGAGATGGGAAGCAGGAGATCAGGCTGCAGAGATTAGCAGAAACCAGGTAATAAAGGGCCTCATCGGTCTTTGTGGAATAGTTTGGATTTTATCTTGAAAACAGTGGGAGCCACTGCAGGGCTTTAAGGAAGAGAGTGAACAAGTGAATTGAGCAGATTTAGAAAGATTTTTCTGACTCTTGGTATGGAGAATAGGTTGGAGAGAGGCAGGTTTGGGAGGGTTTTTTTTTTGTTGTTGTTGTTTGTATTTTTTGAGACAGAGTCTTGCTCTGTCACCTAGGCTAGAGTGCTGTGGCATGATCTGGGCTCACTGCAAGCTCCGCCTCCCCGGTTCACGCCACTCTCCTGCCTCAGCCTCCTGAGTAGCTGGGACTACAGGTGCCTGTCACCACGCCCGGTTAATTTTTTGTGTATTTTCAGTAGAGACGGGGTTTCACCGTCTTAGCCAGGATGGTCTACGATCTCCTGACCTCGCGATCCGCCCTCCTCAGCCTCCCAAAGTGCTGGGATTACAGGCGTGAGCCACCGCACCTGGCCGGGAGATGGGGAGGTTTTAGGAGACTATTGAAATTGTTCCAGGTGAGATGATGATAGCCTGAACTAGGGCATTGGCATAGGTAAAAGTGTTTGGATTTGAGACACATTTAACAGATAAAATTAAGAGGATTTAGTGAGTAGTTAACTAGGTAGAGGAGTCAGAGAAAGAAGACCTTGATGACTCTCAGGTTTCTGGCTTGGGTATTGGTGGATGGTGCATCTTTCAAGAAATTAGGAAACCCAGGAGGAAGAAACACGTTTGGAAAGGAAGATGGTGAATTCCACTTTGCACTATTGAATGTAGATGTCAGTGGGATATCCAGTGAGGGAATTTGCTTGGTAGTGTGTTCATCTCAGGGAGAGGTATAGGCTGGAGGCGATGGATGTGGGAGCCAGCAAGCTGCATATGACAGGAGAGATCTCACAGCACAATAGGTCAAATGGGAAGAGAACTGGGTAAAGGATAGAACACAAAGGACCACAAAGAACAGAATGAAGGCAATAGAGTCAGAGAAAGTCCAGTCAAGGGAGTAAAAGGAAAACCAGGAAAGGTTTGATTCAGTCTATACGAAGAATAGGGGAGCACGTTGCTTATGGGAACATGGAATGGTTCTTGGTAAGAATTGAGGAACTATTTGCATTTTGAGTCCATTAAGGTGGCTGGGGGCAGTGGTGGGACCAGACATGGGTCTTATTACCAAATAATCCAACCTAGAAGTCTATAGCATTCCTTTCTGATAGTCCCTCCTCCTTGCCCAGCCTCTACTTTAGGTCATACCTTTAAAGTAGCACTAGTTAGTTCTGAGTAGTTGAGGACACTCAGGGCCTCCAAGCAAAAATTTTAGGAAAGGTCTATTTATCCTTCATTAGCCGCAAAATAAACTGATATTCCATGGCCTTGCAGTTCAGGGACTGCTGGGTTGGTGTTTACATGTGTGGTGAGAAATGCTTCCTGCTGTCTCTTCTAAAGACACTCTCTTATGCTTTGCACTTTCTCCAGCCAGTTATTGCACATCAGAAACACCAGGGGAGCTTTCAAAGCTTTGGGCTCCCTGGGGTTCACCCTAGTCCATCTTTATTAGAATCTTCAGTGGTGGAGCACAGGCATTGACATTTTTTAAAAGCACCTCCAGAGTTTCTAATGGGTAGTCAGGACTGTGAGCTACTGATCCAGCCAGACTCAAACCCCATGAGTCATTAACCTTCACCAAGTTAAATAACTAATCCGCCACAAAGGAAAAATCCTGCAAATCTGGAGCAGCTGTCGATAGTGTTATAGAAAGTGATTTGTTTTCATCCTGGAGTCTTCCAGCTGCTGGAGAAGCTGAATAACCCTTTATGGGACTGGACAAATTCGAGAAGGACTAGGACAATGATGTCTGGGCTTGTCTTCTGGGTCCCCTTCAACCTCTGACTACAGTATTGCAGTATTGCTACCTAAAGAGCCAGGGTGGAGATTTCAGCAAACATTTGGTAATAAAATCCCAGGGGATTGGATCCTGCCGCATGCACACCCCTATGAAGATTCCACTGGGCCAGAATTCCACGGCTGCACATGTTCTGACTCGCAAATTCTTAGACCCATCTTCACCTGGAGAGAGGTCAAAGGTGATGTGCTGGTAATTGTGAATCTGCCTTAATTATGGCAAGTTAAGTTTTGCTAAGAGCAGATTTTTGGGTCCAGCACTGTCCTACACAATCTAGCCAATTCTAAGCCCCAATGAATCAAAGAACTGTTAAGCTCTGCCAATCAGCTGGGCTCCCACGTGTGACCTGCAGCCACTCACACTCAAGCATCAGACATTTGTCTGTATTCCTTTTGGTCAAACAGAATATTCACCACTCTCCAGTTCTGTGGACACCTGCCTAGGTGAACACTGGCAGCCATGAAATTCTGTCCCAGTGGAATTTTCACAGTGGTGTAACCCACAGGCAGGGTTCTTAAGGCTTCAAAGGGCAGAAGGACAAGCTCACCTTTCTCCTAAGCTATATCAGCTTTTTTTAATCCACAGGAGATGCCGATTTTCTGCGTTTGCAACAGCCAAATGAGTTTTGTCCTATGCACAAGACAAGTTGTAATTTATCAAATCCACTCATACTCTTTTCCCTTGCTTTTTACCCAGACAAAGAATGCAGCAGAGAGGTTATTAAATTCTTTTCTAGGGGTGAAATATATAAAAAAGCTGTGTGAGTCAGTAATGCACTCCAAGAATTTAAGTAAATTTGTTATGCTTGATCTCACTGTTATGAAGCCAAATTTGCCGCTCTTTACAAGATAATACACAAAAATATATATTCAGCACACACAGCCCCTAATATTCCCTGCTGCTCTCAACAATAGGAGCTGAGCTTCCTGCTTTAGCTCATATTTTTCTGAATAAGAGGAAATGTATGAACAATTTTCTGTTCCTTCGTCTTGTGCCTGGAATTTCAACCACATTCCTAGAAGGCTTTTCAGTGGTTCTTCCCCATAGTTCAGTGATTCTACTGGGCTACTGTATTTATTCACATTTAATGGTACAGAAAGTCCCACTTTTAGATACAATGCACACTTGGAAACTGTCTTAGAAGTGACTTGCATATAAATGAAATTGACTGCATGTATGATAATTCTGCCTTTGCTTATCTGGTTATCAAAGAAATAAATGTTTATAGAACATTTGTTTATGGAGCCCCTAATATGTTCCAAGCTCTGTACAGGACACTTCACTACATTAGTTCATGTAATTCTCACAGTAGCCTTGCAAGATAGATATTATCTCAGTTTATAGATGATAAGACAGTGTCAAGAGATATTATATTTCCTGCTCAAGATCAGACATTGCCAAATGTCCCCTGGGGGACAAAACTGCCCCTCAGTGAGAACCACTGACCTTGACCATAGGAGTGTGAAAGTAGCTGTACCTAAACACATCCACTTTCAAGTCTTCTTTGAGCCTCATAATGTCGAGTTCAGCCCTTTGCCGTCAGTGGCAGGCCGGCCCCATCTTAATGTGAATGTGCAAAGGTCAGCAGATATGCCATGTCAGGTAGGAAACAGAATTTTGTGTTAGTGCATTCCCACACTGCTATAAAGACATACCTGAGACTGGGTAACTTACGATGAAAAGAGGTTTAATTGGCTCATGGTTCTGTAGGCTATACAGGTTTCTGCTTCTGGGGAGGCCTTAGGAAATTTACATAGTAGAAGGGGAAGGGGAAGAAAGCACATCTTCACATGGCCAACAGGAGAGAGAGAGTGGGGGCGGGGCAGTGCTACACACTTTTAAACAAGCAGATCTCAAGATCTCATGAGAACTCTATCATGAGACTGCAATAGGGGGATGGTGCTTAACCATTAGAAACTACCCCCGTGATCCAATCACCTCCAACCAGCCTCCACCTCTAACATATTGGGGATTACAATTCAACATGAGATTTGAGTGGGGATACAGAGCCGAACCATATCAACTTTGAAATGTCATTTTGCTTCCACTGTCCCTGAGCTTTCTCTGCTGGGAGCTGTAGGCCGTGGTTATAGGTGACACAACTCTGGCCCTGCACCTTGTTGTACAAAGTCAAGGCACTGGGTGATCGGTAGACTGCACATTAGGATTCCTCTTGGAAGCCATTACTCTGTCAGGACAGCTAGCAATAACTTTGTTATATATGGAAGTGACTGCCAACCATGTAAATATATCCACCTAACTTCAAATTATATTCCCAACTCAATTTACCTTTAACTGTATCTCCAAAATGCTCATGGCCATCCCAGTGCCACCAGATATGAAAGAAGGTATGATGGAGGAGAAGTCAAAGAAGAAATACTGGTCCTGACCAATTGAGATTAAAATATTTGACTTTTGAAAATTTCACAATAACAAAGTGACTGTGGAGAAATATTACTAGGTCCCTCCAGGAATGTGGAAGTAGCCTGTGTAGGTGAAGGGTTGTGAAGCTTAAATTTTGTTAGCTTCACAGTAAAGACACCTTATTAGGCAGCCTTTGCTTACTCTTCTCCCTGCCTCTCATTATCTTGTTTGATATAAAAGAGTATTTGTGAATAAGCAAGGGTGACAGGTTATTTCTTGGCTTTTGACCTAGGATCCCTGGTAGTGTGAAACATGTAGGCTTAGTCTAAGACCTAGACCCCTTTTTAGATTTGCATATTTGTCAAAGGTGAAAGAATAAATTTCTCAAAATTTGTCAGTCTTGAGTTGAGGGATAGCAAGGACACATGAGCATCTGTCAAGATTGTCACTGTATTGGCCCCAGAGGTATGCTGTGGGGGGATTCAAGATGTATACAGCCAAATACAGAGGGAAAGAATGGAAAGTGCCCTAAAATCTTTTGGTGGAAGGTCTGCCCTGATAAGAACCTTGGAACTAATCGCCCCTATGACAATTTGCTGGTTTCCCATGGCCAGAGCCAGCCTTCTGGAGGCCAGCACTGAGAACACAGAAAAAGAGGGCTCAGGCAGCAGGTCAGCAAGAGACCAGCTTATGAGTGACCAAGATGGACAGCTTCTTCTCAGCTCCACCAGAGTTGGGCCAATTAAAAAGATGATCACAGCACTGCCGCCCTCAGGTGTGCGACTCAGTGGAGTTGAGGTGCTGCAACTCAATGGAATGGGTTGGGAAAAATAGAAGATAGAGAAGGAAGACAGAGCTGGTTGGGAAAAATGCAAGGAAAGTACAGAAAGGAATGACATTGTTATAATTTCAAAATCAGACTGGGAAAGAGTTAACCATTCCAGATTTATTTATTTATTTATTTATTTATTTATATTTATTTATTTATGAGATGGTGTCTTGCTCTGACGCCTAGGCTGGAGTGCAGTGGTGCAATCTTGCTCACTGCAGCTTCCACCTCCCCTCGCGGGTTCAAGTGATTCTCCTGCCTCAGCCTCCGGAGTAGCCAGGACTACAGGCATACGCCACCACACCCAGCTAATTTTTATTTATTTTTATTTTTTATTTTTTGTATTTTTACTAGAGACAGGGTTTCACCGTGTTGGTCAGGCTGATCTTGAACTCCTGATCTCAAATGATCCGCCTGCCTCGGACTCCCAAAGTGCTGGGATTACAGGCGTGAGCCACTGAGCCTGGCCCCCAGATTTAATTTGAAAAATCACATTGGAATATGAAAACTGAACGGATCATATTATTTTACCTACTCCAGGGCCGTTTGGAGGCTCAGAGCCAGAAATTAAAGTCAGCTCTAGATATTAAGAAAGCTACATTTATTTTATTTTATTTTATTTTATTTTTTTCGTATTGAAGCCTGGTATTTTTGAAGTATTTATTATATCTGTTAAATCAGGATCAAGCTACTGTTGCACCACAGAAATCTCTTAATTAGTTCCCTTAGACTGTATTCCCTGGGCTGAGTTTCTCCTGGGAGACTGGGAGGCTGGAGGGGTCAGGAGGAGTGATGTTGAAATGCTGGGACAGTTGGCTTAAGGAGAGCAAATGTGGTGCTCTCTTCAGTAAACAGCGCCAGACGACTGAATTTTGTGACCTGGTACCAGGAGTACTGCTGCAAGCATTGATGTGACATCTTCACCCAATCCTGAGTAGTACCTAGAGCAGATGCATCTCCCCTTCATCGTTACTCATCTTAAGCCCTGCCTTGGAGTAAAGATAAAGATGGGGCATGATTTGAAGTCTCTAGGGAGAGACTTGGAGTCTCTTGCTCTGCCTTAGGAGTGGGAGCTGCCCTCTTGGGACTAAAGCGAAGACTGCCTGGGTCAAAGTCATCATTTCTAAGCAGAAAATGGGCCTTTTACACTGTGATTTATGTTCTTCACAATTCAATATAACACAGCATCTTCTGCAGCTTCTATGAGAGTGTTTTTGAAAATTTCGTCCACTTGCACCTCATGAAAAATGCAAGTAGGTAGCACACAGAGCCCTCAGTGCTAAGGAGCATAGGTCTCGCCCCTAGAAAAGCCATATTTTTTTCGGCAGTGCCTAGACAGACCAGTTGCATCTGTTTTTGATGGGAAGCAAGGATGACTTCTCTTAGAAGTCGTGAGGGAGGAAATGGGAATCTCTCAGTGGGCTCTGGTTCTTACAGAAAGGAGAAATGTGTGTTCAGAAATAGGGAGAATGATCAAACACATGATGTTTTGTTTAGGAGTCTATGTAGCTCTTACCTTGCAACCAGAACTTCTGATCCAGAAACACATCTTCTATTCTGCCTACTACCTGGAGATCAGAGCCCAAAGGAAGGTGGGAGGAATGATTTTATTTCTTTGAATGAATATGCTTTCTAATATCCTTTTGCCTGGTGGCTCTTAGGTAGTCTTGCAAGCAGCCAGTGGGAGTGATACAGAGTTTGGAAGCATTGCACTCTATGAGGATAAAATGTAACAGAGACAGGAAGCCCTTTCCCTCTGCTAGAAACAGGGTGCAGCAGCTGATGTCCTAGTATTTGGCTACTGAGAGGGATGAGTAGCATTCATATTTTACAAGTGAATCTTGAGACAGTGGCATGGAAAAAAATCATGTGGGTGGGCCTTGTGCCTGCCAAAGCTTTGCATGTAGAAGACAGGCTGGCAGCCCCAGAGGAAGTGGCTGAGAGCATCAATGTGGTGTCGGGGAGCAGCTAAGATCAGGGAATAAAGAGACTTAAGGCTGATTCCCGGCTCTGCCCTCTCTTGCTTAAGGAGCTGAGGCCAATAACCATACCTCTTTTGCCTCAGTTTCCCGATCTGTGTATTTCATCCATCCAACCAGTATTTATTGAGCCTCTGCTCTGTACCAGGCCTCTGTGTCAGAGACACTGAGTAAAGAGATCTTGGCTTCAAGTTACATACCATCTGATGGGTCAGACAAGACAGCCTCTAAGACCTTTCTAGTCAGATGCTATTTGCTCGATCCTGAGGTTTAGAAACCCTACTGTGAGTTTCCTATAGGATCTCTTCCATACGAATCTCCTCTCTCTCTAAGCGCTTAGCAGAAGTTGTGCTTATCTCCCACGCCTCATTCTTCATCCTCCTGAAGCCCCATCCCCACCCCCTCCCCTTATCAGATGCTCAGGGGTCTCAGCTTTTCCCGTCTCCCAGTTAACAGGTTTCCCGTCATGACATTGCCGAGTCTGTGTGGGCAGATGGGACAAAAGAATTCAGGCTGAGTTATCTGTTATTGATTTGCATGTTTACACATTTAATCTGCTATTCCTTTCAGGTAACATTTGCCTATTAACAGCAATTTCCAGCACATTGATCCAAACATTGATCTCCAGAAAGATTTGATAGTGCTTGAAAACTCATTGATTACAGAGGAGAAATAAAGGAAAGGGAAGTGTCAGAGACTAACACTAAGGATTTGAGTCTGAGTGATTAAAGAAGAATGGCAGTATTAGCAGATAGGGGGATTGGAGTTTGAGAATGTAGTTTGTGTGTGTGTGTGTGTGTGTGTGTGTGTGTGTGTGTGTGTGTGTTTTTGTTTTTTGAGATGGAGTCTCATTCTGTCAACCAGCCTGTAGTGCAGTGGCGCGATCTCAGCTCACTGCAACCTCTGCCTCTCAGGTTCAAGCAATTCTGCCTCAGCCTCCCGAGTAGGTGGGATTACAGGTGCCCACCACCACACCCAGCTAATTTTTGTATTTTTAGTACAGACAGGGTTTCACCATCTTGGCCAGGCTGGTCTTGAACTCCTGACCTCGTGATTCACCCGTCTTGGCCTCCCAAAGTGCTGAGATTACAGGAGTGAGCCACTATGCCCGGCCGTAGTTTTTTTAAAACATAATTTTTATTAATCAAATAATTTGTGGAAATATTATCCTGAGTAAAATATAAAAACATTAGTCATTATTGGCTACCTCCCGATAAACTCAATTCCCTTCTTAGAGGTAAAGACATTGTTTTGAGAAGTAGTTTTATAGACCTTTCTCTATACACTTAAGAACTTAGAACAGTGCCCCCAGTGTAGTAAGCTGTATACAAATTAGCAATTGTTATTTTTCACTGCTGCTTGGATTCCACAGTAGGGATCTACCATAGTTTATTTATACATTACCCTCTATGAATATGCTACTGGGGGAGAGTTTCATTTTCTCCTATTGTAAACAATCCTCTAATGAATGTCCTTGTGTCTGCTTGTTTACACATGTACAAGTGTTTCTCTACGGTAAATGGGGCATTTTGGTATTTACTGTCTGGTATTTACTTGATGGCTATATTGCCATTTAGATATGTTGCCTTCAAAGCGGCAGTGGCCACCCACACAGGGAACTAGTGTTTGTGAGAAGAGAATGAACGTTGTTTGGAATATGTTGGTGTGAATTGTCAGCAGAGCACCTCTTCTTGAAGACCCAGTTGGAGAGAAGGTAGGTTAGAGTTTTAAGACTGGAGATGTGGATTATAGTGGCGACTCTGTAAACTCTCTTAGAAAGTGGGGACAGCGGGGAAGTTGGGTAATCCAAGCAAAACATTGCATGATTGGTTGAGGGAGGGCAAAACTCCTATTATTATGTATAAGGATATGGGATAAAAGCTCTCAGTTAGGATGACCAAACATCCTGTTTTACTGAGACTGAGGGAGCTCTCAGGACATGGGACTGTCAATGCTAAAACTGGATAGTAAGTCCCGGGCAGATGCAGATGAGTTGGCCACCTTACTGTGTGGAGGCTCAATTTCAAAAAGGAGGGACGCTATTTCCTCTAAAACGATAGCAAAGGAGACCCAAAGTAGATGAGTTCCAAGCAGTTAGAAAATGCACAGGTACTGGAGGGAGCAAGGCTCAGCTTCTATGCTAGGGAAAGTTTCTGATGCACAGGATCAGGGCTCAAGGTCTAGTACCATGTGGTGGTTTGGTTATAACCAACAGAAAATGGTTCTGGCTGACTTTGTGGGAGGGAATGTTGAAAGCCTATTAGAGAGTCACAGAAGGAGGAAAAGCTGGAGAGATACCCTTGCAACACTGTAGGTTAGGGAGAAGAAGCCCAGCTACCGTTTTGTGTCAGGGACACCCCAGTCAAAACAGTGGCACACAGACGACCTGGAATTGCCAACACTTTCAGTTCAGTTCAGGGAGGAAGCAGCCAACTGGCCCAGCCCAATACCTGACCAGGAGGGGGTGGGCAACCTGACAGCAGCCCCTCATGATGAATCCAAGAAGTAAGGGGGCTCCTTGGAAAAAATTGGGGTGTTGTGAGGAAGCAGACATTGGTACCAATCAAAAAGGTTAACAAAGTCCCACTATCAATCCCTAAAGACTGGCACTGACTTCCTACACACTCCACATGCCTCGTGTTTATTCATGTCTAGGTATATGTCTGCGCATATATTATGTGCATAGCAGGTGCTCAATACAATCTTGCTGGATATATAAACGAATGGATACTCCTACAGAGGAAAACACACTCCAGTTAGCAGCAAGGAAGATCAGTTCCTGTTCCCTTGCAAACCAGGAGCAACCACAGCCCACGCAAAGCCACAATCTCTGTCTTCACACCAGGGCAGGTCTCACCAGAGGGCATATAAAATGTCCTGAACATGCTGATATAAATCTGCCTCATAGATGTGAGTCACTTTATATAACTGACATCTTCCTAAGCAGTTGTTCTTAAGCTTATTTTTAGGAAAGATAAAATTTCAGATTCGGTAGGAGAGCTTACTGTTCATAGGAATAGCATACAGCAAATCTTTTTCTTTGTTGTATATGACTTCTTTTATAAATCTAGGTTATCTTTATAGATTAGATATTTTTAAAAGCAGAATAAACCCACTGTTGGCCGGCGTGGGGCCGGCGTTAGTTTATTTCAAAAAACCCATTAACTTCTTAGACCCAATTTCATATACACACAGCACCACTGATTGCTGACAAAGTGTTTCTGAGTGGAGGTCCTGGAGGACCACTTTGGAAACTCTCTGAATCCCCTTGGTAATTGGTTTTATCCATCTTTATTCTGACAATTAGTGCGCTGAAGTCCTTAAAATCAGTATGTTCTTGTAATTCCCTTAAATAGGATTTAGGCAATCTATTTGACTTCAGGAACCCTTTTCTTGCAGGGAATGCAAAAGCATGAACTTTATTCTCAATTCAGAGAACAGATCAACAAAATTTAGGTGTAATTTCAAACAGCAATCTGCATGGGCTCTTCACTTTCCAGGCACAGGGCTGGAGACACAGCCTGAGTGCGCATGAAGTCTAGTCTCCTCTGGCCAGTAATTAATTCGCTTCTCTTTTATGTTTGGGGATTTGGTCCTGTTCCTCCTCAAGAAAATTTTGCATTTCCTTATGTACAGTTGGACTATCTAGTGATTCTAGCCTGCGTTCCTCTTGATGACACATATTGACTTTCACCATTTCTCCATTAAGTAGGATTTGTGTCATTTCAGCATTTGTGTTAGCTTTTGTTTCTTGTTATTAGGGATTATGCATGAAAGCAGGAAGAAGTCTCAGTACTAAGATTCTGGGCCTGTCTGGACATTTCCAGTGCTTAGAGTTGAATGCTATAATATATCTAAAGGTGCTTTAAAAAACCAACAGGCCGGGTGCGGTGGCTTACACCTATAATCCCAGCATTTTGGGAGGCCGAGGAGGGTGGATCGTGAGGTCAAGAGATCCAGACCATCCTGGCCAACATGGTGAAACCCTGTCTCTACTAAGAATACAAAAATTAGCTGGGTGTGGTGGTGTGCGCCTGTAATCCCAGCTACTCGGGAGGCTGAGGCAGGAGAATCACTTGAACCCGGGAGGTGGAGTTTACAGTGAGCCGAGATCATGCCACTGCACTCCAGCCTGGGCGAAAGAACGAGACTCCAACTCAAAAAACAAACAAACAAACAAACAATAAAAGGTGAGATTATTGCATGGGATTGCCAAGGAAAAATATCTCCCACTTTGGGGCACAGGTCCAACATAAACCTTTGTCAATACACTTCTGGTGGTTGGATTTGAGGTGTCTCATTACCCACTTATAAGTTGCTGGCCAAGGTGCCTACGAAGTCATCACAATTCTCCATTCAGGCTGGTTTCTGCCTGTCATATGTCACCCCTTAAGCTACAGGGGCCAGGCCTATTTAGCAGAAAGAGGTTTCATTACCAGTAACACTGCTGACGCTTGAGCTCAGAGGTAGCAAGTTCCTCGCCCTGATGCTGCTGCTGTTCCCACCAGAGCCCTTGTCAAACATCATATGACATTCTTGATGAACCCAAATATGGGCTCGCAAACTTCAACTATAGGATGCTCCACTGATTATGGATGGGCTTATGAATTGAAACCTAATTAAAATCCTGGTGAAGATCATGGGGGCTTAGGAAAAGGCTTCCAACATCTGGCAGAAGACAGGGTCTGATGACCTTGGACATTTCTTTGAATTCTAAGGACTATGATTCCATACTAGGTGGGGAGCAACATCACTGTTAGTCCTCCCTTATATTAAAAGGGAACATATATATTTATGTGTAATACATAGCATGCTTTGCCTTAACGTGACATTTTTTTGCAGCTTGTCTCAGTGAAGCTACATAGGGCTCAGGGAGACCTTGCCCAGGTAGGCTTGTAGGTGCTTATTCTAGAAACCCATCTGCTACTAACTGCAGCTGTCACTCAGAGTGAACTCACTGGCTGATCAAAGCCCTCCTCTTTCTGAGCATAAAATGAAATCTGAAAAGCAAAGCCATGTTGCTGACACCTCTTGGGCAAAGCCTTTTATAGGGGGAAGTGTCAATGTTTGTAGGTCCCATTTTTATGTCCTGCTCCAGTCCTGGCAACCCCGCTGGCTGCTGTCAGCAGCCAAGAGGCACCAAGGGTGTGGAAAATCAAAGCTCTCTCTTGCCACCAGAGAGTTAAACCCCAAAAGGCCTGTACTGAATGATTACTTGGAATGCTGAAAGGGTTTTTTTATTCTCTTTCAGGTCAGCTTTGCTGATATCCAGGGGCTAAGTATAACTGTAAGCATGAACATTTCAATAAATATGTTTCCTTCAATTACCCAGCTGGACAGTTTAGTTCACCAGACCCTGCAAGCATACAAAAGCTGCTGGGGAATTGTTGTGATTTAGATAATTTCTAATCTCCTCTTTGCTTAACCTGCAGGGGCCATGGGCAGTCTCAGAGACCAGGGGGAAGAGAGAGGGAGGTGGGGAGAGCTTGTTCTCATCAACCTGAGATGTAGGTCCTTGGCTCAGCTTCAGGGACCGATGCTGCATTCACACCAAGAGGCTGAAAAATATTGTGCAAGGTGAAGGTACGTTGGTGGGGGGCTGGTAAGGGATGAGAGGTGGGGTGGAGAATGTGGAGCAGTCACAGGGAAGACGAGACAGAGCTGCTGCCTAGCTTGGGTGCTAGGAAGCGAAGGACCATCAATGGGGACTCAGATTTTAGTCTCTGATATTACACCTCACACCCATTCGGCAAATTTCAGAGGGATTGTTGCTGGTTCATAGAGATCACCATTTTGATGTGTTACTTGAAATGAAATTTGGTAGCCCACTTGCCATGACAATATTACCTGTGATGTCTGCTTGGCTAAGCTCATTAAATAGGCAGTAGATTTATACTTAAATTACTTGATCAGGGGACTAATGACTAGGGGGATGGCTTCTTGGTCATCATGGAAAAATTGCAAAGGACAGTGGAGAATCAGATCGAATTAGAACAATTGTTTGGGGGTTGAGTGAGCCTCTGTGGCCTGCGATGCTCTCCATGGGTGCACGTGTCCTGGGCTATCAGAATTCTAGATTTGTGGATATAATGGCAGCATTTAACTCTCCTCTTTCACTAATGTTTTCTGGGTGTCTGACATCTGTTTCTGCTCTAAAGGGTCCTCTGATTCCCCTTGAAGCACTGTTTCCTCCTTGTGTGATACAGTCTTATGGAAATGTCCTCATGGTCCAGTTATCCCATGACCCAGTCTTGGCCAGCTAGGTGATTCCTACACGTGACATGGCTCCTGGCATGGCCGGTGTTCCAGGGCACCCCAGTGGTCAGGTCCTAGCCAGAATATGGGACAAGTGTGGTGCCCAGGTACCTTCTTCTAGATCTGTTTTGGTTCCTAGCCTGGCTCAGCAATCTCTCTTCAATGCTATACAACCCTGAGATCCCTTATGCTTAACTTAGTTGGAATTGAATTTCTTGTTGGCAGGAGCCTGTGTTTTTTTATTGAAGTTTTTATTAATTCCAGGGCAGGGACTTTAGAGATCACAGAATCCTTCATGTGGTTGCTTTTGTCTTTATTTTTAACAGAAGAAGAAATTGAAGAGATCTGTGGACTGGCCAGGCATAGTGGCTCATGCCTGTAATCCTAACATTTTGGGAGGCCGAGGTGGGCAGATTGCTTGAGCCCAAGAGTTTAAGAGAAGCCTGGAAAACATGGTGAAACCCTTTCTCTACAAAAAATACAAAAAAAGAAAAATAGCTTGGTGTAGCATGCACTTGTGGTTTCAGCTACTCAGGAGGCTGAAGTAGAAGGATGGCTTGAGCCTGGGAGGTAAAGGTTGCAGCAAGCTAAGATTGTACCACTGCACTCCAGCCTGGGCAAAAGAGCAAGACCCTATCTCAAAAAAAAAAAAAAAAAAAAAAAAAAAAAAAAAAAAAAAGAGGCCAGGCATGGTGGCTCACGCCTGTAATCCCAGAACTTCAGGAGGCCGTGGCAGGCGGATCACCTGAGATTAGGAGTTCGAGACCAGCCTGTGCCAACATGGTGAAGCCCCATGTATACTAAAAAAAGAAAAGAAATAGAAAAATTAGCTGGGCATGTTGGCGGGTGCCTGTAATCCCAGCTACTCAGGAGGCTGAGGCAGGAGAATTGCTTGAACCCAGGAGGCGGAGGTTGCAGTGAGCTGGGATTGTGCCATTGCACTCCAGCCTGGGTGACAAGAGTGAAACTCTGTCAAAAAAAAAGAAAGAAGAAAGAAAAGAAAGAAAGAAAGAAAAGAAAAGAAAGAAAGAGAAAGAAAGAAAGAAAGGCCGGGTGCAGTGGCTCACACCTGTAATCCCAGGACTTTGGGAAGCTGAGGAGGGTGGATCACGAGGTCAGGAGATCGAGACCATCCTGGCTAACACGGTGAAACCCTGTCTCTACTAAAAATACAAAAAATTAGCCAGGCGTGGTGGCGGGTGCCTGTAGTCCCAGCTACTCGGGAGGCTGAGGCAGGAGAACAGCGTGAACCCGGGAGGTGGAGGTTGCAGTGAGCTGAGACTGCACCACTGCACAACAGCCTGGGTGACAGAGTGAGACTCTGTCTCAAAAAAAGAAAAAAGAAGAAAGAAAGAAAGAGGAAAGAAAGAAAGAAGAAAGAAAGGAAAAATGAAAAGGAGGTACATGGGTCAAACTGCCCAAGTTTCTATGACTTGACTTGAACTCAGGACTTCCTTAGTCCACTGCTCTCCTACAACCCACAGCTTCCTCAGTTTGAGCATCCTGGCAACTGTCTGGCCAGTCAGGTTTGTGACAGGAGCAGTGAGAGGGTCCATGGGATAGCACTCAACAAGTCTCTCCTCCTGCAGTGTGGGTTGGCTGGTGTGTGTGTGCACAGAAGAGGGTGGAGGGAGTTGGCAGCACTTTGGGGAGAGCAGGGAACACTTCAGAAAACACCTTCATTTGCCCTTTTGCTTGGTCAGAGGGCCCATGTCTAAATAGAAGTTTCCCATAATAAGGGTACATTAATATAAATGGGAAATAAATAAGCAATAGCCACAACATTCACATTTCAGAATCACCTTGGAAGAAAGTCCTCAGGATCCCCAAGGAGCTGTGGAGGGAAGTGGAGCTGGAGTCAGCCCTAGAGATGTTCTTGCTCCCTCTGCCTTATAATCTGAATTCAACAAGTCCCCCACCCCCTCCCCACCCCAAAACTCTGCAGCTTCTCTCTCTGACACTCATTTCGGGCTCTTGGCAGGAACCTGCCCTCTGACACTCACCAGGGCCCTTCCTCGCATGAATGGCCACACTAACGAGGGTGACATTTCCACTTCCTTCTGTTGTCTTTGTCTTCCTGCAACATCTTGGGACTGATCTCCTGGGATACCTAATTAAAAGGCCGACAGTGCTTTTACCAATAGTCATACTTGGAGCTGGGAATTGTATCTCTGTGAAATAACAAAGAGCATCTTTGGATTTGTCCTAGAGGCCTGTGTTCCATGTAGTCCACATCCATCAGACGGCAATGTAGTCCACATCCATCAGACGGCAGGCGTTGAGTACCAGAGAGGCATACCATGTCTATAATCTGAGGACATCCTGCATTGCGACACAAGGTAATTTTAATGATAACCCTGACTGCATTCATTTGTCCAATGATTAATTCACTAACCATGAACTGCCTTCTGCATGTTAAGTACTAGGTTAGGAGATGAAGATACATGGATGAGCAAGAGGGCAGGCTCTTGCTCTCAAGGTGTTCAGTATGTTTGAGACTTGAGCAACATCTATTTCTCCTTATCTGATACTTACACCTTACTCTCTTCCCGAGGGACCCTCTCGTCCCATTTTCTATCCACAGAGATTTGAAGGAAAGAACTGATTCTATTTCCTGGCTTAAGGGCTCGGCAGATGAGCCAGGTCTAGCCATTAGAGTACAGTTCCACAAATTGTACCTTTTTCCTACCCATAATGACTGGTTCAGAGAGGGAACACGACCCATCTCAGTCCCAGAAAGAGTCAGTCCTGGATCTATTCCATCATTTGCTCTGCTCTATTCCATCATTTTTGCTAGAGCTCTTGGAACTGAGTTTTTTCCTTCTACCAGTGTTTCTAAGAGGCAGGAGGAAAGCCTAGAGATTCTGGGGCTATCCTTCTTGCTGTTCGAGAAGAGACTGCTTGAGAATGAAGCCACAATAGAGGATAACAGATTTCTTAATGCATCATATAAGTACCTAGATCCAATCATACCAAATCTACCCATGAATGTTTCAATTACTAATAAATTATCTTTTTTTTCCTTAGGCCAATTAGATGTGGGTTTTTGTCTTTTGAAACAAAAACAGTTCTTACTAGAGTAAAACGGGAGCAAGATGAGTCGATCACTTATTATAACACATCGTGATAATAGATGTGTGCAGAAGTGCCTTGGAATCTGTAGCTGGGGAAGTGGGGCCACACCCAACCTGAGAGATTTGGAGAAGGAATCCCAAGATGAGGAATTACTTGGGCTAATCATAAAGAATGAGTGGGAATTGTCCAGGTACATTCCAGGAAGAAGGAAGAACCTAGATAAAAATAAACTAAAATTTATTTAGCACACTTTTTTCTGTTTTTTTTTTTGAGACAGAGTCTCGCTGTGTCACTCAGGCTGGAGTGCAATGGCATGACCTTGGCTCATTGCAAGCTCTGTCTCCTGGGTTCAAGTGATTCTCCTACCTCGGCCTCCCGAGTAGCTGGGACTACAGGTGCACACCACCACGCCCAGCTATTTTTTTTTTTTGTATCGTTTAGTAGAGATGGGGTTTCACCAGGTTGGTCTCAAACTCCTAACCTCAAATGATCCACCCACCTCGGACTCCCAAAGTGCTGGGATTTCAGGCGTGAGCCACTGCACCCGGCCTTAACACACTATTTTTAAAGAAAAGGGCATTACATTTCAGAAAGATTTGGATCTCAGATGACTTACTTAAAAACACTTTGGTGTTTAAAAGGCGAAACTTCTATTTTATGAGAAGTTAATAAATATGGGGCAGCTTATTCCTTTATGATGCTCTGTAACCGCTGCTGTATTGGTGAACTAATGATTTCCATACACACCCTTCTCATTCTTTAAGCATTCCAGAAAGGAAACATGCCCTCAGAAGAGAGTGGGATCTATGGCTGTGATTCACAAACCTGGATGTTCACCAGAATCACTTAGGGGAGTGGAAACACAGGCGCACAGACCCCCAACTCTGACGGAGGCATCTAGTGTTTTATTCAAATTTCTCAGATGATTTTGCTGTGTAGCCAGCTTTAACATTCACTGAATCTAAAGAGAGGAGAAAAATAACATAATGATAGAAAGCACCAATATTTGGAAGTTAAGCATATCTGGGACTCTATTCCATCATTTATTAGCCACACTGCAGTTTCATCACCTCACCTGTAAAACAGAAATAATCACATTCACATATTAATGACATTCACAAATAATTGTGTAGTGCTTCTTAGGTACCAGATGCCATCTAATGGATTTGGGATATATCAGTGAACAAAGGGGTGAAGACCTCTGTCCAGTAGAGACAGACTGTGAAAATAATTAAAAGAGTAAGTATTGTGTGTGCTGGAAGGCCATAGTGCCAAGGAACAAAGGAAAAGCGTAGTCCAAGAGAGACCAAGAGTGCAAGGGAAAGTAAGAGAGCAGGTCGTAATATTACATAGGGCTAATCAGGGTGAGCCTCATTGGGAATGTAATTTGAGTAAGGACTTGAAGGAAGAGAGGGAATTAGCTAAATTATTATCTTGGGCAAGAGCATTACTGGTAGAGGGATAGAATACTGGGTTTCAGAGAATGGAGTCAGGGAGGAATCTAAGTTTTTGGACAGTGAGATTGAAAGGATGTAGCTACTATACATTAAAATTAGGAATTGGTTTGTGAATAGAGCAGGTTTTGAGAGGAAGATCAGCAGTTCAGTTTAGGACATGTTAAATTTGAGATGTCTATTAAATATCCAAGTGGGAATGGTGACGATGTGTTGGCTATATGGATTTGGAGTTCAGACGAGAAGTCTTGGCTGGAGATATAAATTCAGAATTAACTATAGAAGTGTTTCTAAAGCATTGAAATGCTAAGAACCCAATAAGGCAGTGGGAACAGATAGAGAAGAAAGGAGGATAACATACTGAGTTCTGGAACTTTCTGATATGGAAAGAATAGGAAGAAGATAAAGAATCAGCTAAGACTGAAACTGAGGTATCCTAGTAGCTAAGTAAAGGAGTGTTTTAAGGAAGAAGAATGATACGGGGTGTCAAACACTACAGATGGGGCAAGTTAAGATGAGGGCTGAGAATTGACCCTTGGAGTGAAGATTACTGTTGTCCTTGACCAAAGAAACTTTGGGGGTAGGATCTGTTGGTGAAAGTGTGAGTCTTCATCATATGATTGTTGTGAGGATTATGTTGTACTAGTTTTAATGTTGTGTAAATTATTATCATAAGTGGTGTTTAGGAATAAATCTTAATCTTCCTTTTTGATCTTGAAATGCATTTCCACCTCTTCTTTCTCAACTGAAAGTATTGCCCAATGTTACAATACTGAACATAAATCCAGGGATTCTGATCGGGATTGTGTTGAATCTACAGATCAAGTTTGGAACAATGGAGTCCTCCAATCCATGAACATGGAATATCTCTCTGTTTATTTGATCTTTTTTTTTTTAATCAGAATTTTGTAGTTTCTGCGTATAAATCCTGAACACAATTTTGTCAGATTTACATGTAAATATTTCCTTTTTCAGTGCTATTGTAAATCCTATGGTGATTTTTAATTTCAAATTTTAGTTGTTAGTTGCTGTTATATATGAATGCAATGTACTTTTATATAATAACATTTCATCCTATGATCTTACTATATATACTGCATTACTAGTTCCAGGAGAATTTTGTCGATTCTTTGAGATTTTTCACATAGACAGTCATCTAATCTGTGAACAAGGACAGTTTTATTTCTTCTTTCCCAATCTGTCTACATTTTATGTCCTTTTCTTGTCCTTTTACACTATGACTTCCAGTATGATGTTAAATAGGAGTGGTGAAAGAGGACATCCTTGCTTTGTATTTAGTCTTAGGGGAGAAACATTCAGTTTTTCAACATGAAGTAAGATAGCTGTAAGTTTCTTTTGTAGATGTTCTTTGAGAAATTGAGAAAGTTTTCTTCATTGCTAGTTTGCTAAGAGATTTAGATTAGTTTAGTTTTGTTTTAACATGAATAGGTGCTGAATTTTGTCAAAAGCTTTTCTGAATCCATTGATATTATTATATGATTTTGTTCTCCTTTAGCTTGTTGATGTGATGAATTGTATTGATTGCTTTTTACAAATGTTGTTCCAGCATTGCATACCTGCAAGAAATCCCACTTGGTTGTGATGTATAATTCTTTTTATGTGGTTGGATGGATTTGCTAATATTTTTGAGGATTTTTGCATCCATTGTCATGAGAGAAATTTGTCTAATTTTTCCTTTCTTATAATGTCCTTATCTTGCTTTGGTATTAGGGTAATTCTAGCTTCATAGAATGAGTTAGGGAGTGTTCCTTCTGCTTCTACTTCCTGGAACAGATTGTGGATAATTGATGTCAATTCCTTTTTAAGTGTTTGGAAGAATTAAACAGTAAAATCATTCAGACATGATACTTTCTGTATTGAAAAGTTATTAATTATTGATTCTATTTCTTTAATAAATACGGACCTATTTGGAGTATATATTTTTTTCTTTTCTTTTCTTTTCTTTTCTTTTCTTTTGAAATGGAGTCTTGCTCTGTCACCCAGGCTGGAGTGTAGTGGCACGGTCTTGGCTCACTGCAACTTCCACCTCCCGGGTTCAAGCAATGCTCTGCCTCAGCCTCCCGAGTAGCTGGGATTACAAGCGCCCATCACCACGCCTGGCTAATTTTTGTATTTTCAGTAGAGACAGGTTTCACCATCTTGGCCAGAATGGTCTCAAACTGCTGACCTTGTGATCCACCCTCCTCGGCCTCCCAGAGTGCTGGGATTAAAGGCATGAGCCACTATGCCTGGCCTAGAGTATATATTTCTTCTTGAGTGATGTTTGATACTTTGTATCTCCCTAGGATTTGGTCTATTTCATTGAAGTTATCAAATTTGTTGGCATAGTATTGTTCATAGTATTTCTTAATTATATTGTTAATGTCCTTGGGGTCTGTGGTGATAATCCCTCTTTCATTTCTGATACTGGTAATTTGTATCCCCTTTCTGTTTTTCTTGGTTAGCCTAGCTAACAGTTGATCAATTTTATTGATCTTTTCAAAGAACCAGATTTTGGTTTTGTTGATTTTCTGTATTGTTTTCTTTTTAAAATTTTGTGGATTTAGGCTCTAATTTTTATTATTTGTATTATTCTACTTGCTTGAGGTTTAATTTGCTCTTCTTTCTCTAGTGCCTAAAGTAGAAGTTTAGGTTCTCAAGTTTAGATTTTTCTATTTTTCAACTGTATGTATTTAATGCTATAAATTTTCCTCAAAATGCTGTTTTTACTTTATCCCACAAATTTTGAAGCAGTATTTTTATTTAGTTCAAATATCTAAATTTTTTTTAGACTTCTTTTATCTATGGGTTATTTAGAAACATGTTTAATTTCCAAATATTTAAGAATTTCCCAACTATTTGTATTAATGATTGATTTATTATTTAAAGTTGGTTATTGATATCTTGTTTAATTCTATTGTCCTCTGAGAACATACTTTGTATGATTTGTGTTCTTTTAAAATCATGAAGGTATGTTTAATGGCCCAGAATGTGAACTATCTTGGTGAATATTACATCAGGACTTGAGAAGAATATGTACTGTGCTGTTGTTGGATGAAGTATTCTGTAAGTATCAATTAGATCAAGTGAATTAATAGTGTTATTCAAGTTACCTATATTCTTTCTGATTTCTATCTGCTAGATCTTTCATTTCAATAAACATTTTAAATGTCAATGTTTTAAATACATCAATTAAAAGACATATAGGATTAGAGTGGATTTTTGAGGCCAAAACTGATACAATGTAAATGAAAGAGAGGTGTTGAGATCTTCAACTACAATATTAGATTTGTGTATTTGTTCTTTTAGCTCTATCAGTTTTGGCCTCAAAAATTTTGAGACAAAAATTTTGATACTCCATTTTTAGGTCAATATACATTTAGGATTATTACATCTTTGTAACAAATTGGTCCCTTTATAATTAAGTAATGCTCCTTTTTATCACCCATAATCTTCTTTGAGCTGAAGTCTTGTTTGTCTGAAATTAACATAAATGTGCCAGCTTTCTTTGGATTAGTATTAGCATGGTATATCTTTCTCCATTCATTTACTTTTAACCTATCTGTATCTTTATATTTAAAGTGTTTTTCTTATGTTTTCATCCACTCTAATCATATTTGTCTTTCAACTGATGTATTTAGAACATTCACATTTAAAATGCGTATTGATATAGCAGAATTAATATCTACTGAACTAAATTCACCTTCAAATAACACTATGCCACTCAACATGTGGTTTGGCTACCTTATAGCAGAGTATTCCCAATTCCTTCTGTCCTTCCCTATGGTATTGCTGCCATTCAGTTCACTTCTGCATATTTATAGTTACCCAATACATTTAATATCATTACTTTAAAAATCTTTTAGATTAATTAAAAATAAGAAAAACGTAACATTTTATTTTACCTTCACTTATTTCTTCTCCAATGCTTTCTTTTTCAATGTAGATCTAGATGCTTTCTAAATTTTCTCTTTGACTTTGGTTTTCTGAAGTTTGACCATAATATGCCTAAGTGTAGATTTTTTACTTATCTTGCTTGGTGTCCTCTGAGCTTCCTGGATGTTTTGTTTGGTGCAAGTCGTTAAGTTTGAAAAATTGTCAGGCATTATTACTTCAAATATTTTTTCTGCTCTGTTCTTTCTTTTTTTTTTTTTTTTTAGTCGGAGTCTCTCTCTGCTGCCTAGGCTGGAGTTCATTGGCGCGATCTCAGCTCACTGCAACCTCCACCTTCCAGGTTCAAGCGATTCTTCTGCCTCAGCCTCCTGAGTAGCTGGGATTACAGGCATGCCCCACCATGCCCAGCTGATTTTTTTTGTATTTTTAATAAAGCCGGGTTTCTCCATCTCAAACTCCCGACCTCAGGTGAGCCGCCCACCTCGGCCTCCCAAAGTGCTGGGATTACAGGCGTGAGTCACTGAGCCTGGCCTATTTTAACATTTAAATTGCATGTATGTTTCCTTCTCAACTCTGTCCTTTTGAGGACCATTTTCTCTGTGCTCCTTTCTGCAAACCTTCACATATAAAGAAGAAACTTTTTCACACAGTTCAGTTTGCTACCCAGAGAAATCTAGAAACCTGTGGGTTATTTTTGGCTCCACTTTCGGCAGTTAAAAGACATAGAGAGAGAAATAGAGAAGAGGACAAAAGAGGAGGAGAAAAAGAGAAAGACTAACTCTTATACATATAATTTAATGTCTGTGAATCCAAGAAAGAGATTCTAGTATTCACCCTTTCCAGTTTTCATTAATCTGATGCTTGAGAGAGAGTACCTGTTCACTCTGTGATATCAAAATTTCCTGGTATCCCCCAGACTCTCTGGGACTGAAGGCAGGAGAGAGGAGGGAGGGAAGGTGCCATGGTTTGAATCCTTCCTCTACCCCTTTAGCTGTCTGACCTTGGGCAAGTAACTAAACTTCTCTGAGACTCAGAATTCTCATTGGTAAAATAATTAAACTTATTTTTATAAGGATGAAGTAAAATTATTTATGTAAAACACATGATCCTGTGGTGGGCACATGTTAAGACCTATTATTATTATTCATTATTATTAGTTGATATTATCATTCCAGGTTTGATATTATCATTCCAGTCTTGTACAGTAGTTCCTGGTGAATGGGTTTCTGCAAAAGTCACCTATTTCATACAAATATGAGCCCATGGAAACCTCTTTTATCCCCTTGATTTACTAACTTGTTTATATTTTTCCCCCTTTAATTTTTTGTTATTTTTTATTTTATTTATTTACTTTTTTTGAGACAGAGTTTCACTCTTGTCACCCTGGGTGGAGTGCAGTGGCACGATCTGGGCTCATTGTCGTCTCCGCCTCCCAGGTTCAAGCGATTCTCCTGCTTCAGCCCCCCGAGCAGCTGGGATTACAGGCGCATGCCACCACACCTGGCTAATTTTTGTATTTTTAGTAGAGATGGGGTTTCACCATGTTGGTCAGCTAGTCTCGAACTCCTGGCCTGAAGTGATCCACTTGCCTCAGCCTCCCAAATTGCTGGGATTACAGGCATGAGCCACCGTTCCCAGCCTTCCCCCTTTAATTTTTTAATCCTCCAATAAATGAGGATTTTTCAGATTGATTACTGTATTAGTTTGCTAGGGCTGCTGTAACAAAGTAACACAAACTCAATGGCTTCAATGACAGAAATGTATTTTCCCATAGTTCTGGAAGCTGGAAGTCCAAGACCAAGGTGTCAGCAGAGTTGGTCCTTCTGAGGGCTGTGAAGGAGAAACCTCTTCTATGCCTCTCTCCTCGTCTTCTATGTCTTTTCACCTAGTGTCTTTCCTCTCTGCATATCATTGGGTAAAACTTGTATCTTTTGAAAAGAACATGAGTCATATTGGATTGGGGTCCACTCTAATGACCTCACTTTAAAATTTAGTACCTCTGTAAAGACCCTGTCTCCAAATAAGATCACATTAACAGATGGGGGAGGTTTGAACTTCAAAATATGAATTTTGGTAGGGAAGACACAGTTCAATCTATAATAATTGGCTTGTCAATAACTTCTCTCTTCTGCTAGTTTTGTCCTATCTTGCTCTTTGTCAGTGCTCTCTAGTTTGAGAAATTTCCAAATTCTTTGTGAGGCTCAGTCACCTGCTCCACACACCTTTCCTTTTTTTAGAAGTTTGGCTCAATTTAGTCTCTGTTCTTGGACTGTCGTTACTTTTTCTGACTCTTTCTTGATCCATTGAGGGGAAATTCTGTCACTAGTTGGCTGTTCTCGTGCTCTTGCTGCATTTGTCTTTGTTTTTGAACAAATTCCAAAAATAATCCTTTGTAACCTGTAATTTTTATCTCTACATTGTCTTTTGTTTTGCTTCACATTGCTGGAACCATGACAGAAAATTCTCAGAGTAATTTCGATTAGCATATATTCATGGCAGGCCTATAAAGGTTATTTTATTCTTAGGCAGATGCATCTGTAATTTTGCGTCTCTCAGTACACATGGCTTCCAGCCTCAGAGCAGAAACCACTTTTGGACATGACATGGAACTCATGTATGAAATGGGCTTTGGAATGCTATATATTTTCATGCTTAGAAATTTTGTTTGATTTATTTCAATTCAACAAATATTTATTGAGCACCTACTATGCATCAAATCCTGGACATAAAATAATTCATAACATGTGGATGCTGATCTTCAGAAGCCCTTGATCTAGTAGAAAAGACAGATCTTGATACAGTGTGGCAAGTGATACTCATGATAAGCATAAAACGCTGTGCAAGCTGCTAAGTTTTGGATTTTATTTCATTTTTGAGAGTATCTTAGAGCTTATACATTTTTTTTTCTTGAGGTTTTTCTTGAAGTTTTTTTCATGGCTGTTGGTCCAGATGAATGATGGTATGACCTGACTTCATGGCTTTCCAGTGCTCTTGGGGTATATTTAAAATCTTCAGAGTTGGCTATTGGGGCCTGCGTGACCTGACCCTGCCCACCTCCCCTGCCTGAGCTGGAGTCACACTGCTCCCAGGACAATGTTTTCCTGCAACACTAGTGGCCTTTCGGTTGGTGAAGGCTTTATATTTTGTCCCTTTTCAAGATCTAAGCATAGGGTTCTGCCAGTGATATGTTTGTTCGTATCATTTGGGCAACAACTTTTCTTCCTCTGGCCTTCATAATAAAAGCCACTTCTCCAAAAGGGGTTTTGCCAGGATCCCCTCTCTGTATCTCAGTCAATTCCTCTGTGTTACTCTTTTCCTGTGCCTTTCCTTCATCACACTTACAATGGTTTATATCTACTTATTTGTGAGATTAGTTCTTTTATGTCTATTACTTCCACTGGATTATAAGATCTATGGGGTAGGAAATTCACCTCTTTTGCTCATCATTCTATGCCCAGCATAGTGTCTGACTCAAAATGAGATCTGTTAAAATTTCCATCTTTAATCTTTTACGTCTATCCTCATGTTCTCTCCTTACACACTGATTAAAGGGTCCCAGCTAGAACTTGCATCCATGTGCTCTGGCTCCAAATCTCCTGCCTTGTGCTGTAGTCTCATTCTGGGATCATCTGATTTACTTGTATGGCTAGAGACTCACTTCTGAAAATTGTTGTATGGATGTAGCTTCCAGAATGAGATCCTGTGCTGACATTTATGTTTTCTTTATTTCTTTTTGAAAAAAATATGCTACATTGAGATAAAGGGGACAAAGTTATGTGAAATTAAATGAACTCTTTGTAAGCATTATTCCTACAATTTGAGTAGGTATAAATAAGCAAATGGTAGTGCCTGTATGGGATGACCTGGGTCCCAGTCAGAAAATAGGCTTTATCTCATGCCAATTCCAGAATGTTATTGGTAGCTGCCTAGAGTGTTACATTGAAGATTTTGTTTAAAGTTCTGTCTTGCCGCACAATGAAAAAAAAATGGCATGGTTGATTAGCAGTATCTATTTTGGGAATAGGGAGGAGAGGCAGCACACACACAGACCTTATCCTATTGCCCTAGGCCTCAGAGATGGGTTAACTCACTAGAGTAACAAAATTGGAAACTCTACTCTGTATTTTCAGTATATGCTGAATGATGGGTTTTCCATTGTTCTTTTTAATGTATACATAATTTACAAACAGTGAAATCTACACTTTTTAGGATAGCATTCTGAGAGTTTTGACAACACACACAGTTGTGTAACCACCATCATGCAGTCAAGATTACAGAAGAGTTTTGTTATCCTCCCAAATTCCCCCTTACCCTTTTGTAGTCAGCTCCTCCCTTCACCTCAAGCCCTTGGTGACACTAATTTGCTTTCTATCTTTATAGTTTTGCTTTTGCAAGAATGTTATATAAATTTAATTAATGTCTGTAGCCTTTTGAGACAGTCTTCTTTCATTTAGCATAATGCATTTGAGAGTCATCCACATTGTTGCATGTGAACAGGTTTTAATTCAAGGTTAGTTAAGAGATCAATCAATGAAATAGATATTCATTTACTAATTTAAAAATATTTATTGAACTTATTGAAATTATGACCATTAATATGCTTGGTCATAATTTCAATAAGTTCAATAAACACAAATAAATATCCATAAGCATGGTCTTTTTCCATTCCAAATATCTATCTATCTATCTATCTATCTATCTATCTATCTATCTATCTATCTATCATCTATCTATCTTTATATGTACATCTCAAGGTAAGTTACCATAAAACAAATTCTAAATGACTGCTTAGAGGCAGTAAGTTCTGAAGGAGTTTGGAGGAGGGAGAGGTCTTTGTTTACAACTGGGGGTGTTTTTATAAAAGTAGATGGCATTTGAGTGAGCCTTGGAGAGTAGTTAGGACATCCCTTTAGAAATGTTGAATATCACTAACAAAGTATTTAAATATTCTTGTTTTGCTTCTCAGGAGTCCATTAGGCCTTTTTCACTTGCAGTCCAACCTTATAGCCATGCACAAGCACGAAAAAGGATATTCTGGAGAGTGAGAGATTTTTAAAATCATTTTTTACTATAATGAACATTTACTAACCATATACTACTCGTAAAAGTCAGTGCAAAGTGTTCTGGAGAATACAAAGGTAAAAAAGACGTTGTTTTACTTCTTTATCTGTCACTTATTTATACTACACTTTTCTTTACTCTATCCTCATTCCCGCCCCCCTTTCTTCTATCTTGTTTTATAAAGGATTTGAACCAGCTTCCAAAAGTACTCATAAAATAAATCATTAAAAATATTTGGACAAAGAGATAATATGAGAAAAAAAACCCAAAACAATCCAGGGGTAAATTTACTTACCCCCCAGGAATGTATACCAGATTATTTTATAGAGATACTAGAGATTGGGCTGTATATTTTCTGGAGGCTAAAGTAAGTAGGGAAATGTGTTTGGTTAAAAAACCCATATTGTCCAGAAGAAAAAGACAACCCACTTGTTTAAGGTTTTCATCTTGCTGAGCTGAGAAAAGATTTCTCCCTTGGGTCTTCATAAAGAAACCACTTTTTGATTCAGAGAATATCTTCCTGGCTTCCATCCCAGCAATAAATACAAGAAGAGCAAAGTTTGCTTGGTTGCTTCGTGCAGCATCCCTCAATGCAAGTCAATATTGGAACAGCAAAGCTCCATTATGTCAAGTAAATCTGACAACAGTCAGAGTGATGCCATCCAGATACACAGCTCTCAGATGGTGTGCTCTGATCCTAGGGCAAAATTTATCATTTCTAGAAAATAGATAAATAGCATGTCCTTCAGACAATCCTCCATAAATATCTATTCTCATAAATGGGGTTTTGATAGGATTTGGACAACAGAGACTTATCTGACACGTAACTAGAATACATCTATTCAGTGTTTCCATTAAGGGCTGATACACATATTTTGACAACCGATCAGACAGAAGGTAGGATATTATTGTTAATTGAAAATCGTGAAGACTATATAAGGTGTGTTTGAATAGGGGTTATTCCTCCTTGGTGCAAGGTGTTCTTATTCTAGAAGAAGGTGCTGTGCTGAGACCTTTAGATATATTCTGTCATTTGAACATCCCATAGCATCCCTTTATTGTGGCTTCTATTTTCATCCCCATTTTACAGAAAAGCTAACATTTTGAGGAGTTCAGTGATTTGTTCAACTTACAAGCTTGTAAGTCTTAGAGCCAGGATTCAAAATCAGGTCTCTCTGGAATCAGAAATCTGCAAATCTTTGTTTGCTTAAAAATATTTAAACATACAAAATTTAAGGTATTATGCATTGAACACTCATGCTCCCGTTGCCCAGCTTATGGTATAAAGCATTAAGAATAAAGTTGACACCCTCGTAGATTCTTCCCTGATCTCATTATCTTCTTGATTCTCTCCTCCTAGAGATAGCCCCTATTCTTGAAATTGATACCACTCTCATGAATGTCTTTATAATTACATATCATTATGTGTAGCCCCAAACAGTATTGTTTCGTGTATTTCAAAGCACTAATTTATACCAAATTGTATGGATCTTTCTTTAACTTATTTTTTGTTTAACTGTATATACTTATTTTATTTTATTTTATTTTTGAGATGGTCTTGTTCTGTCACCCAGGCTGGAGTGCAGTGGTACAGTCTCAGCTCACTGCAGTCTCAATCTCCTGGGCTAAAGTCATCCTCCCACCTCAACCTTCCCAGTAGGTGGGACTACAGGTGCATGCCACCATGCCTGGCTAATTTTTGTAATTTTTTGTAGAGATAGGGTTTTGCCATGTTTTCTTGGCTGGTCTCAAACCCCTGGGCTCAAGCGGTCCACCAGTCTCCGCCTCCCAAAGTGCTGGGATCACAGATGCGATCCACTGTGCCCAACCTATACTTTAGTTTTATCCATCTTCATAGATGTAGTTCATATCCATTCATTGTCACTGCTGGATAGCATTCCATTGTAAGACTTGCAATTATTCTTCTCTTGATGGTTACTTGAGTCATTTTTAATATTTTGCTGTTAATGAAAATCCCATTCTGAACATTCTTGTCCATATCTCCTGGTGGATATGTTTAAGAGTTTCTCCAGGTTAGTGGGATATTTTAGAATTGTGGGTGAAATTTTTTTTTTTTTTTTTTGAGATAGAGTATCCCTCTGTCACCCAGGCTGGAGTGCAGTGGCATGATCTCGGCTCACTGTAGCCTTTGCCTCCCGGGTTCAAGCGATTCTTCTACCTCAGCCTCCTGAGTAGTTGGGACTACAGATGTGCACCACCGTGTCCAGCTAATTTTTATATTTTTAGTAGAGACAGGGTTTCACCATGTTGGCCACGCTGGTCTCGAACTCCTGACCTCAAGCGATCCACCTGCATCAGCCTCCCAAAGTGCTGGGATTATAGGTGTGAGCCACCGGGCCCAGCTGGGTTGAAACTTGTTTGTCACAATAATTGGGAGGCACTACTGGCATTTAGCGGCTGAGGTCAAGAGAAGCTAGATGTACTGCAGTGTATGATACATTCTTATAAACAGGAATGTGTCCTGACATCTTGTGACTTTGAAGTATTTTGCCAGATATTCAGGTGTAAAATTTGTAATTATTTGAATCTATAAAATAAATTTATTTTACATAAAACCACAAAATACTCTACATAGGTTTAGTCCACATGAGCTTTCCAAGAATGTAGCTGACATGTAATTTTTAAAAAATGCACTTTCAGAACTTTACCAAGTATTCACTATTCTGGAAAATCACATCATCAACAGCAGTTCTACTGGTGTACTTGAATTACTCATTCAACACGCTTGTTGAAGTTTGCCTTAGCAATGGATGCATTAAGGTCATACTACACAAAGGTGGGTGTGTTCTAGTTAAGTTACCTAAGCATTTCCCATTGACTAGAAGAAAATGTTTGCAAATCATATAACTCACAAAGGATTGATACCCAGAATATATAAAGAACTCTTACAACTCTGTAAAAACAGAAAAACCCAAGCAACATTCTTTAAAAATGAGCAAACGATTTGAAGAGACATTTCTCCAAAGAAGATATATAAAAGTCCAGTAAGTGCATGAAAAGATGTGCAACATCACTAATCATTAGGGAAATGCAAATCAAAACTCAAATGAGATACCACTTCAACCCATTAAGGTGGCTACTACCCAAAAAGCAGGAAGTAAAGTGGTGAGGATATGAAGAAATTAAAACACTTTTGCTCTGGGAATTGTAATTGCAATTGGGTAAGTAAAATGGTGCAACTGCCGTGGAAAACAGTATGGTGGTTCCTCAAAAAATCAAACATAGATTCAGGATCATCATGGCAGATGAGAGGCAGGACTAGATTGCTGCTCTGACTTGGATGGACAGAGCAGCATGTGGAGGCTCGTATCATGAATTTTAGCTCCAGAACGACTGCAGGAAAAATCAGGAATCCCGAGAGGACCTTCTGAAAGGACAGACCCTCTGAAGGATGGGAACTGCTTCTGCAGGACCCAGGAGATACCCCAAATACTCCACAGCAAGACCCACCCAAGGAAAGTCTGAGCTCAGACATGCCCAGTCCTGCCCCCACCTGATGGTCCTTCCCTACCCACTCAGGTAGCTGAAGACAAAGGGCATATACTCTTGGAAGTTCTAGGACCCACCCACTGCCTGTTCCTCTCCATACTACCATAGCTGATGCTCTCTGGAAAGTGCCACCTCCTGGCAGGAGGCCAACCAACATAAAAATAGAGCATTAAACCACCAGAGCTAAGAACTGTCACAGAATCCATGTCACCCCCTGCCACCTCCACTGGAAGAGGTGCTGGTATCCACAAGTGAGAGACTCATAGACTGTTCACATCACAGGACTGTGCAAATAACCGCCAGTACCAGCCCAGAGCCTGGTAGACTTGCTGGGTGGCTACACCAGAAGAGAGATAACAACCTCTACAGCTCAGCTCTCAAGAAGCCACACACATAGGAAAAGGGGGAGAGTTCTATATCAAGGGAATACCCCATGGAACAAAAGAATCTGAACAACAGCCTTTAGCCCTAGACCTTCCCCCTGACAGAGCCTACCCAAATGAGAAGGAACCAGAAAACCAACTCTAGTAATACGAGAGAACAAGGCCCCCCCTCCAAAAAATCACACTAGCTCACCAGCAATGGATCCAAACCAAGAAGAAATCCCTGATTTACCTGAAAAAGAATTCAGGAGGCTAGTTATTAAGCTAATCAGGGAGGCACCAGAGAAAGACAAAGCCCAGTGCAAGGAAATTCAATAAACAATACAAGAAGTGAGCGGAGAAATATTCAAGGAAATAGAAAGCATAAAGAAAAAACAATCAAAACTTCAGGAAACATTGGACACACTTACAGAAATGCAAAATGCTATGGAAAGTCTCAGCAATAGAATTGAACAAGTAGAAGAAAGAAATTCAGAACTCAAAGACAAGGTCTTTGAATTAACCTAATCCAACAAAAACAAAGAAAAAAGGATAAGAAAATATGAACAAAGACTCCAAGAAGTCTGGGATTGTGTTAAACAACCAAACCTAAGAATAATTTATGTTCATGAAGAAGAAGAGAAATCCAAAAGTTTGGAAAACATATTTGGGGGAATAATTGAGGAAAACTTCCCTGGCCTTGCTAATGACCTAGAAATCCAAATACTAGAAGCACAAAGAACACCTAGGAAATTCATTGCAAAAAGATCATCACCTAGGCACATTGTTATCAGGTTATCTAAAGTTAATACAAAGGAAATAATCTTAAGAGCTGTGAGACAAAAGCATGAGATAACCTATAAAGAAAATCCTATCAGATTAACAGCAGAAACCCTACAAGGCAAAAGGGATCAAGGCCCTATCTTCAGCCTCCTCAAATAAAACAATTATCAGCTAAGAATTTTGTATTTAGCAAAACTAAACATCATATACAAAGGAAAGGTACAGTCTTTTTCAGACAAACAAATGCTGAGATAATTTGCCACTACCAAGCCACCACTACAAGAACTGCTAAAAGGAGCTCTAAATCTTGAAACAAATCCTGGAAACACATCAAAACAGAACCTCTTTAAGGCATAAATTTCACAGAACTTATAAAACAAAAATACAATTTAAAAAGCAAAAACAAAAAACTAAGTTATACAGACAACAAATAGCCTGAAGAATGGAATGATATCTCACATCTTAATACTAACATTGAATGTAAATGGCCTAAACACTCCACTTAAAAGACACAGAAATGCAGAATGGATAAGAATTCACCAACCAAATATCTGCTGCCTTCAAGAGACTCACCTAACACATAAGGATTCACATAAACTTAAAGTAAAGGGATGGAAAAAGGCATTTCATGCAAATGGACACCGAAAGTGAGCAGGGGTAGTTATTCTTATATCAGAAAAATCAAACTTTAAAGTAACAGCAGTTAAAAAAGAAAAAGAGGGACATTATATAGTGGTAAAAGGCCTTGTCCAACAGGAAAATATCACAATCCTAAACATATATGCACCTGACACTGGAGCTCCCAAATTTATAAAACAATTTCTAATAGACCTAAGAAATGAGATAGACAGCAACACAATAATAGTGGGGGACTTCAATACTCCACTGACAGCACTAGACAGGTCATCAAGACAGAAAATCAACAAAGAAACAATGGATTTAAATTATATGTTGGGACAAATGGACCTAACAGATACAACAGAACATTCCATTCAACAACCGCAGAATATACATTCTATTCAACCACGCATGAAACTTTCTCCAAGATAGACCATATGATAGGCCACAAAACAAGGCTGAATAAATTTAAGAAAATTGAAATTATATCAAGCATCCTCTCAGACCATAGTGGAATAAAACTGGAAATCAACTCCAAAAGGAACCTTCAAAACCACGCAAAATACATGGAAATTAAATAACCTGTTCCTGAATGATCATTGGGCCAAAAATGAAATCAAGATGGAAATTAAAGAATTCTTTGAACTGAACAACAGTAGTGACACCTATTAAAACCCCCGGGATAGGGCAAAGGCGGTGCTAGGAGGAAAGTTCATAGCCCTAAACACCTACATCAAAAAGACCAAAAAAGCACAAACTGTCAATCTATGGTCACACCTCAAGGAACCAGAGAAACAAGAATGAACTAAACAAAACCCAAGCAGAAGAAAGGAAATAGCCAAGATCAGAGCAGAACTAAATGAAAATGAAACAACAACAACAAAAATACAAAGGTAAATGAAACAAAACCTGGTTCTTTGAAAAGATAAATAAAATTGATAGACCATTAGCAAGATTAACCAAGAAAAGAAGAGAGAAAATCCAAAAAACCTCAATAAGAAACAAAACGGGAGATATTACAACTGACACCACTGAAATACAAAAGATCATTCAAGGCTACTATGAACATCTTTATGCACATAAACTTGAAAACCTAGAAGAGATGGATAAATTCCTGGAAAAACACAACCCTCCTAGCTTAAATCAGGAAGAATTAGATACCCTGAACAGACCAATAACGAGCACAGAGATTGAAAAGGTAATTTTAAAATTACCAACAAAAAAGTCCAGGACCAGACAGATTTACCAGCAGAATTCTACCAGACATTCAAAGAATTGAATAAAATAATACATTTTTAAAAATAAAAAGAAATATAATATTTTATTATAATCTATTTCCTTAAAAATACAGCTAGGTACCAATCCTATTGACACTATTCCACAAGATAGAGAAAGAGGAAACATAACCCAAAAAGAAAACTATAGACTGATATCCCTGATTAGCGTAGATGCTAAAATCCTTAACAAAGTACTAGCTAATCGAATTCAACAACATATCAAAAAGATAATCCACCATGATCAAGTAGGTTTCATATCAGGAAGGAAACTCTGACACATTCTACAGCATGAAAGAACCTTGAAGACATTATGATAAGTAAAATAAACAAGTCTAGAGAGGATAGATATTGCATAATTCCATTTATGTGAAGTACCTAGAGTGGTCAAATTCATAGGGACCGAAAATACAACAGCAGTTGCCAGGGGCTGGAGAGAAGGAGCATGGGGAGTTATTGTTTAATGTGTACAGAATTTTAGTTGGGGAAGATGAAAAAGTTCTGGAGATGGATGGGTGGTAATGGCTACACAACAACGTGAATGTACTTAATGCTGCTGAAGTGTATGCTTAAAAATGGTTAAAACGGTACATGTTGGGCCAGGCGCGGTGGCTCACGCCTGTAATCCCAGCACTTTGGGAAGCCAAGGGGGTCGGATCACGAGGTCAGGAGATCCAGACCATCCTGGCTAACATAGTGAAACCCCGTCTCTACTAAAAATACAAAAAAATTAGCCTGGCGTGGTGGTGGGCTCCTGTAGTCCCAGCTACTTGGGAGGCTGAGGCAGGAGAATGGCATGAACCCGGGAGGCAGAGCTTGCAGTGAGCCAAGATCACACCACTGCACTCCAGCCTGGGCGACAGAGCAAGACTCCATCTCAAAAAGAAAAAAAAAAAAAAAGGTACATGTTATATTACCAGTGGTATTACCAGGTATATTTTATCACAATAAAATCAGATATTTTAAAAAATAAAAAGAAATATAATATTTTAGTATAATCCATTTCCTTTTAAAAATACAGTTAGGTACCATATTAACTTTTTTATGACTTAGAAATATCTTTAATTGAAAAATTAAGTCATCTTGTAGAATTACCTTTCCTTTTTCATGGGCTTAATGCCCCTCAAAAGAGAATGTTTTTATTACCAAGGGAAAGTGTAGTTTTCTTATATTGTATGAAGTACTCAATCTTTGTTCACAATTTAGTTTGCTTTGTAACAGATCCTTGATTCTCCAGTTTATGTTGACTTTTTGAAATCATGTGTGTGGGTAAGTTGTGTTATTTGTGAATTTCATTTAAAGAAGGTAAAGAGAGTGTTACCAACTGTTTATTACCAAAAGAGGACATTGGGCTTGATAGGGTTGTGAACTAGTGCTCCAGGGTAGATGCTTGGGAACGGAATTTCTGATTGTAGAGCATGCCCATCTGAAAATTTGCTAGAAAATGTCAAATTATTTTCCATAGCAATTAAAAAAATCATGCCACCAACAGTGTTTTAGAGGTCCTATTTTTTGTTCCATCTCCTCACCAATACTTGGTATCATCACACTTTGAAATTCCTGCTGATCTATGTATATGATGTCAGGTAGGTTATGATGCAGTATGGATGTCCCACCCAAATCTCATGTTTAAATATAATCCCCAGTGTTGGAGCTGAGGCCTGGTAGGAGGTTTTTGGGTCATGGGGGTGGATCCCTAATGGCTTGGTGCTGTCCTTGTGATAGTGAATGAGTTGTGTAGAGTGTTCTCTCTAATGTAAAGTGTAACACCTCCTCCCACACCCTGTTTCTTGCTCCTGCTTTCACCACATGATGTGCCTTCACCTGCTTTGCCTTCTGCCGTGAGTAAAACTCCCTGAGGCCTCCCCAGAAGCCAAGCAGATGCCAGTGCCGTGCTTTCATAGCCTGCAGAACCATGAGTCATTTAAAGCTGTTTTCTTTATAAATTACCCGGTCTCAGGTATTTCTTTAAAGCATTATAAGAATGGTCTAACACAGGTTCCAATTTTATTTTTTAACTAGGAATAATCAATTGATCCAGCCCCATTCATTGAATAGTTTATCCTTCATTAATTCAAAATCTGTGACTGTATGAAATCCATGACTATGCATATAAATACACATATACACACATTTTTTACATGGGGATTTTTTGGGTTTTTTTCTTTTTTAATTGTCATATAATAATTGTACATAATTACAGAGTACACAGTGATGTTTTGCTACATATAATGTACAGAGATCAGATCAAGGTCATCTTGAGTATTTATCATCTCTTTGTGTTGGGAACATTCAATATCCTCCTTCTAGCAATGTGAAACTGTATTATATGTTATTTGTTAACTATAGTCACCCTACAGTTCTATAGAACACTAGAACTAATTCCTCTTATCTAGCTGTAATTCTGTATACATGGATTTGTTTCTGGGTTTTCTATTCTGTTCCATTGTTCTATTTGGGTATTCAATTAAAATATCAATATATTTTAATATATTCTATGAAAATAGCAGTCTTTCTTAATTACTATAGATTTATAATTAGTATTTATGAAAGTCTGCATTTTTTCACTATTAAAATATACTGCTTCCAAAAGCAGTTCAATACTTAGCAAAGCAGCTTTATGGTGAGCCCTCTAGGATAAATGCAAATAATCCATACTGTTGTCTTCTCTTACAAGATACACATCATTTAACTAATGATTAAATAAATCATTATTTAAATTTTAAATATAGATGTTGGAGGCAATCTAAATAAGTGAAAGTGCATCTGTCAAAGATGATGACAGAAATGGATGTCAAGCTTTTATTTTTAGGTCTGTCAATGATGAGATTACCAAATTGTCCATTGAGACCACTTCTAGATTATAACAAGATCAATGCGCACAGAAGTACTCTTAACTTTATGCTTTCATTGGTGGGCAGACATGTGTCAACTTCTCTATTTGTATAGATAAAAATGACAGAGAAAGACACACATCCCAGTTTCTAATATTCGAAATCACTATCTGTTCTCTTCAGAACCCATTTCTCTTAAACTCAGTGGATGAGGTTCACTCACTCATCGTGTTCCTTTGATGTCACTGTTCTAGTAAGAGTCACATCTACTCAGCTATATCAATTGTTTTTTGGGAAGATAAATTATAAAAAGGATCTGCTTCCCTCAGCCTGATATATCCTCTGGGCCACAACATTATAAACAGAACAGAAGGACAAGACCTATTTGCTTTACCTATTGACTATGTGCAGGGCACACCTTGAGAATGACAACAGACCACGCACCTAAGAAGACAATGTCAACTGTAATTTCTGGGGTATATACATGTTGAGACGAATATAATCAAACTTCTCAGTAAATGAAATCAGTACAAGATGACTTCTGTTATACTAACAGACAAGCCTAAAAATACACTCCCACCTGATCTGAAAAGGATTTCAGTTGTTAGAAGCAGTCGTATCCCTTTTCCCAAGAAAGTTGAGAGCCAGAGAAAAAATTAGACGTAAACTAGCAACATTAGAGCAAGGCTATAGAAGAAGAAGGTTTGGATGTGCAGTAAGGATGGACATGACCAACATGGAGCTTCTCAAGTGGGTGGCTTTGAATGTACCACATTCATATTGAGCAGGGGCTAGCCAAGAAAACACTAACAAATGACTAAGGATTCTGTGTCTCCACTTCTCTCACAAGACATCTGAGCCCAGTTTTAGCCAAATAGATAACCCTTCTTCCTATGAAGTCAGATAGGGAATGGAGATGGTGACCAAATGCTTATTCTTTCTTATGTGATTCCTGCAAGTGGAAGTAAGGAGAGATGCTGGTGATGACTACCCTCTGGGTCACCAATGATGAGTTAATTTGCCATAATTGGTGCAATTATTATAGGCCCATGATGCTTTACCAGAGAGGTGATCTTGTTTGAAGGCAAAGAGAATGTTCATTTGACCCTTGAAGAGTAAATTAATTTTCTCTATAGCAAGCTTTACACATATGGAGAGCTTCGCAATCACAATAATATGCAGTGGTCTGAAGGTTTGTGATCTCCCCAGATTCATACATTAAAACCTAATCCCCAATATGATAACGATAAGATGGGACCTTTGGGAGGTGATTAGGTCATAAGGGCTAATCCCTCATGAATGGAATTGGAGGTACCCTGATGAAAGAGACCTCAGACACCCAGTTAGCCCCTTCCACCACATGCGGATGCAGCGAAAAGGTACCATTTCTGAACCAGAGAGTGAACCTGTACCCAACACTCAATCTGCTGGCACCTTGATCTTGGACTCCCCAGCCTCCAGAACTGTGAGTGATACATTTTTGTTGTTTGTAAGCTACTCAGTTTATGGTATTTTCATTACAATAACCCAAACAGACTAAAACACTCTTCAAAAGGGACTATATATCTGGACTATGGGGCACTTGGAATATGTTATATTTAATAAAAATGTAGTAAATGAATGAATTCATAAACAAGTAAACACCTGCCTCTCCATCACCTTGCTTCTTTGGACTCACCCCTTAATGCTGTCTTCTTTTACAAGATATCACACTTTAAAAGAAAATTTAAAAAATACCTAGTGAGGAGAATAAAAGAAAATTTAAAATATACCTAGCGAGGAGAATCTCATGGTGTAATTTCCGGGATTTTATCAAGTAGTCCATAGACATTTTGGCAGTTTCCCAGGAAATATTAATAAGAAAAAACTTTTTTATTTGTGAGAAACATGTATTTCACAAAAGGGAAATGTGTGATTTTTTATTTTTTCTTAGAAGCACTGTGACTTTTTAAACATTACAACCTTGAAGGCTGCATGGGCCCCACAAGGAGTGCACTCATCCGTCTGTCTCAACTAACACATCATTCAGGGAGTGAAGTTATCTTGCCACTATAACTTCATGGTATTTGGGATTATTGATATTCACCACATTTCCCTTTCTGTGGTCATATTATGTGATGTTGTATCTCAAATACACAAAAATGGATTCATGACTCATATTCATTGAGGTGTAAGAATAGTATGAAGAGACTTCCAGGATGAAAAGCCTAGAAATGGTCACTGTCATCCTTAAAATAAGAAAAAGCTGAACAAATGGAAAATCAATGACTTTTCTTGACAACATCAAAGAACTGAGATCACAGGGTAAACTGCCAAACCTGGGCAAACCTGAAACTGGAACATTGAGTACATCTGGGGAGGTACAGTAACTGGGACCTGTTTATCTGGAACAGAAGCCTGCAGTCATAACCCTGTAGGAATGTTTACATGGTAAATTCAAGAAACTGCTGGAGGGCTACTGTGAGAGTGAGAAACTCCTGGGGCCTCCACACTGTTATGAGCTTTCCCTTTAGAAACCCCACCAGGTTTCTCATGGTGAAAATTTCACTCAGATACCCTCAGGGCCCTGGCAGTGGGAGGGAAGGATTAGCTATGGTCAAATATACAGAGCATCCTCTCAATAACCAAGGCCCATTCCCCAGGGGAAAGGGCTTTGCCTACTCACAGTTCTGGAAACTTTCTCCAACTGTGGGAAAAAGAATTCTCCCCCACTCCAGTCCCCTAAGGGGAAAATAATCAACATGCGATAGGGCTCCAAGGAAAATATTTTAAAAACACAGTATGAAGAAACAAAGTGATCATTAGAACCAGGCTCAGATATGCACACACTTTGGGATTATCAGATAGGGAATTTTCTTTTAATCCTATAATTGGAAACTTTAAGAAAAAGAAATCAAAGGAAATGCTAGAAATTAAAAACATTGTAATAAAAATGATGGGCTCATCAGTAGACTTGACACAACAGAGGAACTTTTCAGTGAGCATGAAGGTAGGTCAACAGAACTTCCAAACTGAAAGGTAAAGAGAAAAAAGAATTTAAAATACCCAACAAGCAAACAGAATATTCAAAAACTCAGGGACAATATAAAAAATGGTCTGCGTATAATTTAAATTCTAGAAAGAGAAGGGAGCAGAGGAAATATTTGAGAAGTAATAATGACCAAAAACTTTCAAATCCAAAATTTATACGAAACCAAAAACAGCCTGAATAGCTGAAGCAATTCTAAGCAAAAAGAACAAAGCTGGAGCCATCACACTACCCAGCTTCAAACTATACTATAAATCTACAGTAACCAAAACAGCATGGTACTGGTATAAAAATAGACACATAGACCAATGAAACAGAACAGAAAACTCAGAAATAAAGTCATACACCTACGACCATCTGATCTTTGACAAGGCTGACAAAAATAAACAATGGAGAAATGATTCAATAAATGGTGCTGGGATAACTGGCTAGTCATATGCAGAAGATTGAAACTGGACCCCTTCCTTATACCATATACAAAAATTAACTCAAAATGGAGCAAAAATTTAAATGTAAGACCTCAAACTATAAATATCCTAGAAGACAACCTAGGATTTACTCTTCTTGATGATGGCCTTGGCAAAGAATTTTTGGCCAAGTCCCCAAAAGCAATTGCAACAAAAACAAAAATAGACAAGTGGGACCAAATTAAACTAAAGAACTTCTGTACAGCAAGAGAAACTACCAACAGAGTAAATAGACATCTACAGAATGGGAGAAGCTATTCACCAACTATGCATCTGACAAAGGCCTATTATCCAGAATCTATAGGGAACTTATGCAATTCAACAAGCAAAAACCAAATAACCCCATTAAAAACTGGGCAAATGACATGGGCTTCTCTCTTGAAGACATACAAGTGGCCAACACACATATGAAAAAATGCTCAACATCACTGATCATCAGAGAAATGCAAATCAAAACCACAATGAGATAGCATCTCATACTAGTCAGAATGGCTATTATTAAAAAGTCAAAAAACAACAGATGCTAGTGAGGCTGCAGAGAAAAGGGAACACTTCTACACTGTTGGTGGGAATATAAATTAGTTCACCCACTGTGGAAAACAGTTTGGAGATTTCTCAAATAACTTGAAGCAGAGTTACCACTTGACCCAGCAACACCGTTCCTGAGTATATACCCAAAGGAAAGGAAATCATTCAACCAAAAAGACACAGACACTTGTATGTTCATTGCAGCACTATTCACAACAGCAAAGTCATGGAATCAACCCAGTTGCCATCAGTGGTAGATTGGATAAAGAAAATGTGGTACATACTCACCATGGAATACTATGCAGCCATAAAAATGAATGAAATCACGTCCTTTGCAGCATCATGGATGCATTTGGAGGCCGTAATCCTAGTTAAGTTAGCCCAGGAACAGGAAACCAAATACTGCATATTGCCACTTAAAAGCGGGAGCTAAACATTAGACACACATGGACATAGACATGGGAACAATAAACACTACAGGCTACTAGAGTGGGGACAGAAGAGTGAGGTGCAGGTTGAAAGACAACTTATTGGGTACTATGCTTACTATCAGGGTAATGGGATCCATACCCCAAATCTCAGCATCATGCAATACAACCATGTAACAATTCTGCACATGTACCCCCTGTGTCTAAAATAAAAGTTAAAATTTTCTAAAAAAGAAAAATATCTTACCTATAGAGAGACTAGGATGAAAATTACAGCAGAGTTTTTCATCAGAAACCATGCAAGCTAGAAAAGAGTGTATGGAAATCTTTAACAGGTTGTTTAAAAACGACAAAAACCAGGCAACCCTGGCACCCCATCTTTCTAGAATTCTATAGTCAGTGAAATTATCCTTCTAAAGTGAAGGAAAAACAAAGACTTTCTCAGACAAACAAAAACTGAAGGGAATTCATTACTAACAGATTTGTGCTGTAAGAAATGTCAAAATGTTTTCACAAAGAAGAAAAACGATGCGGATAAAAAACTTGTATCTATGCAAAGAAACAAAAAAAATTGCAGAGAAAGAATAAAGATAAAATAAAATATCTTTTTTATTCTTAATTGATCTAAAAGATAACTTTTTACTTAGACAATAATAGTAATAATATATTGGGTGATTATAGCTTATGGATAAGTGAAACGATTGGCAACAATGTCACAAGAGGCAGCAGGGAGGAATTCGGAATATTTCATTATAAGCTACCGGCACTGCTTGTGCAGTACTTAGGTGCTGACCAAATAACTTTGGAAATGAAAGTCCATTTCAAGATGGATTTAGATTATTTAAAAACATACGTTGTAAAATTTTAGAGCAACTGCTAAAAATTTAAAAGTAAATATAAAGAATGCATTAAGATAGAAGATAAAAATGAAACCATACAAAATGCTTAATTGAAATCAGAATGGTCAGAAAAAGAGAGGTGACAAGAAACAAACAGCAAATATAATGAATAGAAAACAGTAAAAACATGGTAGTCATTCATCCATTTAAATCTATAATAACTTAAAATGTGCATGGTTTATGCAGCAAACCACCATGACACACATTTACCTGTGTAACAAACCCGTACATCCTGCACATGTACCACAAAACTGAAAAACATTTTTAAAAATGTGCATGGCTTAAATATGCCAACAAAATACATACCAATAAAAATACAGGGATTGTCACAGTTAGTTCAAAGAAAAAAGACTAAATGATGTATTATCTATAAAAATCTACTACAACTATGAAGACTAGGATAAGATAAAAACAAGTGATTGAGGAAGCTATACTACAAATCAAACAAAAACTAGAATAGGTAGTTATATTAATTTTAGACAAAACAGACTTTAGAACAAGAAAGATTATCAGGGAAAGATTACTGGGGATAAGAGAGCTCAATTCTCCAAGAGGAGAGCAATCCTAAATATCTATGCCTCTGTAAACAGAACATCAAAATACATGAGGCAAAAGTGATAGAACCAAAAGAAGAAATAGACAAATCCACTATTACAGTTAGAGACTTCAATGACTTTCTCTTAGTAACTGATAAATGAAGCAGGCAGGCAGTCATTGAGAATACAGATGACTCAAACAGTACTATCAATCAACTTGATCTAAATGATATTTATAAAATGTTCCAACAAAAACCCTTAAAACTCAATAGGAAGAAAATGACTCAAACATTTTTAAAAAAAGATCTGAGCACACATACCTCACCAAAGAAGTTTGCAGATAGCAAATAAACAAATAAAAATATGCTCAACATCATCAGTCATTATGGAATCACAAATTAAAACCACAAGATATCACTGTAAGAATACCCACCAGGATGGCTAAAATCCAGAAGACTTGACAGTGTTAACTGCTGGGAAGCAATTGCATTCCCAGGTATTTACCCAAGTGATTTAAAAACTTGTGTCCACACAAAAGCCTGCACATGAATGTTTATAGTAGCTTTATTCATAATCATGGAAGTAACCATGATGTTCTTCAATACATGGTTGAATGAATTAACTATAGTACATACCTATATTGTGATATTTTTCAATAATAAAAAGAAATGAGTTTTCAAGCCTTTTGAAAACATGGATGAATCTTAAATGCATCTTGCTAGTGAAAGGTGTAAGGGCTCTGTGGCTATGGATGACATTCTGGAAAAGGCATCATATATATGATACCACATGGTGTATATATATGATATTTATATATGATATTATATATATATATATAAAATCTCCAAGAAGATATATATATATGAGAGAGATATATATATAAAGAGAGACTAGAATGAGAAGAGTCCATATATATATGATATATATATATGATATATATAACTGCCAGAAGATGGGAAGATGCTCTCCCAACAGTGCAGCAAGCTAGCAGCAGCGCTGGGCTCCTCAGTCTCCAAGGCTAAGTCTCACAGCCATGCAGTGCCTGGGTTCAAATACATTTCATTAAATGTTCCATTACACTAAAATGACCATATTGTAATGGAACAGGCTTGGTATTTTTTTAAGTACAAAATCAATGTGCTGACCTTAGTTATTATTATATCAATATAATAACATTAGTCTTCTTTAAAAAAAGAAAAATATCATGTGAAATATCACCACTCACATACAATTTCCACAAATTGTCTTTGTTTTTGTGCTTTTCCCTCAGGCTTGTATATTTTTACAGAGTGGTAACCAGCCTTTTCACTTAATGTTATAACATAAGAGTTTCCCCAAGTTGCATTTAGTTTTATCACTTAAAGATTTTTTATAAGCAGCTAAGTATTATCTTATCTGCATTCATTGTATTTTAAATGAATAATCACTTACTATTGGATAAAGTTGTTACTGTTTTGCATTATGGCAATATTCATACTTTTGGCTTCTTGATTTTTAAAAAATTATTTATTTACCTTCTATAGCATTACTGAGTTAAAAGATATGAACATCTTTATAACTTTTTTTTTTTTTTGAGATGGAGTTTCGCTCTTGTTGCCCAGGCTGGAGTGCAATGGTGTGATCTCAGCTTACTGCAATCTCTGCCTCCAGGGTTCAAACGATTCTCCTGCCTCAGCCTCCTGAGTAGCTGGGATTACAGCCATGTGCCACCACGCCTGGCTAATTTTGTATTTTTAGTAGAGACAGGGTTTCTCCATGTTGGTCAGGCTAGTCTCGAACTCCTGACCTCAGGCGATCTGCCCTCCTCGGCCTCCCAAAGTGCTGGGATTACAGGTGTGAGCCACCGCCCCCGGCCATGACTTGTTTTTTTACTTAAATAAAAAACAATGTTTTTTCAATTAAATATAGAAGATTGGCCACATGCGTGTATCTGTCCTTTCTGCTGAGATCCCACTAAGATGGAAGAGGAAAAAGAACACAAGACACGTTTGGAAGCCCCAAGGAAGGTATTGCACTGAGTGGACAAGCCACTGTTTGAGAGACTGCATGATGAGCCCCTGAGAGTAGGTAGAGAGAGAGTGAGGCCAGTTGAGCCATGCTTCTCTTCTGTCCCCACCAAGGGCCAAGCACGTGGTAAATCTATTGTGCAGCCTCCAGCCCTGACCAGGGCTGCTGAATACCACCGAATGTGCCCAGTCAGTATCACTTGGATCAAAGGGTTCACCCCACAAACCTCAAATCCCTGACTGTCAACTCATGAGATACAATGAGATAGTTGTTTTAAGCCACTAAATTTTGCTGCACAGTGATAGATAACTAAAGGAGAAGAAGAAAATATACGAGAGCATAGAAAAGTAGGAAAATGAGAAAAAGAAGTGATTATGAATTCCAGGAAAAGCAGAACATTCACAAAGAAAAAGAATGATTACAGAACACTACTCAGCCACTTTTGAATGTGCCATAATATACTTAACCTTCCCTGACATTTAATGTTTTCTGTATGTGTGTGTGTGTGTGCATGTGTGTGTGTGTGTATTATAAACAAGTTTCAGTGACTACTCAGGTACATGCTGCTGGGATTTAGGCAGACACCTCAAAATATGCCACTTTGGCTTTTGAAAAAACAGCAGAAGCTGGAAGACCCTCTTAACTTCTCCTCACCCCTTATCCCTTGAAGCAGGCCATGAAACCTAGCCCCTTTCCTCTAAAGTAGGGCATGAGACCCTCATTAACATCCCTATCTCTGAAGACACAGGAACACAGAGGAGACTCCGAACCAACAAGCCTTGCTTATTTCTTCCAGTTTATTACCATTAGATCACACCCCCTTTCTCCAATCATACTTCCTCCTGACTATTCTTCATCAAATCTAAGCAAAAAAAAAAAAAAAACGCCATTTTCCCTGTGTATTTGGGTCTTCATTTATGAAGGCTGTTGTGTCTCATAAAACTTTGATGAAATAAATTTGTATGCTTTTATCTTGGTAATCTGTCTTTCATTATAGGGGCCTCAGCTGTGAACCTTGCCATAGCTTGAGAAAAGATACTTTTTCTCCCCTATAGGGCAACTTCCTAGGACAGATTCCTGTGGTTGACTTCTTCCTGGGCCAGACTGCTTTTCTAGGTCAGGAGGGTATTTTTTAAGGTTCTTTTCTTTTTTTTTTTTTTTTTTTTTGAGATGGAGTCTTGCCCTGTCACCTGGGCTGGAGTGCAGGGGCATGATCTCGGCTCACTGCAACTCTGCCTCCTGGGTTCAAGCGATTCTCGTACTTCAGCCTCCTGAGTAGCTGGGATTACAGGCGCCTGCCACCATGCCCAGCTAATTTTTATACTTTTAGTAGAGATGGGGTTTCACCATGTTGGCCAGGCTGGTCTCAGACTCCTGACCTCAAGTGATCCACCTGCCTTGGCCTCCCAAAGTGCTGGGATTACAGGCATGGGCCACCGTGCCTGGCCTTTTTAAGGTTCTTGATACATTGTCAGGTTGTTTTTCAGGAGGGCCCCCTCAGCTCACACTCCTGCAGGCTGAAGGGCTCGTGTCAGTTCCTTGGAAAGGCAGTTTTCACACAAGTGCCCTGGCACCTTCAAAATGCTGTCATGCCCCTGTCCTCCCCACTTTGGATGTCGTGGTTCTTTCTGGCCACTGTATTTTTCCAGGGCCTTTCATTTTCATCAACTCAGATAACCCACCTCGCTTCCTCCTTCCCAAAATGCATTTTCCCGGGGATCCAAACCCAGCCCTTAAATTAGCTAGCTATATGATTTTGAGCATATCACTTAAATTTAATGGAACCCAGCTCCTTCATTTGCAAAGGGAGACAACTTACTACATTATCTCTAAAGTCCTTTTAGTTACAGTTTAAAAAAAAATATTGAATAATGGGAAATAACCTAAATGTTCAACAAATGTTACATCAATATGATATATCCAGATGATGGAATACAATGTAGTAATTTTTTAAAAATGTGTTTTTATTACAAGGCATGGGAACTAATTCATGATATGATGCTACATGAAATCAGCATGATACTGTATGAAGCCTAATTTATAAATACACATTTTGATAAATAAAATTAAAAAGAAATACACTGCAAGACTAGCAGTGGCTCACCGTATGATTGCATTATTGGTGATATACAGTCAGAAAAATGCATTTTCTACAATTGTGAAAATCAGACACCGCAGTAGGATTAGTGTAAGCATCGTGGTTTCTAGGTAGTCTTCTCTGACACCTAGGCAGAATCAGGGCCCTTCCTCCTGGCTCCCACCAGATGTAGGACACGCTTTCATTACAGAAAACATTACTCTGCATTGCAGTTGCAAGTCAACACATTTGCTTCCTACTACATTCTGAGCCCCTGATGGTGAAGTCCTTGCCTTGTTTGTTGATGCATCTGTATCATGACACCTGGCACTTAGAATACTCCAGACACACATTGGCTGAATGTTTAATACCTCGGTTGGTGAAACAATTTCTGTTGGAACTATAATTTTAAATTTGATGTTGCCTGCTATTTTTCAGTTTCTAAGATAAACAATATGAGCACCTCGGATAATATTTTCTTCTAAATGCTTTGTCAAAAACTAGAGTAAATTGCCACCAAGTGCTGCCTGTGAGTATGGACTAAAAAGTTCCTCTGGGAGCAATGAAGGCATCTGACAACAATACCTAGTGGCATTAGTTGTTTGTATATATATTGATCGCCCATTGTTGGGATTCTTTGCTCACCATGCAACTTTCAAGTTGTAATTGGGCTTCTTGTGGACATGTCAAAACAGAGCAAATGTGCTAACCAGGCTACAGGGCATGAGTAGCTGGTCCCTCTGGCAGTTATGTTTCTCATGGTAAATTAATGACTTGGCAAATTTTTGTTTGCTCAGCCTTTCTGAACTCAATTAACTTTGCAACACTGAGAAAATCGGATTTGGAGATCTGCAAAGCTGAGGTTGAGATTTTGGACCTTGGTGATCCAAATGGGGAATGCCACGCTTCGAGGCCTGTCTATATGCTTTATTTTTGTGACACTGTCTATTTACCCTCCCCCAATAGTGGAGAATCAGAGTGCTCCTTGTCAGTGTTGCTACAGAGAAGATATACAGGATGGAAGGACAGCTCCTCGTAGGACCTAGACACAACTGAAGAGCTTTGGAAAAACCTTCAGGTTTTGGCACAGAGAAGTATTGACATACTTAGAAGAAGACCAGTTTAAATTGTGCAATGATTCATTGAACAGTCATTCCTTGGTATATACCAGGGATTGGTTCCAGGACGTCTGAGTATACCAAAATACGTGCATACTCCAGTCCTGTGGTTGGCCCTGTAGAACCCGCCTATGTAAAAAGTCAAATCTGTGTATACACAGCCTTAGCATCCCAGGAATACTGTATTTTTGATCCTTGCATAAATGGAACATCACAGTTCAAATACATATTGTTCAAGGGTCAACTGTAGCTACACACTAGTGCAAAAGGTACTAAGTTGTACCTAGCCATTTGTATTTCTTATATTCCTACTCTCTAAATTGCATTTTGTTTGTATCTGTAACCAATCTAATTAATATTCATGTTTAGTTAGTTTAAATACATCTTACTGTTTTTGTAGAAAAAGCCTGACTAGTTAGTAAAAGCATGCCACTACTTTTGTTAACGGTTCACCATTTCTTCCATCCCTCCTCTCATAGTTGAAGGGGTTCCCCCCTCTGCCACAGTAATGTCTGGCTGGTATTATTATGTCTGCTTTTTTTTTTTTTTTTTTGAGATGGAGTCTCGCTCTGTAGCCCAGGCTGCAGTGCATGGCCCGATCTCAGCTCGCTGCAAGCTCCACCTCCCGGGTTCACGCCATTCTCCCGCCTCAGCCTCCTGAGTAGCTGGGACTACAGGCGCCTGCCACCATGCCCGGCTAATTTTTTTGTATTTTTTAGTAGGACGGCGTTTCATCGTGTTAGCCAGGATGATCTCGATCTCCTGACCTCATGATCCGCCCACCTCGGCCTCCCAAAGTGCTGGGATTACAGGTATGAGCCACCACGCCTGGCCTTATGTCTGCTTTTTAAATTTGTCTCTTCCCTTAGCTGCTCTTCAATCCACTTGATCCTCAAGCCTCTCTTGGCCTCTGTGTAGCCTCCTCTGGCACTCTGGGTAGAACTAGACCAAGAGATATCTTTTCAAAAAGCAGATAGAATCATGTTGCCTCATGCACTAAAAATCTCTCTTTGCTCTCTGTGGGTATAAGAAAAAGTCTAAATGCCCAAGCTGGTACAAAAGACCTCACAATTTGCCACCACGTCCCACTACATAGCTCATGTTCTGGTCACACTGAGATGCTCAGATTCCTCAAATGTGGCTTCCCACCTCATCATACTTCGGTGTCTTTATACCCCTATTACTTCTGCCTGGAATGCTTTCCCTGGCTTCTTTGGAAATTTCATTTACATCATTCAAAACCAAGATGATCCATCATGTCAGCAAGTGTGGTTTCTTGCTCCCTCCTTGGTGTTTTCACAATCCTTTAAACAGATCTATTCTCTAGCAATTACCCCGGTATTATAAATATCTGTTTGCACGTGTTCGTTTCTTTCTAGACTGTGAACTTCTTGAGAGCAGAGAGCTGTCATTCATCTCTGTAGAGCCAGTGCTTAACACAGTGTTTGACTCATCATAGATCCTTAATTCATGTTTATTGAATTTATTAATTAAGCCATAACCGAGGCATCACCATCCATTTAATTGCAAATGAAGTCCCACGGATGAAATTAACAGCCTCATTTCTATCAGCCCTTGCAGATAAAGTGATGACAAACACTGAGCGTTTCACACAGTGCCAGCCAATATAGAGCAAAGAAAACCATCCAAGGGCATTGGCCTTGCCCTTGAGGAGCTTACAATATAGTGGGAAAGATAGAATTTTCATTCACCAAACAAACTGAGGACAAAGTGAAGAACATTTAAAAGCTATGTTAGTTGTAGGAGGCATGTGAAATGTCTAAGGTTTGAGGTCGGAAAAAATGTGAGCAGATCCTTTCCCTCACATGCCACCATCTCTCTCAGCAGTGTGGTTGAAAGGCAGAGTCACTTGGAATCCAGTGTGGAAGCAGGTGGGGGGATTGTGATTAGCATCTTCAGACTGTTTTCTATATGAAGTTGGATCAAGGCTACTATTGAGGAAAATGTGGTTTGGGATTGGCAATGGAGAAGGTTGGGAGAAAGGCATTCTAGAAAGATGAAATAATGTAGGGAAATGCTAGATATTGGGGTTCAGAAGTCTGCCTAATCTGAATCAAATCCTTAGGCACCACAATTGTTTGAAGGACTCCATAGTGCTGCGCAGCCAGAGAGCAGCAATACAAATAATTCTGTTCTTTTCTTTTGCTTTACCATTTACTCAATGTTTATGCACCTCTGAAATTGTCATTTGCTCCTCGCAGCAATTCTATTTGGTGGACTGAATCTTCCTTGACCTCATCATCCTCTGCCCCACCATAGATGAAGGCAGAAATCCTCCTAGAGAGGATGCTCGCCAAACATGCCAAAGGCTTCCTGAGCTTCCCTTTGACATGGCACATTTGCATGCTACTGTGTTTATTGGTTTATTCCTGGGAAAGTAGATGTCTTTTCTTATTTCTTCCCAGCACCTGATACAAATAGAAGCTCAATAAATGTTTGCTGCATGAGTGATTAAATGCATGGGTGCAATATAATATATGGCAATCTTACTTGCCATTCTTACTTGTTGTCTCTATCAAATGTCTCATTCTTCACCTGAGTTCACAGGCTACTCAACAAGTCCCCAGCAGTGAATCCCAAGATTATGACCCATCTCAGAATCCCCAGCCCACCAAATACTGAATGGTCAGGGTGGCCCACCACAAATCAGCCAGACCCACCCTTCCTCCAGGCTTAGAGTTACTAAAGACTGGATAATAAAGATAACAGTGCCTTGAGCCTGGCATGTGTGCCTGCCGGAGCGCAGAAACAGACAGGACCCAGCAGCCCCAGACTCTGCTGATAACAAAGGCTTTCTGAGCAATGGCCCTTCAAAGCAACAAATCAAGACAGACAGCCTGCCAAAATCATGCCAACCCAGCAGACTGAGAATCCTTTACCCACTGAGAAACAGCCTTCCCAGCGGATCCATCACTTAGACAACTCAAATTAGATGGTGAGAACATGGAGGAAGCAGAGTCTGCCTTTATGGATATAGGAAGACTCCTTGATTCCTTGAGCAACCTTGCCCCAAGTAACCCCCACTTTCCACCTCTCAGTGAGCCAGAGAAATAAACACCTTTATCTGCCTTTCAGATTTCTATTGATCCTTCAAGACTGCTCAGATGCCACCTCCTCTGTGATGCCTTCACTCAGCTCTGAAGAGCACATTGTTAGGTGAAGAGCCAGGTTTGATGGTGTTCTGGGCAAGGGTCTCAGCACTATCCAAATTCTGATTTCCAATCAAACACCTCTTCCCTAAAAGAGATATTCACAAGGAAAAGCTATATGGGGAACAAATAATCCTTTTGCACCCAGCACCCCATTGTAGAGCTCTCTGAAAGAGTAGGATTGGATTATAAAATTTAGCTTGAAACACAAGCTGGGCTTTCATCTCCTCCTAAAGTCAAAATCCAAGTTCTGGTGCCTTATTATCTGTCTCCATGGCAATGATAAGTGCATTCAGGTGTGTTGGAGGGAGGAAAGACTGTTAGGCCTGGCCTGATGAGGTGGGCTCTGAGTTCACTCAACAATTCTACCGTATGTGAAGGTTGGTGTCTTAGCCCATTTTTGTTGCTCTAACAAAATATCACAGACTGAGTAACTTATAAGCAATAGACTGGATGCGGTGGCTCACGCCTGTAATCCCAGCACTTTGGGAGGCCAAGGTGGGCAGATCACAAGGTCAGGAGATTGAGAACATCTTGGCCAACATGGTGAAACACTGTCTCTACAAAAAATACAAAAATTAGCTGGGTGTGATGGCACGTGCCTGGAATCCCAACTACTCCGGAGGCTGAGGCACGATAATCACTGAACCCAGGAGGAAGAGTTTGCAGTGAACCGAGATCATGCCACTGCACTCCAGCTTGGGCTACACAACGAGACTCTGTCTCAAAAAAACAAAAACAAAACAAAACAAAACAAGACAAAAACTTATAAACAATAGAAATTTATTTCTCATGGTTCCAGAGGCTGAGAAGTCCGTGATCAAGGCGCCAGCATGATTGGTGTCTGGTTAGGGCTGCTCTCTGCTTCCAAGACAGCACCTTGTTGCTGAAGCCTCCAGAGGGCAGGAATGCCATGTCTCATATGGCAGAAGAGCAGAGAGTAAGAGAGAGCAAGAGGGAATGGAACTTACCCTTTTATAATGGCACCAATCCTACCCATGAGAATGGAGCCCTCATGGGGCTCTCCATCCTCATCTCTTAAAGGTCCCATCTCTTAATACTGTTACAATGGCAATTAAATTTTAACATGTGTTTTGGAGGGACAAAGATTCAAGTCATAGCAGGTGGGCTGGAGAGGGGAGAAATTGATGTTTTGGCTGACTATTGCTTTTCCTTTTCAAATAGAGTGACCCCACTCATACATAAATATGGCTCAGTTAATGGCTTGGAATCTGGCCAATCATATGAGCAAAGGGAAGGAGGGCCACTTACCTTTCAAATATGACTTTAACCCTTTTACCACCAACCACACATCTATAGAATCAGATTTTTAAGGTGACTCATTCACATTCAACTTCCATGTTCTGATTTGGAACCCAAGAGAGGAGCTTCATCTTCAGGCACCACTAAGCAGTCCCCTGTAAGCATCCTCACAGGTAGTTTATATAAAAGAGTGTGAATGCTTCCTTTTTTGAACAATCAAAAAATATCTAAATTCTTCTTTTATGGTGGGCTTCTAGGCCATATGAACCAGTCCCTGCCATTTCAGGACTGTGTCAGAGGAAATGCTTAGGATTTGAGAAGCCTGTGGAGTTTCTCCAGGATGGAGCACGGGCACTGGCAGGGGAGAAAGGGTCAGAAAGAAGTGTAGAAAAAACAAGGAGATTATGGAGGGAGAAAAGAAGATGGGGCTGGGGAGACCAGAGAGGGCACAGACCCCTGACATTCTTCCAGTAGACTCTAAGGACCAAAAGGAGGCTGAATGGACAAGTACAAGAATGTTTGGACCATCTCTAGACTCTGTGGGCTCATGGTTAACTGATGGTGAGATTATTTCCTTCCTAGTAATGCTGGCCTCAGTTTTGCCTTTCGTTTTTCTTATGCAAAGTTGTCTCACACAGATGGCATGTGAATGCATGATTTAGAATAAGTGACTTAGATGAAGACTCTCTCCTTAATGGTCAGAAAAGCTCAAAAAATTATCAGCCTAGACCAGGGGTGGAGATAGCACAGAAGGAAACACAACTACCTGAACATTGTTGGTGTAGCTGAGAACTCTGGTACCCTAGAAACACTCCCCAGCTTTCCCAACCTCAGTTGCAGACCCTTGTTTCATCTCTGGCATTTCAGATCTCACTTGACCTCTAGCATGATTGGTGTCCTGAGGTTTGGTCCCAACTGTCAGCTCTATCACAAGCTCTCTCAAGGGCAGGGCATTGCTGGAGCAAACATGGTATATTCATACTCCTGATGTCCTTCCAAGGAAGGACATGCATGGCAGACTGTTCACTAATAACAAGTCCCTCTTAGGAAATGTGAGCCAATGGCTTCCACAAATGTGGAAGCATTAAATTGCCAGTGGTCAACTTTCCACTCCTTTCTTCCCCTATCAGAGAAAACTCTGAAGCACTGATTTAAGACAGAGGCATAATGATGGTGCAAAGTGTTTACTTGGAGAAGAGCTCCCTCACGCAACAATGGGGCTTGTAACATCAGTGATACGTAGATTTTTGTTGGGTTAAGCCACCGAGATTTTGGTGGTGGTTATGACTACAGCATAACCTAACTTATGCTGACTTCAATACTTTGCAAGCAGGAAAAAAGCATGGTTGTGAAGAGATTTTAATGGCACGTGTATTAGTTTCCCAGGCCTTCTGTAACAAAGTACCACAGGCTGGGTGGCTTGACCAACGGGAATTTATTGTCTCATCATTCTAGAGGCTGGAAGTCTGAGACCAAGGTGTCAGCAGGGTTGGTTTCTTCTGAGGCTGAGAGGGAGAATCTGTTTCAGGGCTCTCACCTCACTTCTGGAGGTTTGCTGGCAATCTTTGGTGTCTCTTGGCTTGTAGAAGCATCACCCCAATCTCTGTCTTCATCATCACATGCTCTTCTTTCTACTTGCATGTCTGTATCCAAAATTCCGTCTTTTATTACGACATCTTTCATACTGAGTTAGGTGATCACCCTATCCACAGATGACCTCATTTTAACTAATTACTTCTGCAACAGTCCTATTTCTGAATGAAGTCACATTCTGAGGTACTGGGGGTTACAACTTAAACAAATGGATAACATATGAGTTTTCTGAAAGGACACAATTCAAGTCATAACAGTATAAGAACATGGGAATATACTATGATGTTAGGTTCAAATAACAGGAAAAAAGTTGCACAATGAAAGGACCCTAAATATGAGACACGAAATATATCTGATGCATATATTAGTATTAGTATATATTATGAGATATTTGTATATAAATAATTAGATATTACATAAAATATATATTATATAAAATATATTATATTGTATAATTTTTAAATAAGGCTACTTTTTCAATGTCTTACTAGTTTTTTCACAATGAATATATGTTATTCTTACAGAGACCAAAGTGCTGTTTTTAACAAATTGTTGCACTCTCTCTGTTTCTCTTGCTGTACCCACCAGGCTGGGTCACTTGAGAGGCTGCCAGCTCTTGGAGGTTTGAATTTTGCCTCTTGTTTTTCTCAGGCAGAATTGTCTCACACAGACGGTGCACGAATGAATGATGTAAAATGAATGACGTAAATGAAGACTCCCCTATCTTAATGGTCTAGGAAGCTCAAAAAATTATCAGCTTAGACCAGGGATGGAGACCATGTGGAAGAAAACACAGACTTCTCAAGAGAGCCAAGGACAAATAAAAATAATCTGGACACAGGGAGTGGATGGATGGAGAAGTCCAGAGTAAAGGGCTTTCCACGTATCCCTCTCACATGGGTGCCTTGGAAACCTTCTTGCCCACCACTTACTATCTGTCCTCCAAGGATTCATCAAGATCCTACTTCTTCCATGTAGCCTTCCTTGACTCATTCCGTCTTCAAGGGTCTCCCTCTTCTTCCAACTTCTACAGTACTTAGAGTCTAGACCAGTGGGTTTCCTGTGGGGTCCTGGAGTCCACATCACCCCCCACCAGAAGTATTTCATGAGCTATCTCATCTCAGAGGAGGGAGGATGTACAAATGCCCCATCCTGACTTTGACCAGAACAGCTAAAACAATGTAACCTAATTTATGCACTTCAATATACAAAGAACAGGTTCTGCTGCTATAACAAAAATTCTTTTGACAAGCTGCAGTATCCCGTCAGGTACTTTCATTCTGAAGGACTGAAGACCAAGGTTTTGCATTCACTGAGGTGGCGGGGTCTTCTGGCCTCAGTGAGGGAGAGGTTAACCTTGTCTATCTGCGATTGGGCTGCCTGGGACTGTCAGCCATGGGTTGCCATAGAGACAATCATGAGATACTCAACAATCTTGGCAACTGCACCAGAAGCCCTATCCTCATTCAGCACAAAGCAGGCATGTTGCTGAAGACATGCAGCCTGCTCTTTTCCTATTCAGAGACCTCAGAAACTGCTGCCCTGAGGATACATGTAAAAAAACTTCTAGTTACTTTCAGTACATTGTTCTGCTCTTTTATCCTCTTCTGGGAAACAAAACAAAGAAAAACAAAGCAAAACAAAGCAAGAACTCTGTTTTGGAAACATAAGTCAGAGGGGACCTGCAGTTGGTGAACTGCTTAGAGAGGCATTGCCCAGACTTCAGGTCCTTGGGTTGGACAGGGCCTGTCTCCATTCTGAGATATTTTTTCCTTGTCAGATGGTCATTTACCCAAATCCTTCTAGTCTCAGAGGCTGACCTCTAACTGCTGTCAGAATGCTCTTTCTAATGCTAATGAAACCAAAGATAATATGGCCTAGGCAAATGCTAAGCACTCTACTTTATTCTCACTCTATAGATGTGAAAACTGATGTTCAGAAAGACAAGTTACATGCCTTAGATCGTGCAGCTGTTGACTCCGAAGCTGATGCACTCAGCCCGTCTGCTATTCTGTCTCCTACAGTAAATTGAAAATAGCCTTCACTGTAACTTCTACTCACTGGTCCTCACTCATTCTTTGAAGCAGTGCAGAGTCAATCCCCTTACATTTCACAGCCCTTTCCCTTGGACAGAATGTGGATGACATCTTCAGTGAACTCAGAGTGCCATGGGCCATTGTGACGAATGACAGTCAGGAGGCAGCCCTGTGCCTCCCCTTGCTCTCCCAACTCCAAACTAAACTTCTCTGGGTTCCCTTAAAATGTGTAAGAGTTCCTGCTCCTTACTCTCAACAAACAAGTGCACCTATCTTAGCTTCTTTCCAGAAAAAGGCAGAAAATCCTTAATTGCTGCTCCTCCAGCCACTCACTCCATCATTAGGCCAGCGGAGATGAAATACACTTTCTTCACTACACCATTGGCTTATGCACAGCCTGGTGCCCAATGGGTGAGGAATGACCTACAAGGCTGTACTTGGTCCCCTGGTCCCAGAAGTGGTGGCATCAACAGTAGCAACAACAGGCCATCTGTCTTCGAGCTGACTTTGAGAAGACAATTTAGTGACAGATGAGATACCCTATTGGGCATTTTTGCCTAAGTGTCAGGCATGGGTTAAAGTTTCTGGAATCTCACCTCTTTTTCTGCACTATGCCCTTGAAGAACAAAATCTATGATTGTAGGATGTGGTATTTAAGGTGATGACTGTGATCTCCTCATCCAACTGGATCATTTTACTGGTGAGGAAACTGAGATCCAGACAGCTGATACCATGTTTTCAGCCAGTGGCAGCACCAGGAACTAAATTCATATCTGTCCAAATCCAAAGTCCACCACCTTAACCACCACAATAAAAGCCACATTGGTCTCTAGCATGGATCAGCATCCTGACTTTGGGAAACCTGTCAAATGGCCATCATACAAGTACCTCACAGAGTTGTCTCCATTTATGGAGTTGCTGTCAGTATTAAATGGGAGATACCATGTTATGTGCCTATCACTGTGCCAAGCATGGAGTAGATTCTCAACCAAAGGTAGCCAGTGCTATCAGCAGGGATAAGGATCCATGTCTCTCCGTAGGCCCTTTGCACCATCCCACATCTGCCTCCCTGGTGCTTCTTGTCACAGCCGGGCATGGTGATATTATCTTGGGCACAGCGTGATGCAATAGCAAAAGCTCAGCCCTCAATGAGTTGGTAACTCAGTGAGAGACACAGGAACAACACCCATCTTGTGCATCTTCTTAGCAGGATTGAACCCACGGCTGTTGGATTCCACCTTGAAACCCTTTGCTCTTGTGGTTTCTGAGACAATGATGTCTCTCCATTTGCTTTCCTACATAAACACAGACTCCTTTCTAGTCTCCTTTGCTGGCTCTTCATTCTTTTCCAGAACTTTAAATATTGGTGGTCCTCTGTGCTCTTCCCTCAGATCTCCAAAGAGAACTTTTCCTAGGTGATCCCATCGGCTCTTGACTTTAGGTACCAATCTCACATGGATAGCCCTGAACATTTTTATCTTCAGCTTTGACCTTTTCCCTAAACTCCAAGCTCCAATATCCAAGAATTTATATGATTTCTACAATTTGATGTTTTCTTGGCTTTTTGAATTGAACATTTCCCAAATTAAACTGTAATTCCTTGGCTGGGTGTGGTAGCTCACGCCTGTAATCCCAGCACCTCGGGAGGCTGAGGTGGATGGATCACCAGAGGTCTGGAGTTCAAGACCAGCCTGGCCAATGTGGTGAAACCCCGTCTCTACTAAAAATACAAAAATTAGCTGGGCATGGTGGAGGTGCCTGTAATCCCAGCTACTCGGGAGGCTGAGGCAGGAGAATCACTTGAACCCGGGAGGTGGAAGCTGCAGTGAGCTGAGACCTCACCATTGTACTCCAACCTGGGCAACAAGAGCAAAACTCCATCTCAAAACAAAAAACCCTGTAATTCTTCCATCCCAAATTCATCTCTCCCCTGAACCTATTGCACTTACCTTTATTTTGTGCAATTTATTCATCCAATGCATATTTATTGAGTGCCATCATTATTCCAAGCATTATTTTAGGCAGCAGTGAACTGTATAAAGAAGACAAAGTACAAAGCCCCCTTTTTTGTGAAGTGTATAGTTTAGTAGGAGAACCAGAAAATTCCAATTAACTAGATAAATAATTTCAGACAGAAATACCTGTTCCTCCCCACTACATCTCAGTAGATGACACCACCTTTTGCTAGTTGTTGAGTCCAAAGTGCTTGAAGTCATTCTTGACTCCTGCTTTCTTCTCACCTTCTCTGTGCAATCCTTCAGCAAGTTCTGCCACCTCTATCTCCAAAATATACCTGGTTGGAATAGAGTTGTTAGTGGTGACGGTATTGAGACTGGATGGGATCAGGAATAATTACAGTGTATGCCATATGCTGTGTCTGGAAAAAGAAAAACTAACAAAGATGAAAATGTTTTCCTCCTTTCTTCAGAGACACACAGAGAGAAAGGATCAATCTCCAAACACGCTCCCTTTTGTTACTAGGGTAATTCACGTTATTGCTACCCCTTGGTTTTGTATTTCTCCAGACTTCATTCTTTGAGGCGGTGGTGGGGGTCCTCTGATTCCTTTATTTGCTGCAGTGGGGTGGCGGTACCTGTCTTACCACTGGATTCTCTCCAAGGCACATCTCAAGCTGGTCCTGTGATGTCTGACTGAGGCACAGGTGCAGGGCCATGCCTTTCCATGCCCTCACTCACCTCACTGGGATATCCATGGTCCCAGCTTCTGAGTTGGGGTGTTAGAAAAGTCTTGCAGTGTTCAAAGGAGGACTGTCCATTTGGAGTAAGTTATATGGCAACCAAAAAATATATATATTATATTTTTATATAATATGTATGTGCTAATCAGGGAACACCAGGTATCACTTCTGCAAGATGGTCATCAAATGATCTGTTGGGCACTACTGGACATCAAAACGGAGGACAGCAACAGAGCTTCTCCATGGTGCTTGTACAAATGAACACTGGGTGGTCTGCGGGGCCTCACGTGGCTTCCATATTGTTCCTGAGTCCCGGCAATAGTCAAAGCTTTTCTGTGACACAGGTGAAGCTCAGAGGCTCCTCACACTGTCTCCACACCTTCCCGTGTGCCCTCTCTAGGTGCTGTCCAGAACCCACCTTTCCTCTTTCCTTCCTTATTCCTCTTCTACACAGTCTTCATTAAATCAATCACTGGAGCCCACATTGCTGCCCTTCCTCCAGAGACCTGAGATTTTTGATCTCAAAAGCAAGACTAGACCATATTGACATTCTTCTGAGACAAATACGTGGAATAGTTAACTGAATGGTGAAGTTAAGTCTGAGAAAAAAAAAATACCCCAAACAGCAGAATCTCTCTACCAGGTTTGCTTTGTCACTGAGGAAGCCCAAAATTATGAGGAATGGTTACACCTATATAAATCTAAAACCATTGGGGTTAATAAAGAGTGTCCATGTGCATAATCTCATTTAATCTTCATGCTGATGCTGTGACTTAGCTACGGTTAGTATACAGATAATAGATGATAAAAGCTGCACTGAGCTGGGGCTTAAATGCAGCTCTCCTGCCTATGTTCACTGCATTATTCACTCCCAGGTGAAAATCCTGGCCTTGATGGCTGTCAGTTCCAAATGCCCAACCATTGTTGGGTTTCCCTCAAATGGCAACTTAAGGCAATTTTCCTAAAAGCTAATGAAGCTTAAGTTTTAGAGCACCTGCCTTGCACAGACCCCTAGAATGCTAGGAGTCTCTGTGAGTTGCAGAGCATCCCAGGATTGGTGGATCTGGGCTTCCTTCAAATGGCAACTTAAGGCAATTTCTCCCCTTTCCCCCACCTGGACACTCATCATGGGGGTCATAGCTTTACTGCCCTCAGTGCATCCTGCCTCTTGGTTCCATCTCCTGGAGATAAAGGAGCCCTTTGAAGCCTAGGCAGGAAGATGGGCCTTTAGAAAGTGCTGGGGGCAGGCGGGGCGCGGTGGCTCACACCTGCAATCCCAACACTTTAAGAGGCCGAGGCGGGTGGATCACGAGGTCAGGAGATTGAGACCATCCTGGCTAACATGGTGAAACCCCATCTGTACTAAAAATACAAAAAATTAGCCGGGCATGGTGGCACGCTCCTGTAGCCCCAGCTACTCGGGAGGCTGAGGCAGGAGAATCGCTTGAACCCGGGAGATGGAGGTTGCAGTGAGCAGTGATTGCGCCAGTGCATTCCAGTCTGGGTGACAGAGTGAGACTCCATCTCACCAAAAAAAAAAAAAAAAAAAAAAGGAAAAAGAAAAAAAGGGGGGTGGCTAGGGCAAGAGCAAGCCAACTTACAGGTGACTTTGACGGGGGGTGCGAGTTAGTTTTGTGTTCGAGCTTTGAGGAAGAGAACAAGCATGAGGCATTCAAAGCATGAGCAAGACGAAGGGGATAGTGCTGGAGTTTGTTTTGTTTTGTTTTTAATTAGACATTTTCCAAGGGGCTGGAGGGAACCTACACTGCTTCTAATAGAATCTGAATCTGATCTTCTGGAAGATGAGAATTTGATGTCATCTTCGGAAGCCTTTAAGGATGCCATTGACTTCCATCCTTCTTAGCACAGCTGAGAAGTGAAGATGCTTCTGAAAAAGCTCATTCTTTTCAAAGCAGGAATGGCGAGGCGGGGACTCTGGAGCTGACCTTCTCAGCTGTTGGTGTAGAGAGGCCACTTTTCATTTTTCTTAATTGCAGCGTGGTTGGGTGTAGGTTCAGGGGTGGGTAGGGGGCTGAAGCTTATAAGATTTGCCTGCTTTAAGAAAAATATTGTCTAAAAAAGTAGATATTTAGAGTGAGAAAAATGTCAAAATAAATGACTGGAACCTTAGGAATTCAGTCACTATCTTTTATAATCTCTTCAGATAATTTGCCAGGAAAAAAAGCTGAATTAAGAACACTTCCTGATTGCAACCTCATGTTTCCACTGATCCTGGGATGCTCTGCAACCCTCAGAGACTCCCAGCATTCTCAGGGTCTGTGCAAGGCAGGTGCTCTGAAACTTAAGCTTCATTAGCTTTAAGGAAAATGTGTTGCAGGAGGATGGGAGGTGAAGGGAGGCATTAGAGATGGTGGGTGCCAGTGGATTGCAGGGAAGGGAGCCTATTGGTGGGATTAATTACCTTCCCTCATCCTGGGAGCATCTTTGAGCTATGGGGAGGAAGCTATGGTAGTAGCTGCTGCTCCACGACTGATCACACATTGAATGATTGGTCATCTCTGCTCAGTAGTCTGTGGATCCAGCAACAGCCTGAGCTGGCTGAAGGCACCTTGCAAGTCCCTGGAAACCTCTTCATTCCAGACTTCAAGTGTTGGCCAGGGAAGGCTCCAGGTTAGAGCAGCTTAAGCTTTTCTTGTGCATGGATGGGTCCCTTTGGGAATATAGACTGTTTCTTCATTTTTGCAATAGGAAAAAACTTCCTCTATTTTTTTTTTCAATATTTCTCTCCTAATGTTTCTGCTTTGGCTCAGAGAGAATGGAGAACCCTGCTTCCTTTACTCATCTTGGGCAGGGCCAGGTGAGGGGACTTTGTCTCTTTGCTGACTTCACTCACCAGCTTCTCACAAAGGCAAGAGGAATTGCTCATATGAGTGTCCTGCATTCTCTGAGTGTGTTTAGCAAGTATAACGACAGGAGCCAAGATCATTTCTTTTTATTTCTGGTGCTCAACAACGTGGGTTTCCCCCTTCCTGGGGGTCCCCAGGAGTCAAGCACACCTAAGACCCCACCTGGCTTTCTGGGCTGGCTGGCCAGGCACTGAATGTTCGTTCCAGAATCTCCAGCTCACCTGGGAGGGTTAGGGAGATGGGTCATCCTTGCTCATGGGACAAGAGCATTAGGTTTGCCCCACAGACTCAGGCATTCTATTAGAAGAGGAAGTCCTGCTCAGCTCTCTGGGCTTTGAGACTGCACCAACCAGCCCATGTTATTAGAGAAACTCTGCTTTAAGAAGCATCAGATGCTGGCTCAGAGGTTCTGATTCACAGCTATTCTTTTCTTTTCTGTATTGAGTTTCCCATTTGACTATTTTTCCTTGACTATCTCTCCTTCAGTTAAGAACCTGGAAGGAAGGAGAAATTTGTGCCAGTATTCGAGTACCAGAATGCCATGTGCACCCTAAACACAAATAAGTGCACACATGTAATTTTAGGGGGATCACAGATCTCTCTAAGGAAACCAAGGAGAGCCATTAGAGTACTTCTCAAACATGAATGAGCCTATAAATCAGCCAGAGATCTTGCTGGAATGCAGAGCCTGATGCAGGTGGTCTGGGCTGGGCCTGAGATCTGCATTTCTAACAAGCTCAGAGGTTTCTATTCTAAGGCGTCTAGATCCTTGGTACTCAAAGGTGGTCTAGGGACCAGAAGGGTCAGCACCACCTGAGAGCTTCTTAGAAATGCAGAATCTGCCAGGTGCAGTGGCTCAGGCCTGTAATCACAGCTACTCAGGGAAGTGAGGTGGGAGGATGGCTTGAGGCCAGGAGTTTGAGACCAGCCTGGGTAACATAGTGAGACCTCTTCTCAAAAAAAAAAAAAAAAATTAGCCCGGCATGGTGGTGTGCATCTGTAATCCCAGCTACTCAGGAGGCTGAGGCAGGAGTTCAGGAGTTCAGGAATTAAGGAGGCTGAGGCTTGAGCCCAGGAGTTCAAAGTTGCAGTGAGCTATGATTGCACCATTCCACTTCAATTTGGGCAGAAGATCGAGGCCTTGTCTTTTTTTTTTTTTTTTTTTGAGACAGAGTCTTGCTCTGTCACCCAGGCTGGAGTGCAGTGGCACAATCTCGGCTCACTGCAAGCTCCACCTCCCAGGTTCACACCATTCTCCTGCCTCAGACTCCCAAGTAGCTGGGACTACAGGCACCTGCCACCCTGCCCGGCTAATTTTTTATATTTTTAGTAGAGATGGGGTTTCACCGTGTTAGACAGGATGGTCTCAATCTCCTGACCTCGTGATCTGCTTGCCTTGGCCTCCCAAAGTGCTGGGATTACAGGCGTGAGCCACCATGCCCAGCCGGCCTTGTCTCTTAAAACAAAAACAAACCCAAGCAGCAGATTCTCAGGCCCCATCCCAGACCTATAGAAACAGAAATTTTGGCCACCACTAGGTAGCTGGCTAATTGCTTTCTCATTTTTTTTTCCTATCAGCACCTTCAGGGTTATATTATGTAAACAGTTACAGTTGCTCTGGGCAGGACTTGGTTAAATCAGGGGCTTGTCAAGTAGGAAAATCACTAATTTCCCCAAGGAGCCTCAGAGATGCTGCTGGCAGCTGGCCCTCCTCTGTGAGTGGTTGGAGGCTGTAAACGGGACCTTGTGCAATGTTTGTGGAGGGTAATGTGGCTGCATTAATGATGATGCAGGAGCGTTCACAGAAGTGATTCTTGACTCTTTTAATTGCACCATTTCTCAACCTTAATGCTCCCTCCTTGCCATTTCTGAATTATATATCCACACACATCCAGACGCACACATATCGTAGATTAATTCTCCCACTCAAACTGATAAACTACCTAACACATCATTTATACTCATCTGTCTTTGCCCTAATCTAGCCAAACTCTTTTTCTTTGCTCTGTCAGCCACAGTGCTTTGAGAAAATTAGTCTTTAGCCTGCACTCCTGCATACACTGTTCACGTGAGTCCTTTCCAAAGCTACCTAAGGAAATCGGGGGCTGATCAGGTTTCAAGCTCTTTCCTGCATTTTGACCTCATCCTGATGACGGCTCTTTAATCACCAGGATGGGTCAGTATTTTACGTACTGAAAGTTGTATTTTGTTCCCTCTCAAACAAAATAAGTTTCCCTCACATTGTGTTTTTCCACACCTCTCACTACCACTCCCACCAGCGCAAACAACTTGTCCTGACATTTAAACGAGATATGCTGTTTTCCACAGTCAGCACCTCTACTTGTCTTCCCAGCCTGCCTAGTCTCACTCTCTCCTTGACTCCTGGGTGACAGATTCCAAGAGACAACAGCCATATTGCCTTAGCCAGAGACAGTGCTCTCCTCTCTCGCCTCCTCTGGCACAAGGGAAAAGACCCACAGTTTTGATTCTGCCTTGGGGTCCTGCCCATTGCTGCTCCTGCTACCTCTCTGAGTTCATAGACTTGGAGTCTTGCTTGTCCAGGCTCATGAAACCCTGCAGGACATATCCTAGTCCAGCTAATGTCTGTGTTCGTGTCTCTTTGAACCTGGCCCTGCGGTGCTCCTGGAGTCTTTCAGGCTCCTTGGGTTCTCCTGAAACTCACCTCTTGCATTTAAACAGCTGCCTCAGCACTTGTCGACATCTGCCTGCCTAGCTGGATTTCCAGTCTCTGTGCTGCTCCTCCCAGGAAGTCCTGTCCTACCCTAGTTCCGGGCCTGGCTCCCGTCAGAATCCAGATGTGAGCTTCCTTCTTTAGTTGAGCTAACTCCAGGGACTTGGTTTGTCTCTTGTGACCTCCCCAAATGGAGCTAAATGAAGCTAAGGGACATGAGCGATGCAAGGATGCCTCCTCGTAAAAACCCAGTAAGAGTCCAAGAAACCTACTGTGGCAAACTGGCAAGCTCCCTTAATTTGGAATTGGGGGTATGGATGTGGGGAGAGAGTTGGGGGCAATCTTCCCTGCATAAACAGCTCGCTGGAAGACTTAGGAGTCAGCACAATGTTCCATATTAAAGTTAAAAACTAGCTGAACTATAGGGCCAAGGGCGGTTTTAGATTTCCGCCCCCTCCCGACCTTTTTTTTTTTTTTTTTTTTTGAGACAGAGTCTGGCTCGCCCAGGCTGGAGTGCAGTGGCATGACCTCGGCTCACTGCAGCCTCCACCTCCCGGGTTCAAGCAATTCTCCCTGCCTCAGCCTCCCGAGTAGCTGAGATTACAGGCACCTGCCACCACGCCCAGCTAATTTTTGTATTTTTAGTAGAGACAGGGTTTCACCATCTTGGCCAGGTTGGTCTCGAGCTCCTGACCTAGTGATCTGCCCACCTTGGCCTCCCAAAGTGCTGGGATTACAGGTGTGAGCCACTATGCCCGGCCCCTTATTCATTTTTATTGCACACAATCAAACATATTAACTTCCTAAACTTCTTAGTAACTTTCCAAACAAATTATGGGAGAGAATCAGCTGTTAGGTTGGGACTGTATTAGAGGCTATTTCTGTTGTCAATTTTGTGGACAAACAATTTGTCCTGTATAGAGACTAAATTCTTGATCAGCTATTTCAACACTGCTTGCAAAACCCTCATCTAATTCTTCATCTCCTTGACCATTGGCTCTGCTGGGCTCTTGCTCTGAATAAATTGCACTGCCATATTTCTCCACTCCTTGCCTGCAGGGTCTTTCTAGAAAGAGCTATGAGTCAATTCCTGTAGGTCACCCACAGATTCATACAATTGGATCTCAATGGGGCTTTCACTGATACTTTTCAAGGCTTCCCTTCACCACCTGATGAGGGGCTCACTCTCCACACCCCCCAAGCCCCTGACTTCATTCCCACTCTCACATTCTCTGCTGATAACCTCAACTCTTGCTTTATGAAGAAGTCATTGCAAGTAGGGCAGAGGGGAAAGAAGGAAGAACACCAAAGGGAAAAAGTCAAGAAAGAACAGAGTGAGAAAATGAGACAGGCTGAGAGGGGGTGCTTTGGTAGCAGGCAGGCAGAGGAGAATGATCTTCCCATTTCATGGCATGGAAGAAGGAAGAAATGCTCTTCTATGCGCCAGCTGCCTTACTCAGTCCCGAGGGGCTTTTGCCAGCCCCCTGCTAGCTCCATCTCCTCCCACTGACCTTGTGATCTCCCTGGCCCCAGGTTTTGGTTGAAAATGAAAGATACTTACAGCAGAAGCAGACATCTGCACGTAAAAGATGACTGCTTCTTCATTAGTTTTGTTTGTGTTTTTTTTGTTTTGTTTTGTTTTTTGTTTTTTTTTTTTTTTTAGTTTACAGGAAGAGCAAATGATATAAACTGCAGCAATGCCAGGGAAGGCTGTGAGGAGTTCCTGGCATCTCTCATGACACACAGAGTCAATAATTCAAGATCTGATTTCAGAGTTGAAGAAGCTCAAGGTGATAGCCAAGCCCTCCTTCCAAACAGGAAGAACAGGTGCAAGAGTTTGAGGTGACACCAGAGAGAACTGTGTGCCTGGCTGCGCATAAGATTGTGGGATTATCAAGAAAAGTTGGAAAGCGGGAGATGAAAAGGCTAAACTCAAAGGCTTTTCTCAAGGAAGGATGGTCTTGTTTGTGTCACAGTGCTCTGGGGGCAGAAGAGACTCCTGGGGACTGAATACAGATGGCTTCTGAATTTGTTTACATTTTCTATCAGAACTGACATTTACTTCTGGTCACACGATGTTTTTCTTCTATCACCTTTACCCTCTTTTGTGTTCTCTTTTCTGTCTTTTATCCTTTATCAGTCAAAGTCCAGCCAGAAAAACAGAAACCATGCTAAATATTTCAAACACAGGGGGACTACTAGATAGAACATGTTACAAAAGCACTGGGAGGGCTGAGAGAGCCATAACGAGGAGAGGGGAGGAAGATGAGCTACCACAGAGATTGGAAATTCCAGGAAGCTGTGATTTTCCCTAGGACTGAAGGAACCAAACAAGGGGGTTCTAGAGCCCAGTAGCACAGTGGTGGCTGACCCTGCTGGAGGCTGCAGCTGCTATTCAAAGAAATCACTGCTGCACTGTAGATAGCAACAAGAGGCCATTGGAAGCTGCAGCTACCTGCTGCTGCTGCTGCTGCTGCTGCTGCTGCTGCTGCTGCTGCTGCTGCTGCTGCTGCTGCTGGGTCTAGAGCCATCTCTGGGCCCTGTAGGTATTGGCCACTTCTGGCCATCACCCACAGCAGCCACAGCTGGGACGGAGCAGAGCATGAGATGGCAGGAATGGCATTGAGGCCAAATAGGCAATGACAGGCACATTCCCTCAATCCGTTCACCTCTCAGTCTTGCTTTCTCTTAATTCTTCTACATTGCTCTTTTCCTTCCCTCACTACATGCAATTGACCCACGTTCATTGAGCACCTAACATGTGCCAGGAATTGGGCTAGAATTGGGGGGACAAGAGGAGTGGATTTGGAAATATAAAAGCAGTGACCTGTTTTCAAGCTGCTTACAGATCAGAAATACCCCTCTCACAGTTTTTTTTTTTTTTTTTTTTTTTTTTTTTTTTTTTTTTTTTTTGGGGAGGCGGGAAGATAAGCTTCTAGAAATGAGTCCTTTTAAGTTCCCTCCACTTTTCCCTTACTGGAGTTCTTTTTGTTTAAATCTTAGGGCAGCTTCTTACCGATTTGCTCAGTCAGTGGGCAACACTGAGAATCTACATCATACATTGGACTCTGCTAGGAGCAGTGAGAGAAAAGAAGCATATTCTTTAGGGCCTTTACCCCTGAGGACCTTACAAGCTAATGAGGGGATACTTACATACATGATGGAGGGAATAGAATCGTGATGGGACAGGTTGATGGGCTGATTTCTTAGACACTATTTGTACGACAGACGCGACTGCCATGGGAGTGAGTGGGGTCAGGGCAAGCTTCATGGGGAAGGAGGCTCGGCCTGGACCTAGGGAATGGGGGGAATGCATCCCAAGAGAGGAATATACAGGAAACTTAGCCAGATGTGCACACGGCTCACCCTCCTGCTTCTTGCCCCAAAGCTGCCACTGTCATCAGCCTCTGGGCTATGGAAACATCCAACATCAGAGGGCAGAAATGCAACAGAGTTCTGATTATTCTCTTTTCCACACAGTTTTAGTACAATGACCTTGGGTGAGTCATTTGACCATTTGGGGCCTCGGTTTGTGACAAAGAGATACTTACCCTATTCCCAATTACAGGGATCTGAACAGATCAAATCTTGTTCCATCCTGCTGTCAGATCCAGGACTCACATGAGACATGGGTTTGGGGGGTTGGTTCTGATTTACCTGGAGGAGAATAGAATCCTCATGAGGACCAGCAGAAGCCCTTGGTCCTTCCTCCTGCCCAACAGTCCCATCTATTTTCTCTTTTCTCCCATAGCACCTGTCTTGGAGCTGCTGGGGCACTTGGAGAGACGCTCAGGTTCATTCTTCTAGGTGGATAGTATGTAGAACCTGCCTGGCTCATGATCCCCCTAGGCCAGCACCTATGTCATTGTGCGGGAAGCAATGCCCTTTACAGCCTGTGTAGGGACAGGCTGCCCAGCAGACACGCTGGGCAGAGGCTGATGTGGGATGGGCTGCTCCTGGTCCCTTGCCCTCCTTCCCCAGCCCTCTGCCCCAGCACTGCTCCTCTAATGCTGTCCCACGCTTGTTTGTGCCTGCAAACACTTCTGGACTCATTGGCTGTCCCCATAATGAACAGTGACAGTTCATCATATTACCAGCTTGCTTCTCTGGCAGGGAGGTTAAGGGCTGGAGTGACTCATTAGCATCTACCTGGAAGGGCACCAGGCAGTCTCGCTTTCCCTCCTCCCAGGGTCATGCTCTTCTTCCCAGGCTCCTGGTTGCAGCTCTAAGCTGTGTGTCCCCTTCCACTGGTGTGTCGTGAGTAGTTATGAAGAGGGTTCCAGTAATTTGTTGCTCAATAGTAGTGACACCAGGAGAGGATGTACCTTATTCACTTTTGAAAATTTGGAACAGTCACCTTCACTCACTAGAATTCCAAGGTGCTTTCTTGGGTAGGAGAGAAAAGGTAGAGTCACCAGGAGCTGGGAGAGCATGCTTTGGGTTTGTCCCTGGGAACACGAGTGTGAATGAATGTCATCCATGAGATTGGTTGCTGTCAGAGGAGGATTGGGAACAAGTCTGCTGTCAGTCCTCAGCCTCCTGACTGTTGGTTGGGATAGGCAGATGAAGGTGGATTGTCGTGGATAGATATTTCCAGGGTATCTTCCAAAACAGCATGTCTTAAATATGAATGACATATAAATCACCTGAGGATCTTGTTAAAATGCCAACTGAGGCGGGTCATGGTGGCTCACACCTGTAATCTCAGCATTTTGGGAGGCTGAGGTGGGCGTATCACCTGGGGTCAGGCGTTTGAGACCAGCCTGGCCAACATGGTGAAACCCCATCTCTACTAAAAGTACAAAAATTAGCCAGGTGTGGTGGTGGGTGCCTGTTATCCCAGCTATTCAGGAGGCTGAGGCGGGAGAATCACTGGAACCTGGGAGGCAGAGGTTGCAGTGAGCCGAGACCATGCCATTGCACTCTAGCCTGGGTGACAGAGCGAGACTCCATCTCAAAAAAAAAAAAAAGCCAACTTATTCAGTAGATCTGGGTGAGGCTAGTTGGGGACTTCCAGGTTCTGGTGTAAAAAATGGGAAATTTGTTGAGGTTTCTAAAATGAAGCCATCCTCGACTTCTTCAAATAAAGCTCTGATGGTTGAATGCTTTCTAAATGGTCTCTCTTTTCCTATGGCTACTAAACGGAGGCCAGGGCAGACCCCAGTAACCATGCCAGAGGTTGGCTACACATGCATATGTTCATATGCTATTCTGGAATGCTTGGCCTACTCCTGAAAAATCATTACATAATACTTCTCCAGTTAATTGCAATCACAGAAGAATCAAAATGTAAAGCTGAAGAAGATTTTAGAAAATCTCTACCATTCTGTCGGTTTAGGGATGCTGAAACCAGGTCCAAATGCTTAAGTTACTCGCTTGGCACCTAATATAGGGACTGACCCATCAGTATTGATTGATCCAATTAATGAAATGGCCAGTATCATATCTTATAAAGTCCATCTGAACAAGGACCTTTTTTGTCATTGTTTTTTGAGACTTTCTACATGAGGAGTTGCAACCCTATGTCTACAGAGGCTGAGGACCTAATGTAGCCAAGGGGAGAGGGCTGGGGGTGGGCCTTAGGGAGATAAATGACACTTGATTTTTCCAGAGAAACCAGAAATCTAGAGGTAGGTGAAATTTCATTTAAAACTATTGGCAGCTAATTCAAATTTAAAACAGGATGCTACATCACCAAACAAGACAAGTGGTCTAGGCAACTTGTTTTCAGCCTCTGATCTTCATGGATGTCAGGGATTAAAAAGTGATCTTAGTTCATTCAGTGTGTTTGGATGTCATGATGCAGTGCCAAGGCTTAGGAAATACTTTCCTTGTTAGCCTAGTCAGAAAGAGAGTTTCTTCTTTAAGAAGGGAAGCTTAGGCCAGGCATGGTGGCTCACACCTGTAATCCCAGCACTTTGGGAAGGTGAGGCAGGCGGATCACGAGGTCGGGAGTTTGAGACCAGCCTGGCCAACATGGCGAAACCCTGTCTTTTCTAAAAATACAAAAATTAGCCGGGCGTGGTGGTGGGCACCTGTAATTCCAGCTACTTGGGAGGCTGAGGCAGGAGAATCGCTTGAACCCAGGAGGTGGAGGTTGCAGTGAGCTGAGATCATGCCATTGTACTCCAGCCTGGGCCACAAGAGCAAGACTTCATCTCAAAGAAAAAAAAAGGAAAGCTTGCTAACAGTTAGGATGTGGGAGATGAATTGGACTACAAAATTCTCTCTCCACGGAACCAGAATAAGAGATGTTTGAAAGATTTAACTCAGCTTGGAACACGCTTGGAAGTTGCTTCAGTATGGGGATCTTCATTACTCCAAGCCAAGTACCTGGGGATTTTTATGAGCTTAACTGCTCCCTTAATGAGAAATCCATAAAAGGCTTCCAGTATTTACCTACACATGGGGTTAGAAGTTCCAAGTATGCTGCAATCTCAGGACAGTTGGAACAGGTACAAAGTGTAGGCACCTGTTTATCTAATAGAAGTATCTCATAAATGTTTCATTGAAGTACAACATACCTCAGAAAAGCACAGAGGAGGATTCCATACAAGGAATTTTTGCAAACTGAACATATTTGTGTATCCAGCACTCAAGTAAAAAACAATATGACTAGAATTCTAGAAGCCCTTCATGCCTCCTTTTCTAGTCACTAACCTCTCTATTTCCATGCCACGAGGGGGACCACGATTCCAACTTCCAATAGTGTAGATTATCTGTGTGTGTGAGTGTGTGTGTGTGTGTGTGTGTGTGTGGAGTGGTGTAGTGTGTGCCTTATTTTTCTCAACATTCTTTGTAAGATTAATTCATCCATATTGTGTGTAGTTGTGTTGCTGTCATGTATCATTGCTCTAAGTATTCCATTCTGTGTATATACTACTATTTATCCATTCTTCTGTTGATGGGTATTTGGGTACTTTCCATTTGGGATGCTGCTATGAGACTTCCAGTACACTTCTTTTGGTGAACACATGCACACATTTCTTTGAGACAAATGCCTAGGAATGGAATGGCTGGGTCATCAGGTATGCATACGTTAAGCTCTAGTGAATGTTGCCAAATAGCTTTACAAAGTGACTGCAAAAATTTACATTCCTGCCGCTAGCATATGGGAGCTCTGGTCACTCCACATTCGCATAAACACTTATTAAAAAAGAAAAGTTTAGATTTTTATTTAGTGGTGGTAGTGTATCAGATCACTGATTTAATTAGCATCTTCCTGAAGACTGACAAAGTCAAAGCCTTTTTAAAAAATATATTTAATGGCCATTTGGATAACCTCACCTGTGACCAGACTATTCAAATATTTTGACCATTAAAACATGTGGCTTGTCCTTTCATTCTCTAACTGGTGTCTTTGGATAAGTAGAGGTTCTTAACTTTAGTGTTGACCAATTTATCAACTTTTCTTGTCTTTATGCTTAGCCCTTTTGTGTCCTATTTAAAAAATCTTTGTCTACCCCAAGGTCACGAAGATGTTTTCCTTGAAAAGTTTTACCTGTCACATTTTGAATACAAATCTGAGGAAGCGTCTTTGCATCTTCTAGTGATATTTTTTCCCGGGCTCAGTGAATCTACGGCAGGGCTGAGGGGTAATAAATCCATAATGGTAGGAGCAAGGAGCCAAAATCAGACTTCAGGCTCTTCCAGTTATCAGCTGTTTAACGTTAGGCAATTGTTTAAGCTTGCTGTGCCTCAGTTTCCCAGGGGTAATAATCCTGCCTTCTTCATAGTTTTCTGGTAAGGGCCCATTATGTCAATACAAGGCTGAGAACTGTACCTGGCATGAAACAAACATCACTAAGCGTTAGTTATTATTATTGGGCTTATTTTAACAAGCTAAGGGCAAGAAGAAGCAGGAAGAGGAGAGAAAGAAGGAGAGGGAAATCAGTGTGTTGCAAATGTTGGAGAGAATGGAAGAAAGGGGTAGAAAGCCATTTATCTCTACCCAACACTCTTAAATTAGGTGATGGGTCATAAACTGTCAGAGTACAAAAGCCAGAAGCTTCCAATAAATAAAGAAAAATATTTGGGGATAAATAAATAAGAAAGTCCAGATTATCAACAAACATCCTGGTCACATTGAGCCTTTTCCTGGGGTTGGGAAGAATGGGCCACAGTCTTACTAATTATTTTAAACTCATAGATAGGTGATAATTTATTAAGCCAGTTAATATGAAGGGAAGCTGTGGTTTGGGGAAAAGTCAGCTGTGCTGACAATCCAGCAATTGAGTTTTCCATCCCCACTTCCTAGAGTCAGATCCTCACCTGGGCAAAATTGCCCTCCAGGCAATTTTGGTAGACATTAAAATTCTAGACTAGTGATCCTCAGACTTTGAATGTGGATCAGAATCACCTGGAGGGCTACCCTCACTTTCTAATTCAATAGACCCGAGGTTGGAACTGAGAAATCTCAAGTCTGACAAGTTTCTGGGAGATGTGGAGGCTGCTTCTCCAGGGACCATGCTTTGAAAACAACTGACATAAACTAAGAGTTGGCAAACTACATCCCGTGGGCCAATCTGGCCTGCTGCCTGTTTATATGTGGCCCACAAACTGAGAATGGTTTTCACATCTTTAAATGTTTGGGAAAAAAAGGGTATTTTGTGACACATCCAAATTATGTGAAATTCAAATTTCAGTATCCATAAACAAAGCTTTATTGGAACACAGCCACGTGCATTCATTTATGTGTTGTCTGTGGCTGCTTTTGTGCCACAATTGCAGAGTTGAGTAGTTGTGAGAGAGACCGTGGGGCCCACACACAATATTTACTTTTGTCTCTATATCTTTTTCACATTAGCGACGCCAATCAACCTGACACCATAAAACCCCCTGAGAAGTCCTTGCCTACGGCTGCTTGCTGAGGGAAACGGCTGCAGAAAGTTACTGACAGGTGTCCTTGTTCTGTGCCACATGTGTCTAATTTGACTTGTACTGGACACATGATCGAAGGTCTGGTCAGTGACGTGTGTCTCTCCTCACAGCTAATCAGGTTCACCTTTATGAGGATCTTAACTAGTTATGTGGGTAGGCAATTGTTCATTGCTGCAGAGAGTATAAGCTAAAAAATTCCTAAGCCCCCTCAACCGACTGGACAGATCCCCTCTTGGCCAAGGAGACCCCACAGCAAACTTAAGAACTGGGTTCCCAGCCATGATGGAATGGGAGGCAAAACATGTCTCCTTATACCCCACCCTTTTGTGGTTTAGACACAACAACTCATCAGCATTCATGTTAAAGTAGGGATCATCAGACTGACAATAGAATATCAAATTATAAACAGTACCTAAGGCCATGCCATGCAAGGGTTAAGTCATGCAGGCTACACCTAAATAATAAACTATGTTCTAACTGCCACAAGGGTTTTATTTTTCTCTAGCAGCTGAACAAGCACTGGCCTCAAGTTAAATAATATGAAAACAATGACAATTCATCCAGCCCCACAGGCACTGACTGAGCCCCTGTTCCACCAGCCATGACTACTGCTTCGGTTGGACAAGAGACTGATTTCAGGAACTTTCTCCAGATAAGAAGACCACCAACCATGGACGGGTTCTGGCCGGTTTACAGAGGCTGTGCAGTTGAGTGCCTTCATGTCCTGAAAAGACCTTATGACATACTATGCCTAACTGTCATATATTGAAATATTAAGTCTTCACCCTAAGGTGAACATGGGTCGTATGTTACATGCATGCTTGTTCAATATGCATGTGTGGGGACCACTTTTATGAATATTCATAGCCTCTCCTATAACCTGTTGAATATGTATGTTCAGGCAACCCGGTCAGCATAAAGCTCCTGCCCTAACCCCTCATCCTTTGAAATGCTTGTCTCTGGTCTTGGCTGGAGGCTGTATTTCCCAGCCTACTGGATGGCCACCTCGCAGGATGTAACCCCTTACAAGAAATAGTCTCCCCTCTCTTTTCCAAATGTATACATGTTTTTTTTTAGGTTAACAGGTGCTAAAGTAAAATAAAAAATGCAGAGAGAGGGGACAATGCACATCTATCACAAGGCAGAAGCAGCCATGGGGATGCTGACATTGTGAGGGTGAAGGGCAATCAGCTGTCCTGAGGCAGAGGAGAGCTGAGTTAACAGCCAAGCACTAGGGTGGAGATCAGAAAACACTCCATGGAAGGGGCAGCAGGAAGACCTGGTCACTAAGCTGCTTTGTGCCTTGAAGAACGTGTCTGCCTCCTGAGCCAGGGGGTCCCAATTCCTGCAGGATCCCTGGCCCCATGGGAGTCCTGCTGGTAGACAGGGATAGTGACTGTTCTTTGGCAGCAAGAGTAGGACGTCTCTCAGTGCACGGATACTCTGGCCTTACCAGCGTGGGAGGCTCCCACACACACCACCCACATGTGGCTCAGCTTGGACTGGTCCCCACACCCCCATGCACCTAAATCTTACTCTTCAAGACTTCCCACTTGTAAACCTTCCCAGATCTTCCTTGCTTCTCCTGTTCTTCCTGACCAGTAATGCATCTTCCCTCAGACCTATCCTGTGGCCAGTGGCTCTCTACCTTTCACTATGACTTTTTTTTTTTAAGTCACCCATTACAGGTTTGAAAAGTGACTTGAAGAATGAGCCTTTTTTTTTTGTCCCTGTCAGTCCCAGCAGAGGCCTTGCACATGGTGAAAGCTCGAGATCACAGACGGTCAGGTCATCCTGCTCTGACATGACCACCCCACCCCTACCCACCATGGCCATTTTACAGAGCAGAAGACTGAGGCCCAGAGAAGTGATGAGATTTGACAACGTTAGTCTGCCAAGTCTCATCTCGTCTGGGACAGGAAGAGCCGATGTCCCTGGTGGGTTCCTGTTTAAAGCCCCAGCCTCCTTCACACTTCTAAATCCCTTCTCCACACTTCAGATGAGGGAACCTGAGTTAATTTCAAGGGCTTTCAATGACCATTTGCAATTAACTGTATGGGAAATATCTTCAGTCAATTAGCTTTGGCACTTTTCTAGGGCTGTCACCAACCTGCTCTGGAGCAATCAGACTTAATTATCTTGTTGTCTTTTCTTCTTTGTTTTTTAACGTTAATCTCATTTGTGAGGGTTTCTGTAAACAACTGGGTAAGCAGAGACTTAATTTGAATGAAGACAATTTGGACAAAGTAACTGTATTTTACCAAAAACTGGAAGGCTTTAAAAACCTCAGTTGAGTCTGTCCTATAGTTTATGGGGTCTTCATGTTCTCCTAAAATCACTAGAATTCAGCTCCTAGGGAACAGAAATTTAACCCTATAGGGAAGCTCACTTTTTCTTTTGGCTTGTTTTTTGAGCAGCAAAGAGCACAGAAGAGGAACTCAGGAGGGGACAGCCAGTGTTTTGTTTGGGTTCAACCTCTTCAGACCCAGTAATAAACTTACTGAATTAAACTAAACAGCCCTTTAATAGCAGTAACTGATGGCTGCTTAGGGAGGGAGCAAGATGCAGCACAGCATTTAAAAACGAGACACAAGGAAGATTAGCAGGGGTTTGCAGTGAGCACTTGTCTCTTCTGCCTACTTCCCCATGAATTCTGCCTCCAAGAGTGGCATCCTTATTTTCTTTAGCAACCAGTCCCCTGCCAGGACTAGGAAAATCCTTGCCATTTGAGGAAGGATGAGCCACCACCACCCAGTTCTAGTTATGGGCAGCTGGTCAACTGCACTGCATTATCTGGCCACAGTTGTTGGCTTGGGATGGAAAAACGACCTAGGCTGGGCCACTGAGGGTCAATCTTGGGACATTTTCTGAGCTGCCATCTTTCTGTGGGTGGTGCTGGGTTGTAAACATGAGTATCTGGTCCTGTCACCAGCTATGTTTCCCCTTCATGAGAAGAGTCAGCTTCATGAGAATGAAGGAAAAACAAAGGAAAGCAGAGGAGAGAGGGAGAAAGAGAGGTTCCTGATGCCAACAGTTGAGTTGATACCTGAATCAAGGTACATCCTTGACTATTAGTTTATTTGGCTAATAATTCACTTTTTTCCTTCTTAATGAAATTTGTGTCACAACTCAAAGACTCCTTACAAATATAATGTTTGACAAAACATTATCAAGGTAAAAAAAATGATGACTTAATGACCAGGTATGGTGGCCAATGCCTGTAATCCCTGGACTTTGGGAGGCCAAGGCAGGAGGATTGCTTGAGCCCAGAAATCAGGAGTTCAAGGCTTCAGTGAGCTAGGATGGCACCACTGCACTCCAGCCTGGGCAACAGAGTGAGACTCCATCTCTCTTAAAAAAAAAAAAAAAAAGATGACTTACTATTTATTGTCAACCATATGCAAGTAGTAAAAAAGTAAAGACTTAATTGAAGCTCCCTGCAAAGCCTGAATGATAAATCAAGGTAGGATGAATCTTACGAAAGGAATAACCCAACATTTTGCTTCTGTTCCTCCATGGCCCTGGGGCACTTGTAGCCTTCAGAATCCTCAAGAAGTTGGGCGATGACCTTTCAGTGGCTTCCGTCTCAGGCACTTCTCTGATGACAGGTCCAGAGATGGCTCAGCTGTGTCTTGGCTGTCTGGAGTCTGTAAACATTGCCACTCCTATCTGGCATGCAGCACCAGGGGTGCTGGCCAGGATTCCTGATAACTGGCTGTGTGATCTTGGGAATGGCACACTGCTACCCCTTTTCTCAAATGCCCCACAACAAGGTGGCCAGGCTAGCTTTGGCATGGTTTCCAGGGGTCCAATCTGTGATGCCAGCTTCTTCCTGTATGAGGCCCCTCAAGACCCCCTTTGAGTCCTTGTGTTACTTTGCCCAATGGCAGCTCCCTTCCTGGGGAACTCACATTCCTGACCCATGCGAGATCGCAAACAGCCCTCCCTACTGCAGCCTGGGTTCTCCAGAGCTCCTGGTTTTCCCTCTGAAAGTCAGCATGACGTCAGCACGACATCAGCATGCCACACTCCACTGTACTTTTGTTTCCCTCACTCCTTGACATTGGCTCAGAAAGAAGAGAGAATTCCGTACAGAGCTTTTGCTAGAATTATGCTTTTGGTCCCCAGGAGGTTATTGAGGGATCTAAGAGAGTTGGGAACACGGACGGCTATCGGAATTGACACATGATTCTGGATCCTGGCAAAATGTACTGGGGAGGGACAGATAGGAGGCTTTGTACCTATTGCCACTGACATTCATCACACAACTGAAAAGTGAGCAAGACAAGAAACCCTCAGTGCGAATTTGAAGAGAAACAAGAGAAGAGCTGGACACAAGTCTCATCCCTGTGGGCAGAGGCAGCCTGGTCTTTAATCGGGGGAGAACTGAACTTTAAGGCTTCACATGTGTCCTGCAGGAAGGAGGAGGATGCTGTGCCCTTAGTGGGCTGGGTTCAGGGGCATCTGTCAACCCCACTTTCTGCACTGCAGCTGGCCATCTGGCCATGTGCCCAGCTCTGAGCATGTCCTGGGTCCTGTCTAGCACACTAGCGAATCAATAAACTGAAATGTCATGCTTCCGGGAGCCATCCGTCGTGGTAAATGTTGCTGCTCAATAAATGTCCACAGAGGGTAACAAACTCTGTCTTGCAGAGGACCTTTTGGCCACCACGTGCTCTCTTGATCCTCCCATTGGAATCATCATAGGGCTCCCCTGGGTTCAAATTTAATAGGAAGGGATGAGAGCCTGCTTCTGAGCCTGAAGCAAAGCATACTGTTTTTTGTTTTGTTTTTGTTCGTTTGTTTGTTTTTCCTGAAGGGCTGGGCGCCCATAAGCTGGCATCCTAACCCCAGAAACTTTGTGGTTATCATTGGTGCTGTTTGCCAAACATTTGCAATTCTCTCCACATCTGGTGCAGGGTGGCTGCACCCTGGCTCCTGGCTATACTTCCTGACTCCTCTGTGATTGAATGCATCTAAATGATTAGTTTTGATCAATGTGCTGTGAACATAAGTGACATGGTTTGCTTTTCAGACTGGAGCATTTACTTGTTGATCCAAGACCCTCTTGACATGTCTTTCCTTTTGATATGGCGACCCAGAAGGTTAAACATGGTGGCTTCATCATCAGCCTGAGTCCCTGAGTGACTCCAATGAACTGAGCCCTCTGCCATCTTCAGTGGACACATAGCATGTGCAAAAAATCCACTTTTATTGTTGAATTTATTGACATTTGGAGAGTCATTTGTTAATGCAGCATAGACCTAACCTATTCTGACTGATACAGGCTCCAGAGTAATCAGACGTCTAAAAGAAAGGCAAAAATACCAACTGAACCTCTCACCTGCCCTAAGCATCTAAAATAACCATATAAACCATGCTGCAGAATTAAAAGTTGCCCTTCTGGTTAAGCATGGCTGCTTCTGCAACACTGGAGAGATTTCCGGTTATATCTCCAGAAGAGTCCTAGCACACAGAAAAATGAGGCATCTTCCTGGGCCCACTGATGTTCTTTTTCCAAGCAGAGCAGACCTGAGGAAACTTCTGATCTCAGGGAAGAAAGCACAGAGTAAGTTGGAAATGTCTCAGGACTCAAGTGGAGGTGTAACTGCCTGTTTCATTTGCTCATCCTGGAAACTTGTCTAGAAAAGGTGTCAGGCTTGGGAAAGTGACATATGGTGGAGCTTTGCCTGTAGCATTGGCCTAGAGAGTTTGAATGAGGACACGAGGTTACCTCATGTTCCTCCAGGAAGCAACTTTAGTCTCTGAGTCCCAGCCTGTGCTGAAGTTGGGAGGCTGAGCCCACAGGAGCTGCAGTAGGGAAGTAGGTGTGTGTTCTAGGGATTTAGGAGGGGACAGAGAAAGCAGGGCATCACCCAATGTATGGGTGAGAGAGGCTATCCCTGGCACTGCTTCCAAAACACAAGCGGAGGAAAGGCTGGGCCTTCTCTCCTTGTCCCAACCTAGCCCCAGGTAGGGCATGTCCTAGCGGCCACTTGTTGGAGTCAAAGAGTACCTCCTTCTCTCTCCCAGCAGGGAGGGGTATCAGGACTGGTGTTTCTGATGTAGCTCTGTATTCAGACTGCTCTATAGATGCACAGGATGGACAAGGGGAATGGATCACTGACTTCTGCATTGCAGAATCCCAGGCCTCAAAGAGACCCTCTTCAAAGCATCTTCACCACTGCTGTTGAGCTCTCCAGCTTCATTTCCAGAAGGCTGCTGGCTGTGCAGTTCAGAGTTCAATGCCAAAACTTGGAGAAGGCAGGAAGTATAGCTTTCTCCTATCTCTAGGAGGGCACAATGCAGGTCAAGGGTAGAAACCATTTTTCTGGCAGGAGCTTTTATTGCTTTTAATATTGGGGAGGGGGGCATAGTGTCATCTGCTGGTTGTTCAGGAACAGCGAATCCCTGTGTAGGTGCTTTCTGGGTCACAGCCCTGCTTCCACCTGTCTGCATCTGCTCACTTGCGTGGTTCACAATCAATACTGACAAAGTGGTGGCTTTTTGGATAAGTGAGATAGCAAGGAAAAAAAATTCCTACTTTAAGTCAGATTAGCTCTGAGCATCCTGGAGGGCTAGGGGTTCTCCAGGGGGTACATCTCTCTCCTTTCCTTGTCACACTTCCCACTGGTTGTGACATCAGCAAGTCATTACTGGCCACCTCACTTACCTGGAGTTCTGGGTTTGCTCCCAGCTCTGGACTCTGGGCCAACTGAAATTCTGAGCAGGTTCCACCAAATCTACCCTTACATCCTAGCAGTGATGCTTTATATCCCTTTCACAACAATACCTTTCATTCTAGAACTCTTTCTACTTTCACGGTTATTACTGCATTCACCTCTCACAGGCCTTTCAAGAATTGAAAAATGAATTTCCATAATGTAAGTATAGTATCTGCAGTTCCTTTATCACCACCAGGAAAACCAAAACCACTTACAGAAACATTCAGTTAAGGACAGCATGGCTTTTTGTAAATAAAAAAGACACATATTTTTATTCTTTTCCATCTCATCTTTCTCCCTCTGCGTTTCCATAATGCATTTTACCCTTTTAGGAGGCCTTTCTTCTGATTGTGTTATATACATTCTCACTTTAGGACTTCTGCAATCTCAGGAAGTATTTAAGCCCAGTATCCTTATTCTTTGTTCTTGTTTTACTCTCTTTTCTTTCAACAAAGCACTGGAAATCCTTATTTTTATTTTTGGAAATTGCAGTTGCTTTTTTTTTCTTCCCAGTCTGCTCTCCCCCAGTAAACTAAAAATAAAATTCTAAGCCCTCCAACTGACTGGACAAATCCCCTCTTGGCCAATGGGACCCTAGGGAAACCTTAAAAACTGAGTTTGTGGCCATGAAAAGACAGGAGGTGAGACACACCTTGTTATATATCTTCTCTTTTGCACTTTAGACATAACAAATGACCAGCACTAATGTTAAAATAGAGATCACAGGACTGAGAGAATGGACTCTTTGTGGCAATAAGATACCAAACTACAAACAAGACCTAAGGCCGGCCGGGCGCGGTGGCTCACGCCTGTAATCCCAGCACTTTGGGAGGCCGAGGCGGGCGGATCACGAGGTCAGGAGATCGAGACCATCCTGGCTAACACGGTGAAACCCCGTCTCCACTAAAAATACAAAAAATTAGCCAGGCGTGGTGGCGGGCGCCTGTAGTCCCAGCTTCTTGAGAGGCTGAGGCAGGAGAATGGCATGAACCCGGGAGGCGGAGCTTGCGATGAGCCAAGATTGACCCACTGCACTCCAGCCTGGGTGACAGAGTAAGACTCCGTCTCAAAACAAACAAACAAACAAACAAAAACAAACAAACAAAAAAACCTAAGGCCATGCCAGGCAAGGGTTAAGTCATGTACCTTACACTCAAAGAATAAACTGTGTTCTAACTTCCCAGGGGATTTTCTTTTTCTCTAGCAGCTAAACAAGCACTGGCCTCAAGGTAAGCAATATTAAAACAATGACAACACATCCAGCTCACAGATGCTGACTAACTGACCCCCTGTTCTATCAGCCATGACTATAGCTTTGATTGGACAAGAGACTGATTTCAGTAACTTTCTCCAGCTAAGAAGACCACCGACCATGGACTGGGCTCTGGCTAGTTTACAGAGGTTGCACATTTGAGTGCCTTTGTGTCCTGAAAAGACCTTTTGACATATAGGGTCTAATTGTAATTCATCAAAATGTTAAATCTCTACTCCAAGGTGGCCATGGGTTGTATGTAACATGCATTTTTTTGTTCAACATACATGCATCAGGACCCCTTCATGAACATAGCTCCTCCTATAACCTATTGAATATGTATGTTTGGCCAACCTGTTCCGCTTAAAATTCCTGTCAAACCCTTCCCTCCCTCCCTTGAAATTTGCCTGCCTCTGGGCTTTGACTGGAGACTATGCTTCCCAGCTTCTCAAAATGGCCATCTTGCAGGCTATAACACTTGATAAGAAATAAAGCTCTCCTTTCCAAATTTGTGAACACTCACGATTTTTTAGTTAACACCTCTAATATTTTTCAACTTGCTCCAAAACTTACGTAACATTTTCAGATAGCCAGTGTTTTCCTTTGTACGCTCTTTGAGTTCTACAGGTGTTTTCTTCCTTAATTAACCTCCTTAAAATAAAACTAGGCACTCATTCATTCATTTTCTCATTCACTCATTCATATAACCATTCAGAAATATTTATTGAACACCTACTATGTGCTAGACACTGTTCTGGGTACTGGAGAACTGGAGACAGCAGCGAATGAGATAGGCATAATCCCTGCCCATGTGATCTTATATTTTTATAGGGGAGACTAACAAAGATTTAAGTAATTAAGAATCATTATCTCAGAAAGTGATACATGCTCTGAAGATCAATAAAACAGAGTAGGTTGATAAAAGGTGATGGGGGCCAAGTGTTTTAAAAAAGGGTTAAGGAGACCTCTTTGAGGAAGTGATGTTAAAGAAGAGAACTGAATGAGGCAATGGAGGCAGCCATGCCCTACAGGAGGAGGAGACACCATGCAGGAAAGCCCAAAGGCAGGAAGGCACTTGGTACATTCAAGGAACAGCAAGGAGGCCAGTGTGGCTGAGCTTGATGAGTGGGGTGAGAGGGGCAAGAGTGGGGCCAGAGAAGTGGGTGGGGGCCTTCTAGGTCATAAGCAGACCTTGGAGTTGGTCTAAGTGGGATAAAATGCACTGTAGAGTGACAAGTAGGTGGTGACATCATCTGGTTCATGGTTTAGAAAGACAACTCTGGCCGGGCGCGGTGGCTTACACCTGTAACTCCAGCACTTTGGGAGGCCAAGGCAGGCGGATCGTGAGGTCAAGAGATTGAGACCATCCTGGCCAACATGGTGAAACCTCGTCTCTACTAAAAATACAAAAATTAGCTGGGCGTGGTGGCATGCACCTATAGTCCCAGCTACTTGGGAGGGTGAGGCAGGAGAATCGCTTGAACCCAGGAGACAGAGGTTGCAGTGAGCCAAGATTGTGCCACTGCACGATGACAGAGTGAGACTTCATCAGACTTCTGGGGGAAGAATTGAGAGCATATGGCAATGGAAAAAGAGAGTTCATTTAGGAGGCCATTGCAGAAGTCCAAGAAAGATAGCAGTCCATTGGATAGGATGGAAACCTGGAGATCAGGGGAAGCAATGAATTCAAGACGTACCATGAGGGTAGAGCTGATAGTAACTGCTCACAGGCTGCACTTAGGGGACGAAGAAAGAGAGGCCCATGGACCACCCTTAGGTTTCTGGCCTCAGTAAAACTGGATGAACAACTTCTATCAAGGAGGTAGGAAAAACGGTGGAGAAATAACGTGTGGCAAAGAATTACGGGTTCAGGTTAAAACGTATTAGGCTTAATAGATAAATGGAGATATGGGAGAAAGCAACTGAATAATTAATGGAGCTGTAGATATGGACTTGGGGTAGAAATAATGTTTAAAGTCACAGGACCAGGTGAGATCACCAGGAAGTGAAGAGGGAGAAGAAAAGCAGTGCAAGGACTTATTAGCCATAGGGAACTTCAAATTTTAAAGGTTAAGAAGGAAGGTGGAAATCAGCAAAGAAGATTTAGAAGCAGCAGCCTGTCATATAGGAGGAAAATCAGCAGAGTAATGGCTCCTGGAATCCAAGTGAGGAAAACACTTCAAGGAGGGCATGATAAATGATGTCAACCCTTGTGCACCTTACAGCAAAACTATAAGGCACAAAACATGGTCTTTGTTTTGTAGCTAGGGAAATTAGTCCTTAAAGAAATGAGGTGGTCTGCCTAGAGGGATGCAAACTGTTGGAAACAGAACCAAGCATACAACTACATACCAGGGTGCCCTTTCCCTTAACTCATGCCACAGATCTCCTTTTCTGCATTCCCAAGAGGGGAGAGGCCTGAGAGGGTCAGCAACAGTACCAATAGGGAGCAGAGCCAGCGCAATTCTGCTCTTTCTGGTGGCTTGACTGAGGAGGACCTTAACACCCTTCACAGAGACACAAAGAGTTGGGTGTTGGCTTCTATTTTCCTGATGTGCATCTTTCAGAAGGTAGAGGATGATGCAGCCAAGGGCTAGAAGGCTTTACCATGTAAGCAAGTATTTGTACCTTTCCAGAAGGTGAAGTCCTGGCCTTGTAAACCATCACAGCCTGGATTAAGTTACGGCTGAGCAGAATAAAGGTCTCTCTTTGATTAGCTAGAAGTTCTGAGGCTCCAAGAAAATCCCTCAGAAAACATATTCCCAGTTCTTATTTTTAATTAATGACTGACATTGGGAGATATAGCTCGGTGGGTATCTATTTCCAAGATAGAATGCACAGAGAAGGGAAGAATTGTGCCTCAGGAGGTTTCCCTCTCTTAATCTGACTCCAGCTGACTCTCCTGTAAATAGTGTAATAGGAGAGGTAAATCGTCTGTGATGAGGTTCATGCCGGCCTTGCCTCTGAACTGCACTACCATCCATCTGGTGGTGCTAGCCAGGAAAACTGTTTCTCACTCACTCCCCATGTTGGACTTAGCACCAAGTCTTGGCAGTTTTACCTCCCAAGTATCTCTCAAACTTAATCATGTCTTTCCATCTCCACTGCTACTGCTAGGATCCAAGCCACCATTAGCCTTGGCTGGACTCCACTGATAGAGACTCCTAATTGGTTTCCCCACCTCTACTCTGAACCCTCCGATCTGCTTTCCATGCTGCAGTACAATCTTTTCACCCTCTGCATAGAACCCTTCAATGTTTCCCATTGATCTTATGATAAAGACCGAACTCCACAGCATGACCCCTGCTCACACCTTCCTTCTGATCTAAACTGAAACATCATTCTCTCATGAAAACCTTCTCGGACCACCCTGTGGATCATGGATGCCTTTGTTATCTGCTCTCTCAAAGCCACATTCCTTCACCTCACAGCATTTACCTCAGTTTGGAATGATGAGCTTCATACTGCGATGGTTTGGTTGATATCTGTCTTTACCACTGGACAGAAAGTCCCATGACCTGTCTGTTTTTTCATTCCACTGTGTCCCCAGCTGCATCTCCACAGCTGCCACATTAAAGAAGGAATGACAGTGTGAAGGAGGCTGAGTATAGCCAAGATGAGTTCATTCAGAGAAGAAACAAGGGGGAATCCATTGCCCTTGGAGAACTGGGTGCAATAGCCTGACAGCAGTGAGTTTTGCTCTGTTCCCAACGTACTTCTGCAGGTCTTAGCCTAGGCTCCTCTCAGAGTCCGATAACTTCATCTACAGATGCTACCCCTGTTTGCTCTATCTGCTGCCCCTGAACGTCATTAACTTCAGCCCCTCTTTAGATCTCCACAAGAAATACACTCCCACCAACCATGTTGTATATTTCCTTAAAATGTGGCACTCATGGGGAGGAGTCACCTGGAAGACAGCCTTACTATCTTCACCTTTCCCCATCTCTGCTCTTCCTTCTATTCCTTCCTGGATTGCCTCTCCATTCTCCCCACCTCCAGAGCTCTCCAAATTCTCCCTTTTTTATACATATCACTTTCCTTGTTCCTTTGCAATCTTGATGCCACTCAATGCTCAGATTGGAGAAAGATCTCAGCTTCTCTCCCCAAGGTTGCACACAGAAACCCATGTAGAACCTGAGAACAAAAGCCCTTGCCCTTAGTATGATATAAGCTCCTTAAAGAACATTCAGCATTATAAAGGGTAAGAGAATCTGCCCACTGCCCAGTCATGAAAACAAGCTACAACATAGAGATGGTAGAATCTAGAATGCTTTAATAAAAACAACACTAGAGCTAGTTCTTAGCCTTTTCTGGGACATCACTCTGGTGTGACCTTAATGAAAACAGGGACTCTTATTAAAACCACTGAGGAGTTTAGAAAACTGTGGTATCCCAGGTCTTCCTCATCATTGGAGATTCTGGTTTAATTGTTTGAATGGGGCCCGGCATTGGTATTTGTAAGACTACCCAGATGATTCTAATGTGCATCCAGCTCTGACTATTTCTGATGGAACATCTCTTTCCTTTTATAGGTGAGGAAATTGAGGCTCAGAGAGCAAATCTGTAGCTTAACAGACATCCTGTTGGTCATAATTCTATTTTTAAATGGTTTAAAAGCTCAGTTTGTCCTTTTGAATCTCAGCATCCTCATTCTTGGATTCTTTATTTATATCCCAAATGGCTGGACACCTTTGAATTTCTTCTTTCAGAGAGGAGAGATGGTGTTAAACTTTTTACCTTCTGGCCTATAAGCAGTTTCCCATTGCATTCTTACTCAGATGGCCACTTTGGTGGTATAAATGCAGCACCCCGAACTGTAGTGTGAATCACTTAGGGAACTTGTTAAGTGCAGACTAATTGAGAAGATCTGGGTACAGGTTGAGATGCTACATTCACATTTCTGACATGCTTCTAGTTGATGCTGATACTGCTGGTCGGGGGACCACAGTTTGAGTAGCAAGAGTGAAGTGGAGTGTTACAGTTTCTGTTTTCCCACCAGACTTTCTGCCTCATTTTGTCAAGGGCTTTTATAAAAATGTATCTTCTTTTTTCTTGAGAACCCCATCCTTAACCACAGGGATTGCTAGCATGTTATTGGAGAAGTTCCATTTTCCCTGAGGTTATACTAAGAAGTGTGTTAGGAGGAGCAGCCAGGGAACATCATGCCTGTTATATTGGGATACTGTCTGCTAACGCCAAGCAGAGCCAAAGTGAGAGGTGGACGGAAAGGTCTGATGGCTGATGTCATCATTTGAGCCTCTGAATTTAACTACCTACAGATTTATCCCGGAGTTTTCCAGTTACCTTAGTTGATAAACCCATGCCACTTTTTTCTCTTTAGGCTGACCTAAGTGTGTTAAAAACCTAATGGGCTAAGTTAAGGTGGTTTCCAAGGTGGTGAGAATGTTACCAATTCTGGTTGGGAATTTGGAAATGTTTATTATGCAACAGTGAAGCAACTGGTTAAGCTGTTACCTATAGAGTTGAAGCTCTTTCCATCTTAGGACTTTGTCCAAGGTGCATATTGAAACTGCAGCTTTAGAAAAATGTCAGAATGTTGGTAAGCAACAAGATCTTCAAAAAAACAAATAACAACAACAACAACAAAACGACAAAAAACAAAGATGTCAGAATGTTGAAGTAGGTGGTCTTTTTCTTTCTTTTTTTGGAAACTAATAAATATTCTGAATAAATTACTAAATTTTAGTTTCAGCTACCTGTCTGAAGGCAGAAAAAGAATATCATGCAACTGTGGTGTGTGCAATCAGCTAAGACAGTATCCAGTCATATCATCACACAGCCTGACAAATTCTTTGTATGAAATTCCAGTTAATGCAAGGAAGGAGAGAGAGAGTGAGAAATTGCATTACTTATCCGTTATTGCATAGCAAATTACCCCGAAATGTAGTGGCTTAAGACAACAAACATTGATTCCTGTCCAGTATCTGTAGGGTAGGAATTCCAGCAAAGCATAGATAAGTGACCCTGGCTCACAGTCCCCTCTCACAAAGCTACACTCAGGGTGTTAGCTGGAGCTATGCTCTCATCTGAAGACTCTCCTTGGGGTAGCAGGAGTACTTGCTTCTAAGCTGTCTCATGTGACTGGCAGACTGGATCCCTTGCTATGTAGGCCTGTTTACTTGATTGCCCCATAACATGATAGCTGGCTTCTCCAGGGTGAATGATTGAGGAGAGAGCAAAAGAGGAGGTGCCCAAGACAGAAGCCATAGTCTTTTTATAACCCAATGTCTTAGAAACCTGTCAATAAGTCCAGGCCATGCTCAATAGGCTGGTGTGAATATCAGGAGGTAATGCTCACTGGAGGTGATCTTAGAAGCTGTCTACCACAGAAACTCATTGAGAAGTAAGATTACAACCCTTGAAGGTATACCAAGTCCCTCCTAAATGACTTCTGCTGTCTATCCTTTTTTAAAAAAAGTAGATATGGAGTCTTGCTCTGTCACCCAGGCTGGAGTACGGTGGTGTGATCACAGCTCCCTGCAGTCTTTACCTCCAGGGCACAATTGATTGTCCCACCTCAGCCTTCCAAGTAGCTGGAACTATAGGTGCACACTACCATGCATAGATAAATTTTGTATTTTTTTTTTTAATATAGAGACAGGGTTCTGTTATGTTGCCCAGGCTGGTCTTGAACTCCTGAGCTCAAGAGATCTGTCCACTGGCCTCCTAAAGTTCTGGGATTTCAGGCATGAGCCACCACGTCTGGCCTGTTTTTTATCAGAGTCAAAACCTTCCCTCCACATGGGGACAAAAAGGACAATAATTCTGCCTGAGCACTTGGTGATGGGCAGAGGCAGCAGCCGCAAGTGAAGCTATAAGGTTTGGTTCTAGGCCTTGATGGGAGGAGGATTCTGGCCTGTTGCTAAAAGCCAGAAACAGCATCCCAGTAGAACTCAGATGCAGAGATCCTGGCACTCATGGAGATGAGGGATGGTTATCCAGAGTGTTGAGAACTCAAATTGATCAACTGTTAACTCAGTTTTAAGGAGACTGTACAAGGAGAGAAACTCAAAGCCTGGCCAACAGGGGCCATGCTTATTGATCTCTTCTAAGATCTGAGGTCTGTGTCACCTGGCCTATAGAAATGCACTGCTAAGCAGGTATTGTTACCCTTTCTCCTTTGCACCCCTCTCAGAAATGGGCCATGATAGCCAAGAGAGCAGAAAACAGGCAGCCCAATGGACCGATTGAGGACTTCTCTCACCACCAGGCAGGAAACCCTTCTGTTTCTCCCCTGCAGGAGCAGTTATGACCCTTTGGCCACTGAAGTCAATTCCTCTCCTTCCCTTTTCTAAATCAGAGTTACTAGTGTGTTAATCCTATTTTCTCACTATCACTGTAACAGCGGGCTTGTCAAATGTGGCTAAATCTACCCATGTGTCTCAAGTTGCACCAGGCTGGGGACCCACACATGACCTTGAATGAGAGGGATGCGCACCTTCCAGATGGATTTGCAGGTGGATGCAGTGGCCAGATGAAATGCTGGGCTGTCTTCCTTTGAGGAAAAGCTATGTGAGTGTTTTGATTATGTCCCAGATTATAGCATCATGTTGGCTGAGAACAATTTGTGGGAATGAATAAAAAGAAAGAAGGGCGCTTGAGTGTCAGATCATAAGACTGAAGAGAGTGGAATGTGGTAGCTGTGGCTGTGTTCTTTTGGCATGATTTCTCATCTCCTTTTCCCCTAGTTCTTTGGGGGAACTTCTTTCGCATTCTACGGGATAGTGGCGTGATTGCCATCAGACTACTTTGCTCCTCTTCCCCAGGGCTTCTGTCTCTTGCAATGAGAAGCATTTTAACTAAAATAGGTATATATGGAATATTTTGATCTCATCCTCTTTCCTTCATAAACTTTGTTGATGACTTTTGCCATTTAACATTATAGAGGATAATCTGGAAGTTAATCTATTTTTATAAAATAGAAAGGTAGGGCCAGACGCAGTGGCTCACATCTGTAATTCCAGCACTTTGGGAGGCCAAGGCAGGCAGATCACAAGTTCAGGTGTTCAAGATCAGCCTGGCCAACATGGTGAAACCCCATCTCTACTAAAAATACAAAAATTAGCTGGGCATGGTGATGCGCGCCTGTAATCCCAGCTACTAGGGAGGCTGAGGCAGGAGAATTGCTTGAACGGGGACCCAGGAGGCAGAGTTTGCAGTGAGCTGAGATCGCTCCACTGCACTCCAGCCTGGGAGACAGAGCGAAACTCCATCTCAAAGAACAAAAACAAACACAACAACAACAACAACAAAATAGAAAGGTAGGTAACATGTTAAATCTATCTTATTATACTTTACCCTGAGTTCAAAGTATAGCTCTATCTAGTAGGAACTCTGTCTAATATTTATTGAAGGCTTTTTTTATTTTTTCTTGTTGCCCAGGCTGGAATGCAATGGTGTGATCTCAGCTCACTGCAACCTCAGCCTCTCAGGTTCAAGCAATTCTCCTGCCTCAGCATCCAGAGTAGCTGGGATTACAGGTGCCTGCCACCATGCCCAGATAATTTTTGTATTTTTAGTAGAGACAGGGTTTCACCATGTTGGCCAGGCTGGTCTCGAACTCCTGACCTCAGGTGATCCACCCGCCTCGGACTCCCAGAGTGCTGGGATTACAGGTGTGAGCCATTGTGCCCAGCCATTTATTGAAGCCTTTTGATCTGCAAGTTTAGGTGTTCAGTTTTAGGATAATTTTATTTGCTTCTGCTCAATTTCTTCTATTCCTCCCATCAAATACACCATTAATATACATTTTGGCTCTCTCTTTTCTGTTATCTATTTGTAGCATCACCCCTTTCATGAATTTATTTTATTTTTCTTTTTCCTCTTGATTGTGAGTGAGTTGCTGATCATATTGCTGATGTAATTTTTTTTGCACTGTCGATTCTTTTCTTAACTCTTTTTGTACGTTAAAACGTCTCTTTTCACATGTTTAATATTGTTTTCTGCTTATCTCATCTAGTTCCCTTTTTATAACTCCTTCTTAACAGCTGCCTTTTGATCTCACTGTATTGTCTTTTGTTTTAATACTGTTGACAATACAAGACAAATGTCTAAAATTTATGTCTGCTTCCTGCAGTAAATCTCTTAAAAAAGAATGCTCTTCTATTGCTATGGAAATAGTATACTATCCATCTGTGTTTAGGATCTCCTCTTGTATCTCATTTTACTTTGCTTCTATTTTTTCATATCTGAACAATAAAGCTTCTATCTGCGTCTAGAACTTGTTCCCCAAAATAGATGAGTGGGTTCTTCTGAGATCATCTCATTGAGGTCTTAAGTGTGAGGGCAGTCTGAGGACTGGAGAGAGATCTACAGTCATGGAGCAGAAAGGCAATTTCATGAATGGGTAGTGTCTTTTCTGTGGCAAAGCCACTGAGCTGGGCATCCATCCTGGTTGTCAGATTGTCGTGTTCCTGGCCCACCATAGCTGGATGAGCCATAGTGTTCTGCGGAGTGTGTGTGTGTGTGTGTGTGTGTGTGGTGGGGGGTGGGGGAGTGTGTGCTGCAGCCTCCAGCCCATTGTTTGGTGCAGCTGCCATGCCCTGGTCTACCAAGGTAGTTAACCATGACATTCCCATTGCCCCATTGCACTGCTACCCTCTACATGAAGAAGAAACTCCCCATCTCCCATAACTGCCACCAATAGTCTTATACTTGACACATAGAACTTCCTAGTGTTCAAATTTTCATTTGTGAGGTGTTACTCCACATACAACCCAGAACTGACATATAGCCCTTCATGTGTTAACTCAGTGCTCTTTCCTATGCCTGGAATATGTCAATATATATTTTTCACCCTTGCAATTTCTACTCCTTGAATGCCTGGCTCAATGGTCCTTTTCCATGCCAAATACTTTTGGGTTTCTCCAGCCAGAGTTATTTCTCCTATTGTACCTTATACATATCTCTATTTCAGCACCTGGTAAGTTGTGTTTTAATTGCTTATTCTTCCGTCTTCCTAGTTAGCATATGAATTCTAAGTTGTCAAGGATGTGTTTTATTCATCTCTGTTATCCCTTCTTTGTTATTGGCATCTAACAGACTGCTTAGTAAATGTTTATAAATGAACTAATTGAGTGAGGAGACTTGAACACTTCCTTTATCTTTGGTTTGGTGGTCTGTGTGGGAGCTCAGTTTTGAGTGAATGTTGGAATTGCAATTCTCCTAAGCACATCTGTCTGTGCTGACTGTGTATTTTGTCTGTGACAGTCCTCCCTCCTGGCTTGCAAACCAGGGAACAGCCGAAAACTCCAAACACATTGTCTTCCACTCCTAACAGGTACACAATGTTTGCAACCACCGCATCCCTTTCTCTAACTCTTCAAAAACAAGCCATGCTAACTGTTAATTGGAAGAGGCCTTTAACTCTAAAAACAAGACAACCCACTTTTTCAAGTTCTTGTTGCTATAAATCACACTACGTCTATAGCAAGATGCCTGTCTCTCTTTCCTGACAAAACTGTAGAATTGAATATGCCAAGCTCTCTCTGCTAGGTATGCTTTACTTTCAATATTTCAACCAAATGTCGAAGAGACAGGAGAATGTCTTGTCTTTAAGGAAATCCTGTCTGATGATTTAGAAGGAAGATTGAGATGGAGCCTGGTGCTAATTATATTCTGGTTTTCTCTAGAATTGAGTTGTATGTTTGGGAGCTAGGAGACGATGGGGGCCGTGGTGCAGTTATATCTTTAGATGCAGAAAGTATCTACAATAAATGAGAGTTGCATGGTTTTTTGTCCAATCTGTGGATTTTTTTCTTTCTTTTTTGCAATGTATTGAGGTATAATTGCTATGTGAAAACCTGCACATATTTATAGTATACAATTTGATGTATGTATTCACCTGTAAAAATATGACCATGATCAAAGTAGTGTACATGCATATGTATAAATCTCATGGATTTATGTGACATCAGGATCAAAGGTTCTACATCCACAAGGGCTTATACATTTTGTCAGTTTTTAACCTGTTGCAGACATTGATTTGATTTTTTTTTTTCTTGTCACCTGGCCTTTAAGCTCTTCTCAAGTTTTCTTTTCTTTTTTCTTTTCTTCTTTTTCCTTTTTTTTTTTTTTTTGAGATGAAGTCTCACTCTGTCACCAGGCTGGAGTGCAGTTGTGCAGTCTTGGCTCACTGCAACCTCTGACTCCCTGGTTCAAGCGATTCTCCTGCCTCAGCCTCCCAAGTGGCTGGGACTACAGGCACGTGCCACCACACCCAGCTAATTTTTGTATTTTTAGTAGAGACAGGGTTTCACCATGTTGGCTAGGATGGTCTCGATCTCCTGACCTTGTGATCCACCCGCCTTGGCTTCCTAAAGTGTTGGGATTACAGGCGTGAGTCACCGTGTTCGGCCTAGGTTTTATTTTCTCTGTCATCTTAGCTTTCTACATCGGAGTGATTTTTGTTTTCCATTGACACTGATGCTGGTTAGTCTGTATCCACTAACATTGTATGTGTCAGGGAAAAAGGATTTCATTCATTGTGGTTCTGCCCTCTCTCCCATTGAATCACAGTTCTCTGATTGGGTCTTCTTCCAGAGCCCTTGAAGACCCTCTTCCACATTCTGACCACTACTCCAACCATGTGGATGGAAGTGAGTATTTCTACCACCTTCTCCCCCATGGGAGAATCGTTCCCATGGCTTCATAACCCTTTGTGCATGTTGATGCTCAATTCTGCCTTCCTCTTAATCATAGTTTCTTCACTCACCAGTCAGTGATAGCTGTAGGGTCTTCAGGTTTTAGCTAACATGCTAACAGGATTCTGGTGGTGATCTTACTCCAACATGAGATTTCTCATCTGATATCCACTAATATGGGAAGCATTGCACACTTGGAATGAAAAAGAAAAAGGTTGTTAGGCTGTCATATAGGTTTAATCTGAAAGCATAGCTGAAAGCATCTTAACTCAGACTAGAAAGTTGTTACTCAGATTGCCACCCCCTGAAAAGGGGTAATTCATTTCCCTTTTCCCAGACAAAATACTTGAAATCAGGCTAGAATCATACAGTCTTCAAATTACCTTGTGATCACTTGTTTGATACACAGGACAGAGTCATTTCTCCAGGGAACCATAAAGCTTGTTTTACAAATACTGTTTGAAACAAGCAGGTCATCCATGGGGTTGGAAATCCTTTTACCAGGGGAAGATTCTTATAGGTGTAATAATTATAATGTAATTTACTCTGTGTTTTGTTGCTGTAGCATGTTTACTGCCCAGTTTGGCAAAAGCTGGAGGAGGCAACAGGATTGAGCAAAGTTTGGGCAAAACTGGGTATATTTGTAGATAAGGTGGTTATCACACATGCTCAAGAAAGACAGAGACTACCATTCAATCCAGCAATCCCACTACTGGGTATTTACCCAAAGGAAAAGAAGTCATTATATGAAAAAGACACTTACACATGCATGTTTATAGCAGCACACTACACAACTGCAAAAATATAAAACCAGCCTAAATGCCCATCTACCAATGAGTGGATAAAGAAAGTGTGGTATATATACACATAGAATACTACTCAGTCATAACGAGGAATGAAATTATGACATTTACAGCAATGTGAATGGAGTTAGAGACCATTATTCTAAGTGAAGTAACTCAGGAATGGAAAACCAACTATTGTTTGTTCTCACTTATAAGTGGGAGCTAAGCTATGAGGATGCAAAGGGATAAGTAATATAATGGACTTTGGGGACTCAGGGGGAATGTGGGAGGGAGATGAGGGATAAAAGACTACACATTGAGTACAGCATATACTGCCCAGGTGATGAGTGTATCAAAATCTCAGAAATCACCACTAAAGAACTTATCCATGTAACCAAAAACACCTGGTCCCCAAAAGCTATTGAAATAAATAATACAAAAAAGAGGCTGGGCATGGTGGCTCATGCCTATAATCCCAGCACTTTGGGAGGCTGAGGCAGGTGGATCACCTGAAGTCAGGAGTTCAAGACCAGCCTGACCAACATGGTGAAACTCCATCTCTACTGAAAATACAAAATTAACTGGGCATGGTGGGGAATGCCTGTAATCCCAGCTACTTGGGAGGATGAGGCAGGAGAATCGCTTGAACCTGGGAGGCAGAAGTTGCAGTGAGCCGAGATTGTGCCATTGCACTCCAGCCTGGGCAACAAGTGCAAAACTCCATCAAAAATAAAAAAAAAGAAAGAAAGAAAAAAAAATTCTGCTCTCAAAAAAAGAAAGAGAGAGAAAAAGGGAGAGAGATAATTATAAGATAGCAAATAGAAGTAGAAAAGGATTGGGGACAGGGATTTTGAAAACATGGAAAAACTCTGATTCTAGCTTATAAGGATAAAGATTAATGAAAACAGACATGTTTGTATGTTTCTGTTTTGGTTACTATTTGATGCTGTTTGGATGTCCCACCATAGTCTCATGTTGGATTGTAATCCCCAATGTTGAATGTAAGGCCTGGTGGGAGGTGTTTGGGCCATGGGGACAGATCCTTCATGGCTTGGTGCTGTTCTCCTGACAGTGAGTGAGTTATCTCGAGATCTGTTTGTTTAAATGTGTTGCACCTCTACTCCCTCGTCCTTGTTCCTGCTTTCACCACATGACATGCCTGCTCCTGCTTCACCTTTTGCCATGAGTAAAAGCTCCCTGAGGACCCCCTCCCCCCTCCAGAAGCCAGGCAGATGTGGCACCATGCTTCTACAGCCTGCAGAAATGTGAGCCAATTAAACATCTTTTCTTTATAAATTACTCAGCTTCAGGCATTTCCTTATAGCAATGCTAGAAAGGCTGAAAGCACTATTGCTGCATAACAAACTACCCACAACTTAGTGACATAAAACAACTGTTATGCTATGCTCACAAATTCTCTGGCTCAGCCCCAGCCACAGCAGGAATGGCTTGTCTTTGTTCTAAGATACCTGGGACCAGCTGGGAAGACTCAATAGCTGGGGGCTGGAGTTATCTGGAACTATCTTCACTAACATGCATGGCAGTCGATGTTGGCTATCAACTAGGACCTCAGCTGGGCCTACCTCAATTGGAATTCCTGCACAGGTATTCTACACACAGCCTGAACTCCGTCACAATACAGAAGCCTCAGGGTAGTCAGACTTCTTATATGGAATCAGTTTCAAGTATGAATGTTCTAGTGAACAAAGGGCAGTTGCATTGATTTTTATGATATTGCTTTGGAAGGCGGAACAAAACTTCTGTTGTATTCTTGTGGTCAAAGCTGTCACAGGTCTATGACATGTGACACATGATTCAAGAGGATGGGACATTGGCCCTAATTCTTAATGGGAATCATGTCAAAAAATTTGTAGGATATTTTGTTTTGTATTGTTTTGCTTTGGAGACAGGGTCAGGGTCTCGCTCTGTTGCCTAGGCTGGAGCAGAGTGGCATGATCAGGACTCACTGCAGCCTGGAACTTCTGGGTTCAAGCAATCCTTCCCCCTCAGCCTCCCAAGTAGCTGGAATTACAGACACACACCACCACACCCAGCTTGGGACATATTTTGAAACGAACACAGTTTTGTAATTCACCTCATCTACCCTACTCTAAGCTTTTAAAGGCTTCATCCAGGGATCTTACTATATATGTTTGCTTCACTACTGAGTGAATCTCAATACCTCACAATAAGTAGATGGTGAGTAAAATAAATGAGTTCATGTAAGATGATCAGAATCTTTTTAGATAAAATAATGCAAAATGTTTGGAGGAGTTGAATTATTTAGATGGCAAAGTGTATAGAAAAATGTAATATGTTCAGCAAGAAAGGAATAAAAGTTCAGAAAGACAGTATAAAACATATTCGGGTTTTCCCCTTGAGACTGTGAACCCCATGAAGGTTAATGCAGAATCTGTTACTCATCTCTATCTAAAACTTCCATCGGACTTGTCATGTAGGAAATATTGAGTAAATACTTTTGAATTGGTAGAGAAAAATTAGCCTTAGGTCTGAGTCTACACCTAAACCTCTATGAACTCAGGAACAGGGGTGAAGTCATAACCAGAGGTGATAAAAACAGACAAGAAAGAGCTTGATGTGTCTACGAGAGGACATGATAGCTGCCTTTGGATATTGAAAAAACTTCTAAGCAGCATAGGGTAAAGACTTCATCCATGATGCTCCAGGTGGGAGAACGGGCACCAACGGTGAGGTGGGTTTGGGGTTCACTTTGGAAAAAGCTATTCAACCATAGAATGAACTGTAAACTCTCCCACACTAAGCTTGGTAGAAAATACTTGAGCTGTATCAGGTTCAAAATGTTTATAAGGTAGAAAACATGTGGTTCAATCTTAACTGAAGCAGATCCCTAAAAGGAATAATAATTCAATGTTTGAAGCAATCTAGAAATCTTATCAATTTTGGCTCAACTTAATAGGAAATTTATGGACCCAAACCTATGAAAAATAAAACCCCTATAGGAAATGCATTAATAAAAAACATCCTTTATTTTGTGTATTCCAATGGTTGGTTTCTAGTAAAACTTCTAAGAGTTTAGGGCCAGATTAGAAAAGCATGAATAAGCAGTATTGGAATGTTTACAATTTCTATGTGAGGTTCATGAGCATGGGAAGGAGAAGGAGAAGATTCTAAGACTAGTGGTTCCTACAGTATGTCCTCCAGAAGACTGGCACTATCAACATTACGTGATAATTTGTGAAAAATTAAAAATTTTGAGCTCCTCCCAGACCTACTGAATCAGAAACTCAGAAGTAGGGCTCAGATATCTGTGTTTTAGTAAGATGTCTAGGTGATTCTGATACAAGTAAAAGTTTGAGAACAACTGAATTAGACCACTTTTAGGGACCCTTCTAACTGAGATCTTATTTCATTAATACATATTCCACATGACCATACACTCCTCAAAGGCAGAAATCACACCTTTTATTTTTCATGGTTTCTTACAGAGACTCACAGTTCTGGCATCTGTTAGATTCATAAGAAGAAACCATTAGTATAATTTCAGATGTTGGACCACCTCAAAAGACTTGAAATTCCATCTTCAAATTACAGATTGACATCCCTTTTATTTCCTGCCCTTCCTGAGCCTTCCTTGAAGCTCAGTATTCAAATAGGGGCTGGGCACTGTGGCATGTGCACATACTCAGGAGGCTGAGGTGAGAAGATTACTTGAACCCAAGAATTCAAGACCAGCCCGGACAACATAGCAAGATCTCATCGCAAATTTTTAAAAATAGCAATTAAAAAGAAAAGAAACTGATAAGATCTTATTCAGTTTTCCAGAAAAATATTCTGTAAAGTTGGCAGAGGAGCAACTTTTGGATATTCAGACTCAAGTGAAGAGTCAGTATTCTTATTACTTTGGGATTGGATTTATGTATGATGAAATTGTTTTTATTTGATTCTTACATACTTCCTGCAAGGAACACATGTTATGAAACTTTAAGTTAATGTTTGATTGTTCTATGCTTAAATGGCAAATGCTAATAACAGCCAAACTGAAAGATGTTGCAAAGAGTCAGAAAGCCTGTGAAGGTAGTTGACAGCCTTCTTTTACAGATATGCCAACTGAGGCCCAGAGAAATGAAGTGCTTTGCCCAGGGTTGCAAAGCTATTTATTAATGGTACATCCAGGATTAGACCCCAGATCTTCTGACTTCCGTGTCAAAACATTTACCATGACATTAGAAATTCCCAAAGCAGGATGACTGAGGTATATCTCTATTTAAAAATCCTAAGTAAAAGTAAATGTCATGATGTTTTTTAGAGTTTAGAAACATTGGTGTATGCATATTGCATGCCTCTATTCAGAAGATATGGCATGTCTGGATTAATCTTCTCTATTGTTACTTTAAGTAGAAATGACTAGTCATGTATTTCACTAACTGAAACACATTGAATAGAAAATAAAATCACTGCCCTAGAGCCCTTTCTGACACTAATGTATGCATGTTTATCTTTGCCTTCATATTCCACTAGACAGGTGTGTCTGTGAGGAAGCTTTTAAAAGTGTTTTCAAAGGAGAAAGCTGTGCTTGTAGCTCTAGCTAGATTTGACTGGCGGCTGTTGAGTCATAGATGGGATTGAAAGAGCCCGTGGTGATAGTTCATAAAATGGATTCTAGAGCTGCTGGTTTGCCCAATGCCAGGACTTGTCTCTGGGCACCAAGTAGGCACTCAAGAAATTAAAATGACTTCCTGACTTTGAGGCTCCATGTCAGATATTATATATATTTGAATTTGTTTATTTAACAAATTTATATTAGAGAGGCCATAAGGCCTAATAACTAAGAACACAAGTGTTGTAGTCAGATTGAGTTCTAAGGCCAGCTCTACCCCTTCACTTGCTTTTAGGCTTTAAACAAGTTGCTTACCCTCCCTGAGCCTTAATTTCCTAACCTATAAAAAGGGGTTCATCTGTTAGGATTCAATCAGAGAAGCAGAACTAGGAGATTTGGCCTTATACAATTATAGGTACTTGTTAAACACTGTCTGCAAAGCTCCTGTCTTTGTGACGGATGCTGGTTCCTGAAGCGTTCAGGGCAGGCAGTTGGGAAGGAAAGGTGAATATAAGGTGGAGCAGAGGACGGGCAAGTTGGGATGCATGGGCATGAATGAGAGCCTTCAGGGACCAATCAGAACCTGTGTCAATTCTCATTGCTTCCAACTTCCATGAAGTGGGACGAGTCCTGCAAGAGAAGCTGACATTCTTCATCAAAGAGCTAAACATACACCCAGCTGAGGAGATAGAGAAACCAAAGTTGTATCCAGGGGAAGGTGGAGCAGCTGTGGGTTTGACTGTTAGCCCAGGTCAACGAGGTGAGCCAGCAGACAAGCAAAAAGTGCCTAAGCACAAAAACAAAATGGCCCCACTTCACTTCTGTGCTCCAAATCTGGCACGAAAGTCGACCCAACCCAGAAACACCGTGAAGGGGATTCTGAGAAATGTAGTTCAGTCTTGCAAGGTGGACAGGTCACACAGATACCACGTGGGGTGAACCAGACCACTCTGTAGACTTGTAATTAGTGTACTGTTAGTGTGCAGCCTGAGAAAATACACAGTGATTATGATGATGATGTCGTGTGGTTTCCACTGTGAACAACAGTCTATTTCAGATATGGTAGAGGCCAGAAACATGTCTTGAGCTCCTATTCTCAAGTTCTTTACATTCTAACATAAGAAAGAATACATGCAGATGAGACACTATAATTTTAACAGTTCCCCACAATTACAATGTTGCAAGAATGGCCTGTTTTGAATGGACCAGTTTGGGGGGCTTACCCTTTAAAACATTAAAATTATTTCTTATTTTAATCATTTTTAATGAATATCTTTCACACATGCATTTTACATTTTCTGACATCTTACATAGTATGAAGGAAAACATTTAAGCTTTCCTGTATGACTCAGTCATCACTGGGAGTGTCAGTTAATTGCATTGTTCTATAACGGGACCAGTTGTATTTGAAGCAATTTAGGCTGACGCTAAATTGTCCTATTGATTGACATTGTTCTCTCTTGTTCTCTGCTGGCATTTGCCATGATTTTTAATCTTTGTGCCTATGATGATATCTCTCCCTTCTTCTAATTTGCTGCTTCCAATCTGCTATCGACTGAGAAACCAGATAACAAAGCTTGTAAAAACTATGCACAACATGCAATCACATAAGCCTGATGAGAACTTGAGCAAAACCCATTTTTCTGCATTTTTTCCCTTTCTCAGAGCAATGCGATTTCAATGCCCCCATAAGTAGTGTTTCTTTCATTTTGTAGATTACTAAGTAAAGAACGACAGTATACTTTTATACAAAATGGAGGCACTTCCAACAAGTGAGGCCAAGTGGTGCCTTGGCTCTCTATGTGAACAAAGGTTTCCTGATAGTCCCAGTCAAGAAAGCCAGTGGGAGGATGGAGTGATCATACAGCACAAGGCAATCTAGATGTGTGGGCTCAGAAGGACCTCCCTGTGGCAGTTAGGACCATTGTCACACTGGATATGGCAATTTAGTTTCAGCAAGATGTCCCTAGCCAATGAAGTTTATGTTAGTAACTGTAGTTTTTAAATTTTATATTCTTTGCTATTTGATTTCTAAATTTTATAATTTAAAAATACCTATAATGTGGGATGCTTATACATAGGTTCATATGGTGTGTGTAGTTGCAGTAAGCGTGCTTGTGCACGGGGAAGCATTTTATTTTGACAAGTAAGAATAACTTTCGAGTAAGCTTCGGCCCTATCTGTCAAATTATGCTCATTTCAGTTTTCTGCTCATGTTAAGGAGAAAGCTTTCAATTCTGCCTGTCTGGGGACTTCTTTTTCCTTCAGCCTTTGCACTGGCAGTGTTCAATTTTGCTTTGTGATGCAATGTAGCATAATAGCCAAGAAATGGGCTCTGGGGTCAGGCAATGTGGGTTTGAATCTCACTTCTAACAAATCACTAGTTACGTGGCCTTGAGCAAGTTAAACTCTGTGTGTCTCAGTTTCCTCCTCCATTCAGCAGAGATAACACATTATATACCTGCTAGGGTTCTTGTGGGGATTAGATGATTAGATTCATACAAAATGTTAAGAACAGAGCCTGGCAAAAAAAATGAGTGCTTCTTAAATGTTGGCTATTGATATTCTGGCTTTTCTGTCATTCCAGAGCCTCGAAGCATAAAATGATGCTGAAAAGAAATGAAATGAAAGGAAGATGAGCCAAACCATGAAAGTTAATACTGGCATTATGAAAAGTATTGCTATGCATCCAATTTATTTAATTATAAGTGGTTTTAATTAATTTCAAAAGAAGATGGCCATCCCCATCAATGTTTGGCAGAATGCCTGCATTTGAGGATGAAGAAAATATTGTGTGTGTGCACATGCGCATGTAATGCTTTTACGATGAAAAATGACTTCAATCATCAATTCGAAATCCTGTTCAAAGTGAAATCACATTTGCATGACAAACAACACAGCATCTACCAATTAGAATCATGTTTACTTGGCAGAAAGTAGAGCATTTGTGAAACCAAACACCAGTGTTGCAGCCACAGAGGAGAACTGCATTTTATTCATCTTTTTGGTACTAGCATAAGACATAAAAGGTACTCAACTGGTGTCTAAAGAATGCACGAATGTATCGTTTAATAAGTGACAAACACACAGAGGAAAGAACACAGATTAGCTGTCTGCAGAAGGGTGAGAACAAGTGTCAAAAAGGAAAAAATAAAATAACAAAAAGAGTAGATTAGTGGAAATCCATATTACTCTCAAGCTGTAAATTGATCCAGCAATGTAGGTCTCACCTCAATTGGTCCTCCATGGTAACTGCAAGATTTGGGGTGGTAAGAATGGTGGTGCAAATGTGTGTAAATAAAGTGTGTGTGTATTTGAATGTGTGCACTCTTTAATTAATTTAATCTGGCTCACCCAACCTCTTCTACTTGAGTCCAAAATCACAAAAGAGAAGTTAATGGCCCTTCATTATCAGTCATATCAGACAGCATATGCAATAGCTTTCTTGAAACTCAGTGCACTCTTTCCCTAACTAGGACCATTATCTTGTCCCTTAATCTATAACTATGAAGGGGGAGAGAGTAGGTTCTGATTTTCCTCTTCCGTTTGGCTGCTCACTTCTTTTTTTTTTTTTTTTTTTTTTTTTTTTGAGACGGAGTCTCGCTCTGTCGCCCAGGCTGGAGTGCAGTGGCGGGATCTCGGCTCACTGCAAGCTCCGCCTCCCGGGTTCACGCCATTCTCCTGCCTCAGCCTCCCAAGTAGGTGGGACTACAGGCGCCCGCCACTACGCCCGGCTAATTTTTTGTATTTTTAGTAGAGACGGGGTTTCACCGTTTTAGCCGGGATGGTCTCGATCTCCTGACCTCGTGATCCGCCCGCCTCGGCCTCCCAAAGTGCTGGGATTACAGGCGTGAGCCACCGCACCCGGCCTGGCTGCTCACTTCTTATTCTCACTAGAATCAGTACATAAAAGAAGAAGAAGATCCTAGGAAGCTTACCCTTGAGGGTCTTCATGAGATGGCTTAATTTGTTATCCTCATGTTCCCTTCATGTAGCATGTCAGGTTTGCTAACCAGAAACTGCTGCAAATTTTTTGCAGGAACCACTATTACCTGGTCCTGCAAGTCCTACAAGAAAGTCCTCTTGGGAACTCTCATCCCCTCTTCTCAACCTGGCTTCTGCCCCATGTAAACCACAGAAAATCTCAGGCACAAGACAAAGGGGGTTCCTAATGGGTATGAGCTGTGGACATTTCTTACCTTCAAGTTCTTTCACTTATGCCTTATCAGCCTCTTTGGATATTTGCTTGGAATTACAAGTATTAATGTCACTTCTTGCTGTAGTTGTTGTTTATGTGCCTACAGTGGTGCTGATTGCCGGCTGACTCTGACCTCCGCTCTTCAGATCTATCTGAGCTATTGTTCAGCCTCAGCAGGAGGCAACCCCAGGAGCCTGGCTGTGAGCCTCCAGCTGATGCTGTTGTGGGCAATCTCATGGCATTAATAATATTGAGTGAGAAGACCTGGGATTGAATCTCAGCTCCAACTCTCTCCAGCTTCATGACCATGGGCATGTTACTTCACTTCTCTGAGCCTAACATCCTTATTGCAAGGAGAAGAACTAGTCTCTCCCTCCCAGGGTTATTAGGAAGATCAAAAGAGATAACTCATGTGACTGGAATATGGAAAACCTGCTCTGGAGCAGATGCTTAAATAATTATTATTCCTGCTTTACCCCTGTTGCAATGCTTGTTATACTTTCTTCACACCATAGATTTTAGAGAAAAAATGTTACAACCCATTGGGATAAAGAGATGAGGCTCTTCAAGCCAGAGGTTTCAGCTGACCCAGACTTCAGCTTACGCGGTATGCCTGCAACCAGCCAAGGCTGTCTGCATGCCACAGCACACCTAGTGGGAAGCTTTGGGATGGCAAGTGTGAATCTTGACCCTTGTGAAGAATGTGGCCTCTGAGGCAGGGCTACTTCTATTTGCTCATTGAGACACAGCAACATGACAGTGGCAACTCACATAATGGTCTCTCTGCAGTGTTTTCACCATGGCGTCCCCTGCAAAGTAAGGTGACAGTTTTAGGGCTTCGTCCAGCCCCAGATACGTAGTTAGCCCCCCGTAGATATTAACTGTCATTGGCTTTGTAATTACTCTAATTTGAACCAAACTGGGCCTAGAATAACCAAAAATTTGTTTTTCTGTCCAATCACTTCTTCAAAATGCTCCACCCCGTTTCTCCTTTCTCTCCCTTATGAACATCTCTGTCAGACCCGTCAGTCTTCTCATCGTTTTCTGGTATTAAAGAATACAAAGAACACAGCGGGAGCTTCAATCTCATTCTCATTTGTTCCCAACTTCTCCACCGACCTTGGCTGGAGGCCTCAGAATGGGACCTGTGAGTAGACTTCTCTTTCCATTCCTTCTTGCTTTCACATCTGGTATGTTGGGATTTGCATATGGGGTTGGAGGAAGGGGAAGCACCTTTTTTTGTAAGGCAGTACTGGTGGCTTGCAGATTTCCTATGTTAGGGAAGAAAGAGTACAGAGGTTTTTCACTCCATCCTTGCACAGGTGACCTTTGCCACTTCCACTTACATTTATTGGCCAAAACTGGTCACTGGCCCTTTCCAACTTGCCACGGAGCTAAGAAGTGTATTGTGCTGGGTGCCCAGGAAGGAGTGGAGAGCTGGGACCACTGGGGAGCACTATAAATCTCCATCACAGGCCATTTGTGTGGTAAGCTCGTTTTAGGAAAGAGTGTTGAATGTCTACGGGAGCAGATGATGAGGAGAGGGAGTAATGGAGCTGAAAGACCAGGGACTTTGCTATTCGATGATCCTGCTTCAAAACACATCTGCATAAATTGGAACCTTTGCACTGTTGGTGGAAATACAGAATGGCCCAGCTGCTGCGGAAAACAATATGGAGGTTTCTCAGAAAATTAAAAATAGAGCTACCATATAATCCAGCAATCCTGCTTCTGACTTTCCTGCCCCATGTAAAGTAGTTTCCTTTCCTTACATACAAAGGAAATCTAATAAATATCTCGAAGAAATAACTGCACTCCCAGAAACAAACTCACAAACAAACTTACCACAAACAAACAAACAAACAAACAAAACCCCTCAAAACCCATGTTCTTTGCAGCATTATTGACAATAACCAAGGTACGGAAATCACCAAGTGTCTCCCACAGATGAATAGATAAGAAAATGTGACATATACATATTATGGAGCACTATTCAGCCTTAAACAAAAATATCTGGTCATTTGCAGCAACATGGATGAGCCGTACAGACATCATGTTAAGTGAAAAAACCCAGTCACAGAAGGACAAATACCGCATGAGGTTCCACTTAAACGAGGTATCTATAATAGACACAGAGCAGAGAATACAATAGTTGTTGCCAGGGACTGCTGGGAGGGAGAAATTATAACTTGTTGTTCAATGGGGAAAAGTTTTAGTTATGCTAGATGAGTAAGTTCTAGAGATCGGCTGTATAATATAGTGCCTATGGTTACACTGTAATATAGTATACTAGAGTAAACAATACAGTGTCATGAAATTCAAAATTTGTTAAGAGGGAAGATTTCATGTTCAGTGTGTTCCTTACCACAAACAAACAAACAACCCCCGCCCATCCAAAACCCAAAGAGAAACAAGGAAACTTTGAAAGGTGTCGGATATATGTTTTACCTTAATTGTGGCGATGGTACCACAGGCATTTGCATATATCCAAACTCCAAATTATACACATTAAATATGTGTGGATGTTTGGATGCCAATGATAGCTCAATCAAGGTGTTAAAAAGTCTGTGTTGGCCAGGCACAGTGGCTCATACCTGTAAACCCAGCACTTTGGGAGGCCAAGGCAGGCGGATCACTTGAAGTCGGGAGTTTGAGACCAGCCTGGCCCACATGGTGAAACCCCATCTCTACTGAAAATACAAAATTAGCCCGATGTGGTAGTGCATGCCTATAGTCCCAGCTACTCAGGAGGCTGAGGCAGGAGAAATGCTTGAAACTGGGAGGCGAGGTTGCAGTGAGCTGAGATCGTGCCATTGCACTCCAGCCTGGACAACAGGAGTGAAACTCCATCTAAAAAAAAAAAAAAAAAGGGCCCAGCACGGTATCTTACACTTGTAATACCAGCACTTTGGGAGGCCAAGGCAGGCAGATCACGAGGTCAGAAGTTCAAGACCAGCCTGACGAACATGGTGAAACCCTGTCTCTGCTAAAAATACAAAAATTAGCCGGGTGTGATGGTGCATGCCTGTAACCCCAGCTACTCAGAAGGCTGAGGCAGGAGAATTGCTTGAAACTGGGAGGCGGAGGTTGCAGTGAGGCGAGATTGCCCACTGCATTCCAGCCTGGGTGACAGAGCGAGACTCAGTCTAAAAAAAAAAAAAATCTGTGTAGCACATAAACTGGGTGATATTTGACCATTTAATTGCCTCTCTAAGAGGATGTGGAGAAATAGGAACACTTTTACACTGTTGGTGGGACTGTAAACTAGTTCAACCACTGTGGAAGTCAGTGTGGCGATTCCTCAGGGATCTAGAACTAGAAATACCATTTGACCCAGCCATCCCATTACTGGGTATATACCCAAAGGATTATAAATCATGCTACTATAAAGACACATGCACACGTATGTTTATTGCGGCACTATTCACAGTAGCAAAGACTTGGAACCAACCCAAATGTCCAACAATGATAGACTGGATTAAGAAAATGTGGCACATATACACCATGGAATACTATGCAGCCATAAAAAATGATGAGTTCATGTCCTTTGTAGGGACATGGATGAAGCTGGAAACCATCATTCTCAGCAAACTATCGCAAGGACAAAAAACCAAACACCGCATGTTCTCACTCATAGGTGGGAATTGAACAATGAGAACACATGGACACAGGAAGGGGAACATCACACACCAGGGCCTGTTGTGGGGTGGAGGGGGGAAGGATAGCATTAGGAGATATACCTAATGTAAGTGACGAGTTAATGGGTGCAGCAAACCAACAGGGCACATGTATACATATGTAACAAACCTGCACGTTGTGCACATGTACCCTAAAACTTAAAGTATAATAAAAAAAAAAGAATAAAAGCAGAAGGAAAAAAAATTACCTCTCTAAGCCTCAGTTTTCCTATCTGTAAGATAGGGAAATCTTTGCAAAGGGATTTTGTGAAACTAAATCACAAGCACAAAGCACATAATATCTTTTCATTGTATATTAGGGTAAGGGTTTTGCATATAATCCTGTAGGCTAGTAGACAGTGGACTTCTGTACCCTCTCCCCATACTTTTTTCTTTGACCACCAGTTTTCCCATCTCCTCTACCCACAAGGGAGAAAGACTTGCTGATTTTATTTCTCAGAGTTTGGAACCCAGTTGGACTTTTGCTTTAGTTTTCAAACATGTATCCTCTTTCATCTTTCTCAGTTTAATATCCACACAGAAGCCATAGTAATCCTCTTAAAAGATATATCAGATTTTCTCCTTCTCTCTCTTGCTTAATACCTTCCAATGGTTTCCCCATGCTCTTAGAATAAACTCCAAAGTTCTCACCATATTCATAATGACCTTGTCAGCTCCACGTTGGTCTGTCTTTAGTGCCTCTCCCACTTCACTCATAGAACCCTCCTTCTCACCCTCCATGCTCCAGCCCCACTGACTATTCTGAGAATGTGCTAACATCTTTCTTGCACATGATATTTCTATTCAAGTGTGCTTCGCCTGACTTCTTGCACAACTGGCACCTTCTCATTCATCAAATCTAGTTCAGATGTCTCTTATGAAAGGCCTTCATGACTCATCCAAGTCATTCCAGCACCCTTGTCATTTACTTACCAGTGTAGTACCGTGTTAATTTCCTTTAAATCACCTCCCACATTTTAATATTTTTCATTAGCTTATTCGATTGTAGTCTATTTCTCCCATAATAATGTAAGCTCAGTGGTAGGAGCAACTTTATCGTCCTGTTACGTCCCCAATGTCTAGAACAGTACCTAATATGTATTAGGTGATCAGTAAATAATAACTAGACCAATAAATAAACAAATAAATAAATACTTTTAGGCCAGCGTTACTACCAGGCAGAATCACTATGAGCGCAAGGCTCAGCATGCAGGAGCTGACCCTTCCAGGGTGCATGTGGCAAGCAGACAGGGCTGGGAGGGCTAACCAGATCTCTCTTTCTCATCTACTTCCTCTGCACCTACAATTGGGTGAGTGGTTTGGGGATGGCTCTGAAACTCTGATCATATTGAGTTCAGAAAGGGAAGAAGCAAGGAGCCCATGCAGCATTTTCTATTTAGCTGTGTCAGAAAGCCCTACAGTGGACATAGCATATGCTTTTCATCTTTTAAGTAAGAAGTACCTTTGCTTAGAATTCTGCTATTGTTCCTACTATAGGCCCCTCAGCAATATCTGGGTATTTATGGGCCCTGGATATAATAATATGATAACATTATAACAGATCACTAATGTATTAGTGTCTCATCCAGAGCCAAGTGGGCAAATGCACAGAGATGAGGATTTAGGGACAAAACACCACTTGGAGATATCGAAGCTCTGGAACCATTTCTAGAGTTCAGCTCTGCCCAGCCTTGACAGCTAACCTGATAAACAGACTTACCAAGAGAGAGGAATAATTGGGGCCAAGTGAAGCATGTCCTCGATCTCACTTTGAAATAACAGGCCTCTGATTATGGCCCAGAATAGAGAGATTCTTTAATGAGTGAAAAGAGATGGGCTGGGAACAGTGGCTCATGCCTGTAATCCTAGCACTTTGGGAGGCCGAGGCAGGTGGATCGCTTGAGCTCAGGAGTTTGAGACCAGCCTGGGCAACACGGTGAAACCGTCTCTACTAAAAATACAAAAATTAGCCAGGCGTGGTGGTGCATGCTGGTAGTCCCTGCTACTTGGCGGGGGTGAGGCAGTGGATTTGCTTGAACCGGAGGCCAAGGCTGCAGTGAGCCGAGGTGACACCACTGCACTTCCAGCCTGAGTGACAAAGTGAAGTCTTGTCTTAAAAAAAAAAAAAAAAATATATATATATATATATAGAAAAGAAATGGCTTTATTTCTTCTCAACATAGAGTGCATGCGGGGAAGGAAGGACTTGTATTGGAGGGGAAAGGCAGGGAGGGCTTACTTCAAAGTACAAATTTTAGGGATGAATTTTGTGCTCAGGACTGGCTGCCCTGGAATTAATTCTCTCTTTCAGAACTGAGAGACCCTTAGGTGTCTAAGAAGAGGTCAAGCAGTCAAGAAAAAAGGAGAGAGAAAGGAATATATGTCCTGTTTTTGGACTAGTGAATTAAATAAGGCTGGAAGAATCTCAGAAAAGACAAAGTTTCAGGGAGGAACCTGCAGAAGTTTCTGGGTCTCTAAAGACAGGTTCTGGTTGCTCCAAAAGCAGCACATAAGGCTAAGAAAGTTTTGGGTTTCTAGAAATCTCATAAAAAGTTGATGGCAGCGTGTATTCGTCTGTTCCTGCATTGCTCTAAAGAAATACCTGAGAGTGGGCAACTAATGAGAAAAGAGGTTTCATTGGCTCATTGTTCTGCAGTCTGTACAGGAAGCATGGCAGCCTCTGCTTGGCTTCTGGGGGCGCCTCAGGAAGCTTTCAGTTGTGGCAGAAGGCAAAGGGGTGTGAGGCATCTCACATGGTGGGAGCAGCAGCAAGAGCTAGAGGGTGTAGTTGCTACACACTTTTAAACAACCAAATCTTAGAAGAACTCACTGGCTATTGTGAGGACAGAACCAAGCGGGGAGAGTGCTAAACCATTTATGAGAAATCCACCCCCATGCTTCAATCACCTCCCACCAGGCCCCACCCCCAACACTGGGAATTGCAATTCAACATAAGACTTGCTGGAGACACAGATCCAAACCATATCACAGCATAATTAACTTCCTGGGGGATTTCTGCCAGTCAATTTTAAGCCCACAGGATGATTCCTGGCAAAACTGAAACCAAGCTTTCTCCATCCTTTCCTTCCAGCCTTCTCTGTCTATCTCCCCACCCCAGACAACACGGTTGCTGTTGTGGCTCCAGACTAGCAATGTGACACCACTGCTATTACATAGAAAATGCTATTTCTGCAGCAGGCATATACATGGTCTACATTGTGTGTATGTATGTGTGTGTGTGTGTGTGTGTGTGTGTGTGTGTATGGGGTGCAGGTGGTGGTGGGGTCTCTTGCACTTAGAAACCATGCATATCTCATTGACTCAACTATTCAGGTTCTTTGAGTTAAAGGAGGTAGAAATCCTCCTCGACCAGTTTAAGCAATATAAGGAAAGTGATTGGTTCATGGAACTAGGGGAATCTTAGGGTGGCTCAAGCTGCAGGTTGGAATGTCTGCAGGGTTTGTACAATATCTTCAGAATTCTCTGTCTTTATTGCTGTCTGTCTCTCCCCATCACTCAGCTATTTGTCTCTGCTTGTCTTTGTTTTTAGTTAAGCTTTGTCCATATGATAACAGAATTCTGTCCTCATCTTAGACCTGTAGCTCCATCACTGCTTACATGTAATGTAAGCTTATGTTGTCTTTGGAAATTTTGCCTTCTAAAGAAAAGCAATGTTTTATAGGATGCATTTACGTAAATCTCCCCAAAGGGCTTTGATTCATCTTGCTTGGGTCTTGAGTCCAAACTAAAACCAATCAACGTGTTTGGATTGTGGGAATGAGTTTGCAAATGACCCCTCTTCGTGATATGCCTAACTCTGTGGTAGAAGATGCAAAGCCACCTGGATTGACAGCCCCATCACACAAGGGCTGGGAAGTCAGTTACCAAAAGGAAGGGAAGCAGAGCACATAAGAAAGAATGCCTGTTCTGTATGCTGACCTTTTATGCATTTGGCAAGTAGGACATGTGAGAGTTTAGGATTGAATTAATTCTATTACCAGGAAGTGTGGGAATCCTCAGTTCTCGTCTAACTTGGGAGAAAGAATTCAGCCAAGAGACATTTAGTAACGTAAAGCAAAAGGTTTATTAAGGAGATAAGAGTACACTCCAAGAGAAGAGCGAGCTTGTGTGGCTGGAAAAGTACCAGTAGCAGTGCTTATTTAAAGAGACCGTATACTCTGAAAGATGAGTCAGAGTGGGCTGCTTAAAAGAGAGAGTGAGCCAGCAGCAGTAAGAGTTCTCCACTGTGGTTTTTATTATGCCAGATTTTTTTATTTAAGTTCCCACCTCTGTTTTCAGTCTCTGCCTTTGTGTTTGTCTAGTTTTCCTGCTTCTGTCCTAAGACTCTGCCTTTTCCCCACCTAGTTCCTGCTCCCAGGTTAGTAGGAGTCTCCCTTACTGTCAGTTGATGCACATGCATGCACGGGCCTGGTGTTGGATATAAATTCTACCTAATGAGAGTGTTGCTCATTACTGCCACCCCAGTAAGGTCATATAGTGGTTAAACCTGTACATACTGCACCTGTGTATCTCCTGGGATTTTTTTTTCCTTTGCCCTCTTTCCATCCCTATTAGCATATAGCTAGCTACATTCTGACAGGTTAACTGCAGAGTGAAAGATTACTGACATTTTTTTCTGCATAGATATTTCCCCTCTTCTCTGCTTATATCTAGTATGCTTGTTTTGTGTGATCTCTGGGATGTGAGATTTTCCAGACCCCACTTTTCTCAGGGACTCTCCATCCTGCTCATGTCTAGCTATCTGCCTACTCTAACAATTCCACTTTAGAAGTACCAAAGAAACTAAGAAACTCAGTGTATGGCCAAGAAGTTAGAGTGAGACCTTTTTGCCGGTTAAAGCATAATGAGAAATTGGATAGGAGAGAATCTGACATTATAAATAAATTGAGACCATTTATTTCTAGAAGAGAAAGAGGATTTCATTTTTAGACCTTGGTTTCTTTTTGGTTTTCTGTTAAAAATTTAGACATCCTTATTTTGTTACTTGGGCTATAATCTTGGGGGATACTGTATTGGTCAAATAGGCTGCACCGTACTTTGAGATGGAAAGTTATCACAGACAGGAAGAAAAAAAAAGTGTTTTTTTCTGCTTTCACTGTCTCACTCACCATAACACTTCTGACACCAGATGTGTGGAGGCCTGTTTCCCCACACGCCAAGCAATCCTCCAGCAGACACCAGCTGGGTGACCTCTCATTCAACTCAATTCTGACCTTATCTGCCTGGAGTAGATCTATACCAGTTCCCACAGGTTAAGGGCTCAGTCCTACAAAACTGTCTCCAACTTTAGATGCTAGTAGCAACTAGTTGGTTGTCATATATACTTATGACCAACTGGCTATCAATCAGAGGTTCCTATAACTCCTTTCTCAGGTTTGGTTGATTTGCTAGAATGGCTCACAGAACTCAGGGAAATACTTTACTTACATTTACCCATTCATCATAATGGATATTATGAAGGATAAAAATGAACAGCCAATGGAAAGGATTTGTAGAGCAAAGCAGCTGGGAAGGGGTACAGAGGGTTCACACCCTCTCTGGGTCACCTTCTAGGAACCTCCACATGCTTAGCTATTCAAAAACTCTCTGAACCCCGCCCTTTTGGATTTTCATAAAGGCTTCTCTTGATAGGCAGGACTGAATAAATAATTGAGCATTGGTGTTCAACTCAAGCTTCAGCCCCTCTCCGTTTCTGGAGGTTGGAGGCTGGGCTGGAACTTCAAGCCCTCTCTCTAATCCTGCCATGGTTGGTACTTCTGATGAATAGCCCCATCCTGAAGCTATCTAGAGGCTGACAGCCATCAGTCTACTCATTAGCATATAAAAGACTCTCTTATCACTCTGGAGGTTACAAGGGTTTTAGGAAAGAAAGAAGATAAAATACATATATATCTTATTATAAATCACAATATCACAAAAGTAGACTAGAATGTGAGTATTTGGTGTGCTGTATTCTACGGCTTTGGAAAATGTTTGATTAAAGTATATTTTGTACCTCCTTCAGAGACTTCCATGGGCCATAGATATACTGCTCCTCTCACGGTTTCAAAGATGGTACAAAGGTGGGGTAGTGATTCCCCAGGAGTAGGCTCAGGAAGTGGGGACGGAACTGCTTACCTTCCTGTGGGAACAACCATATTCCTATTTACCATGGATTGTGTGTTGAGCCGCTGGCTTAAAAGAAAATAAAAAATAGTGTGGACTGCAAGTGAGGTGATGATTCTGCCTCTGTCCCCAAACTTCCTCCTCTTCTCAGTGAAAAAGGTGAAATTTCCATCCTTTCTTCGTGCTTCTCCTTCTGAAACTGACTTTGCAAAAATTGTATCAGTGAGAAAATCATGGCAGTAAAAGAGATCTGATTTAACCCACCCTCCATCTTGCCTTTCCCTTAATCATTCTTGGGCTTAGGCTAAGCTAACTTTGGGAGACATTTGGTTTATAGTTTAAATGATAATAGGCCTTCACCAAAACTCAGCTGGCTTTGTACAGCTAATCAGGCTAGGAGGAGGAGAGAAGCGATTCTGCTAAGGTGTAGACATAAACAATTGCCAGCCATTCCTGTGGATAACACCACTACTGTAGATTGGCCTTTTAAGACATCCTTTCAGGGTTTATTGTTTGTTCGTTTTTTTGGCATGTCTGACACCCATGGCTCCACCTGGACCTGCCAACCCCACTCCTGTGGACCCACTCAGAAGTGATTCAGCTCAAGAGGTCAGCTTCAGCTCCTTATAATTTTATTTCAGCCCCAACCAATCAGCAGCAAGCACCTATTAGAGAGGTGCTTCTATTATACACCCATTACAGAGGTGCTTCTATTACCTAGGTACATTTCAGCCCCACCTTTTCCCCTAAAACGCCTTTGAAAAACCCCTACCTGTGAGCCTTGGATGAGATTAATTTGAGTACTAACTCCATCTCCCAAAAGGCATGGCTGGCCTCATGTCTATTCAACTCTTTCTTTACTGCAATGCCATAGTCTTTATTTGTGCAACAGGCACAAAGGACACCTCAGGCAGTTAGACTTCTGACAATCCCCTTTGTGGCTTTTCTCCCCAACCCTACCTCCACAACATACAAAGAGAAAAGAGACCCTATTCTGATAGGTCAGAATCCCAGGACACTGTTTGTTCCATGGACATTAGTGGAAGTGGTCACTGTGTTACAATTCTTTACCCTTGCTCCCTCTGTCTGTTTGATAAAGAGACCTAGGCAAGACCTGCCTTTTTGGGACAGACCTGTTCAGATATTTTCTGCCACTCTACTTCCTCTATGCCCAAGCAATAGGAAGCATGCCTATTAGATATTAACCATTCTTTTACATATAATTAAAATACTGCATTTACCACATCAAAGTTAAATGTATACTAGGAACTAATTCAGGTTCTTATTTCGATTTCACTCATCTGCTTGTATATTTGTATAAAAACACCATGGTGGTTTCATGACACTGAATTTATAATGTTCTGATGTCTGGTAAGACAACTTTCCTCACTAGGCCTCTCTCGCTTATTTTATTGGCTGTTCTCTGCCAAATGCATTTATTCTACCAAATGAAAATATAAAGTAGTTTATTTAATTAAAAAAACGCCTGTGGGGACACTAGTTAGATTGCAATAAATTTAAGCATTAATTTAGGGAAAATGGACATTTGGTAACATTAAGTATCCTCATCCAAAACATGATAAGTAAAACATTTACTATAATATCTGTCATATAAATGTTGTATTAGTGCTAGTAATTATTATTATTATCATAACTATTTCCATATGTTCAGATCTTGTTTTATATTTTTCAGTAATATTTTATACATTTTAAGATGTAGGTTCTATCCCTTTCTTCTTAAATTTATTCCTACATATTTCACAGTGAATGAAGTTTTTAAAAAATATTATTTCTAAGTATTTGTTGCTAGTGCTTTAAGGGCTGTTATTTATACATGTATCCTGTATCTAATTGTCTAATGACCTTACGTTATCTTTTTACTTATAGTTTTTTAACTTAGACATTTGAATTTTCCAGAAATATAATCATGTCATCTACAAAAAGCTACATAGTTTCATCTCAGCTTCTTAAATGTTTCTCTCCAGAAATGGTGGCTAGGCCTTGAAAAGGGGATAGGATGCAGTTGTATTCTCTCAATGTACTCAGTGTGTGGCAGATGAGAAGTCTAAGGTCTGCCTGATTGTTTTTGCTTTGTGAGTAACTTGCACTTTCTGTCTGAAGATTTTATTTTTATCCTTGGACACTATCCTTTATTTCATTTTTTTCTTTTCCCACCATCGTGTCTAGAATATAGCTCCCTCAGTTAGGAGGTTCTCTGGTTCTCCTAACCATTTATGGTTCTCTGGTTATGATGCCACACTAAAACAAACAAATCTTAACTAAAACCCTAAAATAGGCAGTACATTTTAAAGCAAATAATTAATAAATTTAAGCTTGTGTTTTGGGACATTCTGCAATTTAAAGACTATGTACAGAATAGTCCTTAAAAGCTTAACCCCTGGAATCAAATTCCCTGAGGTTATATCTCAGATCCAGGCAAACTATTTTACCTCTCTGAATCTCAATTTTATTGCCTACAAAATGGGAGTAAGTGTTATTCAACACGTGAAAATCAATCAATGTAATAAACCATATTAATAGGATAAAGGGGAAAATACATAATTATCTCTATTGATGCAGAAAAGGCATTTGGTAAAACTCAACACCTTTTAATGATAAAAAAAAAAAAAGACTCAACAAACTAGGAATAAAAGGGAATTTCCTCAATCATAAAAGAAATCTATAAAAATCTCACAGCTAACATCATACTTAATGGTGAATGACTGAAAACTCTCCCCCAGAGATGAGGAAAAAGACAAGGATATCTGCTTTCATCACTTCTATTCATCATTGTGTTGGAAGTTCTAGCAGGGCAATTAGGCAGGACAAATAAATAAAAGACATCATAATTGGAAAGGAAGACGCAGAACTCTCTGTTTGTAGATAACATATTCTTTTTAAAAATTTTTATTTTAGGTTAAAGGGTATACACGTTACATATGTAAATTGCATGTCACAGGGATTTGGTGTACAGATTATTTTGTCACCCAAGTATAAAAAGTAAAGTAGAGGTTCCTCTTCAAAGACTTTCTTCCCCATCTAATTAGGAATAAATAGTAACTTCTCTTAGAAGCAAAATGTATTCAAAGACCTGTGCTAACATTCTTAAATATCTGCTAGCCGTAATAAAGAAATCAATGTACTTTATGCTCTTAGTTCCCACAGTTTAGCCTGAATATTTGCCCTGGCATGCTTATACTGGTCCAAGCAAGCATTAGGTCGTAGCCCATTCCTCTTCCTTATTTGAAGGTATTTTTACCTTTCTCAGCATTCCACAAGTTACTTCCTCCTTCCTTTGTTCTCCTCTGCCTTTGCCTCTTTTAAAAAGTTCTAAGTTGCTAGCCAGTCGGGACAAATGCAGAATGTGAGGTCCCATTCCAGCCAATGGAAACCAGACACAGTGGTAGGGTGGACGTGTCAGGTTATAAACGACCCTGTCTCCTTTGTCCAGTGTACTTTAGTGGCAAAACTGCTGGCAAGTGTACCCTTTCTGCAGAAAGTATAAAAATGGCCTTGCTGAGGAAATTAAATTTATATTCAAGGGCTATTTCTTTACAGCACCAGGGAACAAGCATTTCAAACACAAGTAATAAGCATCTTCATCCTCCCCCCACCTTCCACCTTCAAGAAGTCCCCGGTGGCTGTTCCCAATTTGCATCCATAGGTACTCAATGAGTAATATATTCTTATTTATAGAAAACCCTAAATAACCTACAAAAAATGATCAGGACTAACAAGTTCAGCAAAGTTGCAGGACACGAGATCAACATACAAAAATCAACTATATTCCTATCCCCTAGCAATGTATAACCTGAAAATGAAATTAAGAAAATGATTTCATTTATATAACATCAAAAATAATAAAATATGGCTGGGTGCGGTGGCTCACGCCTGTAATCCCAGCACTTTGGGAGGCAGAGGCAGGCGGATCATGAGGTCAGGAGATCGACACCATCTTGGCTAACACAGTGAAACCCTGTCTCTAATAAAACTACAAAAAACTAGCCAGGCGTGGTGGCGGGTGCCTGTAGTCCCAGCTACTCAGGGGGCTGAGGCACAAGAATGGTGTGAACCCAGGAGGTGGAGCTTGCAGTGAGCTGAGATAGCACCACTGCACTCCCACCTGGGCGACAAAGCGAGACTCCATCTCAAAAAAAAAAGAATAGAATAATTAGGAATAAATTCAATAAAGGAGGCTCAAGACTTGTATACTAAAAATTACCAACACTGTTGAAAGAAATTAATATCTAAATAAATGAAAAAAATCTTATACTCACAGAGAGGAAGACTTAATACTGTTAAGATAATAATACAGAAATTAAAAAGCTAATTCTAAAATTCAAAAGAAATTGCAAGGTACTCCAAGAACACACAACCAGATTTCAAAAGTTCATACAAATTTACAGTAATCAAGACAGTGTGGTCCTAGCATAAAGCTAGAAATATAGATTAGTAAATTAGAATTAAAATTCCAGAAATGAATCTCCACATCCATGGTCAATTAATTTTTCACAAGGATACCAAGACCATTCAATAGAGGAAGAAATAGTTTTTTTCAACAAAGAGCGCTGGGGCAACTGGATGTCTATGTGTAATCTTTGTATAATATCATTTACAAAAATTAATTACAAATGAAACAAAGATCTAAATGTAAGAGCTAAAACAATAAAACTCTTAGAAGGAAACATAAATGTGAATCTTTGGGACCTTGTATTAGTCAGGGTTCTCTAGAGGGACAGAACTAATAAGATATATGTATATATAAAAGGGAGTTTATCAAGGAGAATTGACTCACACAATCACAAGGTAAAGTCCCACGATAGGCCGTCTGCAAGTTGAGGAGCAAGGAAGCCAGTGTTGGATCAGTCTGAGTCCCAAAACCTCAAAAGTAGGGAAGTCAACAGTGCAGCCTTCAGTCTGTGGCCAAAGGCCTGAGACCTCCTGGAAAACCACTGGTGTAAGTCCAAGAGTCCAAAAGCCAAATAACTTAAGGTCCAATGTTCGAGGGCAGGAAGCATCCAGCACGGGAGAAAGATGAAGTCCAGAAGACCCAGCACGTCTGCTCTTCCATCTTCTCCTGCCTGCTTTATTCTAGTCTCGAAGGCAGCTGATTAGATGGTGCCCACCCAAATTGAGGGTGGGTCTGCCTCTCCCAGTCCACTGACTCAAATGTTAATCTCCTTTGGCAACACCCTCACAGACACACCCAGGAACAATACTTTGCATTCTTCAATCCAATCAAGTTGACACTCAATATTAACCATCACAGACCTGGATGAGGCAATGGTTTCATTTCAAAAACCAAAAGCACAGGTAACAAATAAAAAATAGACTAATTGAATTTCATCAAATTTTACAATTTTTGTGCATTAATGGAGACTAAAAGAAAGTAAAAGGACAGCTCACAGAATGGGAGAAAATATTTGCAAATCATATATCTCATAAGCATCTAGTATCCCGATGCAAATCAGCAAGAGACAGAAAGCATATTAATGGTTGCCAGGAACTAGAAGGGAGAATGGGGAGTGACTGCTTAATGGGTGTAGGGTTTCTTTAACTCTAAAAGGGCTGCTTTTGAGGGGCATTGCAAATATTTTGAAATTAGATAATGGTGATAGGTACGTAACATTGCAAATGTACTAAAAGCACTGAATTGCACCTTAAAATGATGAATTTTACATTATGTGAATTTTACCTCAATAAAGAACGTTTACAATTCAACAACAAGACAACCCAGTTAGAAAATGGGCAAGGGACTCGTATAGACATTTCTCCAAAGAAGATATACAAACGGCCCATAAGTACATAAAAACATGCTCAACATCAGTAGTCATTAGGGAAATGCAAATCAAAAGATAGCACTTCACACCCACTAGGTGGCTATGATTAAAAAATGGAAAATAACAGGTGTTGGCAAGGCTGTAGAGAATTGGAGCACTCAGACATCGCTAGCTTGGGAATGTAAATGGTATACCCACTGTGGAAAGTTGTTTGGCAGTTCCTCAACCAGTTAAACATAGAATTCGCATATGACCCAGCAACTCCATTTCTGGGTATATACCCAAAAGAATAGAAAATGTATATTCAAAAAAAACCTTGTACACAATGTTCATAGCAGCATTATTCATAATAGCCCAACATAGAAACAACCCAAATGTCTATCCACTGATGAATGAATAAACAAAACATGGGATAATAATGCTCCATTAAATAGAACGTTACTTACCCAAAAAAGGAATTAAGTCATGATACATGCTCCAACATGACCAGACAAACCTTGACAACATTATACTACTAAGTGAAAGAAGTCAGACACAAAAGGCCACATACGGTACAATTCCACTGACATGAACTATCAAGAATTGGCAAATCAGTAAGAGACAGAAAGCAAATTAATGGTTGCCAGGAATTAGAAGGGAGAATGGGGTGTTACTGCTTTTGCAGGATGATGCAAATGTTTTGAAATTAGATAGTGGTGATAGGTGCACAACATTGTGAGTGTACTAAAAGCACTGAATTATACACTTTAAAATGGTGAATTTTACATTGTGTGAGTTTTACCTCAATTTAAGAAAATGGGACAATACCATATGTTTTTCAAGGTTTTGTGAAAATGATGAGTTAATATACATAAAAGTACTTAGAGGACTGCATGGCACATATGAAGTGCTAAATAAATCTTGGCTTATTATTGCTTGTAGTACTAAGAGAGGGAAGATGAAAGTGTCAAGAGGATATTAAGGGGAACCAGCAGAGAAACTGGGACGCCAGCTTCCTCAGGGATGCTCCCTCACTCAGTTTGTGTCCTCATGAGTTTGTCTAAATGATCACAGTCCAGATCTCTCAAAGCCTTCTTTTAATTCTTCTGGAAACGTCTTTCTTCCAAAGCCACTACTCAGCTTGTTCAGTTAGTAGGCACAAACAGAATCTTCACCTGGGTCCTCACTCTTGCTGGGTTTGAGAAATGACTGCCCCCTCAAGAACATCAAGCTTATTTTTCTCATTCTGGGTTTCTTTGTTTCCTGCAGTTATGCCTCATGGAGCATGGGTGGCTTGCTTTTCCTGGGCACATATAGTGCTTGATAGTATAGATTTTGTTCATATGACAAGTTCTTCTGTATCCGTCAGGGTTTCAGCTGGTAAGCAGAACTATGGTGAATTATGGGAGAGGAATTTGACCTTGCACAATTGTAGGGAATTGGCAAAGCGAAGGTCCAGGAGGGAGGGGATGAGAACCAAAGAAGAACTCACCATCCATTTAATATGAGAACCCAAACACATTCAGGCACCAAGGTGGGGCCGCAAATGGAAAGCTCAAGTGGAATTCCGTGGGAAGCTGCCTCTGTAGCTTCTGCTCTAGGGGCCTACCTCCAAGCATTTGCTGATGAACTCAAGGCTGTTGCTGGTCCACAGGCTCAGGAGTCAAGGAGAAGAGCTGGATGCAGAGGGAAGAGAGCAAGAACATGCTGGAGCCTTGGTGGCCTTCACAAGTCACACTTCCATTCTTCCCTCCAAATTTCTTGAAAATGTCTCTTTTGTCCAACTCTAATGTGGAACCATACAGGTTAGGGGGACATTGAGAAAACATAATTTCAGCTTTGCCAAGTGTGCATGGTACAAACCATGACACATTCCTAATCTCCATAGGGGAAGTTAGACAAATGAGATCTTAATTTGCATAGGAAAAAAACAGCATCAAGTGTCCAGATGTGGTTTCCAATAAATATTTAAAAGAATCGGCTGGGCATGGTGGCTCACACCTGTAATCCCAGCACTTTGCGAGGCCGAGGCAGGCGGATTGCAAGGTCAGGAGTTCGAGGCCAGCTTGACCAACATAGTGAAACCTGGTCTCTACTAATAATACACAAATTAGTTGGGTGTGGTGGTGCACGCCTGTAATCCCACCTACTCAGGAGGCTGAGGCAGGAGAATCACTTGAATCCAGGAGGCGGAGGTTGCAGTGAGCCAAGATCCCACCACTGCACTCCAGCGTGGTAACAGAATGAGACTCCATGTCAAAAAAAAAAAAAAGGAATCCCATATGCCTTCATTGTACAATTCTTTTGATTGGGGAATCATTATAAGAATTTTAAAAGGGAGAATGTATTGATTTAAAAATATTTAAAGAGATATTGTTCATATGAGCCCTTTACTCTTTCCCTTTGATGGCCATATTGAGTAACAGATCTGTTTGTCTGTTCACAGGCTGCAGAGGTGTCTGCATCCAGGTGGTATCTCAGACCAAGTGAATACAGGGAGAGTGACTTAACAGGGGGAGAGAGAAGCATGATGTATTAGTTGTCTATTGCTGCATAACAAATGACTCCAAAACTTAATGGCTTAAAACAACAAAGTTTCATTATCTCGTTGTTCCTATGGGTCAAGAATCTGAACCTGTCTTATCTGGGTGCCTCAGACTCAGGAACTCCTACCAGGCTGAATCAAGGGGTTGGCTGGAGCTATAGTCATCTCAGGATTTGGCTGGGGGAGAATCCACATCCAAACTCACACGGCTTTAGCAGGCTTTGGGTTCTTGCTGGTCATTGGCCAGAGACCTTGTTTTCTTGCCATTGGGTTACTCATAATATGGCATCTGGCTTTCTTCAGTGGGGGACTTGGGGAGGGAGTATAGAGAGGAAGAGGGAAGGAGAGAGAGAGAAAAAAGAGAGAAAGATAGAGAATACGCTTTTTAAAAAAACCTAATCTCAGAAGTAACATCCATCATTTTTGCCTTATTCTGTTTGTTAGAAGGGAGTCACTGAGTCCAGCCCACATTCTGTAAGAGGAGATAACACAAAGATGTGAGCACTAGGAGGTAAGGTCATGGAGGGGGGCATCTTAGAGGCTGCGTGCCACACATATGGGGCTTGAAAGGCTTTGCAGAGTTTTGACTTCATCTAAAAAGCAGTGGAAAAACCATTAAGCAGTGTTGTAAGATATGTATGTCTTCAAAGAAACTGACTTTGTTTTCACTGGACAAGATCAACATAATGTTTCTAAATTTTTCTTATTTTCTTGATATTTTGCAATTTTGATTTTGTTCCTCTCTTTGGCCAAAGAATTAAGAGAAAGTTTAAAAATTTTCAGATAGCGCAGCATTTTTGTTGTTGCTGTTTTTCACTTCATTGTTATTTCATACTTTTAATGCTTTGTGTTCAGAAAAAATGCTCTATGTTATTTCTACTCTTTGAAATGTTCCAAAAATCTTTGAAAAGACTTTTTATTTCTTTTACTCTGATATATTCTTATATATTATGTGAGACTTGTTTGTTGTGTGGCTTGGGACTACATGGTGTCATTCTACTTCATCTATCAAGCCCCTAAGAAAGATGTATTTGAATCTTCAAACGGGAATGAGTTTCTGTTTCTCCAGAAGGGTAATTTTTTTTTTTTTTTTTTTGAGATGGAGTCTTGCTGTGTCACGAGGCTGGAGTGCAGTGGCATGATCTCGGCTCACTGCAACCTCCGCCTCCGGATTCAAGCGATTCTCCTGCCTCAGCCTTCCAAGTAGCTGGGACTATAGGCACGTGCCCCCACGCCCTGCTAATTTTTGTATTTTTAGTAGAGACGGGGTTTCACCATGTTGGCCAGGATGGTCTCCATCTCTTGACCTCGTGATCCACCCACTTCAGCCTCCCAAAATACTGGGATTACAGGCATGAGCCACTGAGCCTGGTCCCCGAAGGGTAAATTTTATTAACCAAACACTGATTCATTTTTATTTACTGTGTAGTAACTTGTGGGGAATGTTTATTATGTTATAAACTATATCCTTTATTATTTTAAAGAACCCTTCCTTGTCCAACATAATGATTTTTCACTTTTCTGGTTTACACTTGTTTGTTGTATCATTGACCACCCCTCGATTTTCAGTTCTTTAGGTTATTTTGTTTTAAATGTCTCCCTCAGGTTTTGATTTTTGGTACAGCCTGCTGATATTTAAGGGAATAAAAGATTTTAAAAGGTGAGTTGGTCTGACGTAAGTTAATTGATGAGACAACTTATTTTATTCTTATCATCTTGTTTTTCTATTTTTTTCTATTCTGAATGCTACTTTAAAAAAAACTTATACTCTACAGTATTTGTTCCCTTTGTTTATTAACTATTCTTTTCTTCTGATACCTTGAAAAGTTATGAAGACTTTTTGTTCTTGCTGTGGTTATTTTATTTATTTTCTTGAATTTCACCTTTAAATAGTGTCCAACGTTCCCCTTATGTGAGATGAGAATCTTGATATATATCTTAGTTCAGGCTGAAATAATGAATGACCACAGACTGGGTGTTTCACAGACAACATAAAATTTATTTCTCACAGTGCTGGAGGCTGAAAATTAGAGATCAGGGTGCTAGCACTGCCGGGTGCTGATGAGAGGTCTCTTATAGGTGCAGACTGCTGACTCTTTAATGTATCCTCACATGGCAGAAAGAGGGGAAGGGAGTTTTGGGGGTCTCTTTTATAAGGACACTAATTCCATTCACAAAGCCTTCACCTTTATGATATAATAATCTCCCAAAAATCATGCCTTCTATACTATCACCTTGTGGGTTTGGATTTCAACATGTGCATTTAGGGATGGCGAGATACAAACATTTCATCTATAATAGTATACTCTTCCTGTCTTCTATCTCTCTCTCTACCCTGATACTTCCATCACTGATTAATTTGGTTACACTATTTTCCATTGTTTCTCTTGGGATTAACCTTATAAATGGAATCATACTTACAGTTCTATTATTTTATGTATCACCTCTATGTACTGTTTTTTTGACAGCCCTCCCTACCCTGTTATGAACGACAAGGAGGTCAGCCCACATATGTGATCCCCCACTTTCTTTCCACATCCCAATTCATGAGTTTCGTGAATTACATTATTATGTATTATCAAGGTAAGCATAAGTTTATATTTCCCAAAACTATTTAGCTTTAGTTTTGCATTGTATGTTGATGCATGAAATCAATGGTTTTCCTTTGAGACTGCATCATGATGAACTGTACTTTTTCTTTCCATTTTATTGTTTGTTTTAGAAAATGCTCTAAAACCTTTTGTAGTAGTTGTTCTCAAACTGTTATAAAGATACTACCAGAGACTGGGTAATTTATAAAGAAATTGACTCACAGTTCGGCATGGCTGGGAAGGCCTCAGGAAACTTACAATCATGGTGGAAGGGGAAACAAGCACGTCTTACATGGTGGCAGGTGAGTGAAGTAAAGTGTGAGCACAGGAAAAACTGCCACTTTAAAAATCATCAGATCTCATGAGACTCACTCACCATCACAAGAACAGCATGGGGGAAACCGCCCCCATAATCCAATCACCTCCCACCAGATTCCTCCCTTGACACGTGGGGATTACAATTCAAGATGAGATTTTGGTGGGGACACAGAGCCAAACCATATCAGCTTTACACCCAGAAATCTTGAAGATTTGCACATACAGATGGTCTGCTTTTTTGACTTTATGATGGTGTGAAAGCGATATGCATTCAGTAGAAACAGTAGTTCAAGTCCCCATATAACCATTCTGTTTTTCACTTTTATTACAGTATTCAATAAATTACATGAGATAGTCAACACTTTATTTTAAAATACGTTTTGTGTTAGATGATTTTGCCCAACTGTAGGCTAATGTAAGTGTTCTGAGCACATTTAAGGTAGGCTAGGATAAGCTATGATATTTGGTATGTGTGTCAGTCTATTTTGTGTTGCTATAAAGGAATGCCTGAGACTGCATAATTTATAAAGAAAAGAGATACATTTGGCTCAAAGTTCTGCAGGCTGTACAAGAAGCATGGCACTATCATCTGCTTCTGGTGAAGCCTCAGGAAGCTTACAATAATGGAGGATGGCTAAGGGCAGGGGCAGGCATTTCACAAGGTGAGACAGGGAGCACAAGAGAGAGGAGGAGACACCAGGCTTTATTATTTGTTTTTAATTAAACAATCAGACCTCATGGTAACTAATAGAGCAAGAATTCACTAATTACCATGGGGAGGGCACCAAGCCTTTCATGAGGATCCACCTCCATGACCTAAACACCTTCCGCTAGGCTCCACCTCCAACACTCAGGATCACATTTCAACATGAGACTCAGAGAGGACAAACATCCAAACTATACCAGTAGGTAAGGTGTATTAAAATGTATTTTCCATTTAGGATATTTTCAACTTATGATAGGTTTATTGGGATGTAACCTCATCATAAGTCAAGAATCATATGTATTTCCATGGCCTTTATATCTGAATTTCAATTACTCCCCACCTCCCTGCTACCACCGTGAGAACTTTGTAGACATTGTTTCATAGTTTTGTAGTTTGAGTGTTGCTGTAGATAAGTTTTAGCATAAGCCTAATTTTAATTTCTTCCTTGTATATGATTTCCTTGCACAGGTGTGGCTGTGTATGAGCCAACCCCTAAGGTGTCCCAGAATGGTCTCTTTGTTGCAGAATTCATGCCTTTGTGAAATCCCCTCCCCCTGGGGGTGGTCCATACCTGATGATTTGCTTCTAACAAATGAGATAAGGCAAAAATGATGGAGTATCACCTCCAGTATTAGCTTACAGAAAGACTGTGATTACATCTTGCTCTTCCTCTCTCACTCTCTAACTGACTCATGCCAAGTAGGGTTGCCAGATTTAGCAAATAAAAATACAGGATGCCCAGGTAAATGTGAATTTCAGATAAGCAATGAATAATCTTTTAGTATAAGTATGTCTTGTGCAATATTTGGGACATACTTATACAAAAAAGTTATTTTTTTATCTGAAATTTGAATAATTGGACATCCTGTATTTTATCTGGCACCCCTAGCTCACAGAGAAGCCAGCTGTCATATTGTGAGTTGCTTTATGGAAGTGTCATGTGGCAAGGATCTGAGGACAGCCTCCAGCCAGCAGCCAGAAAAAAAACCCGAAGCTCTGAATTCAACAGCTCTTGAGGAATTGAATCTTGCCAACAACCACATGCGTGAGCTTGGAAATGGATCCTCCCCTATCAAGACCTGACATGACTGTAGCTGCTGTAGACATCATGGTTGCTGCTTCACGAGAGACCCTGAGCTAGAGGCCCCAGCTAAGCCACATTTAGATACCTGATTTACCAAAACCATGGGATAATATATTTTTCTTTTTATAAGCCACCAAGTTTTGGGATAATTTGTTGTGCATCAGTAGATAACTAACACAAGGTGTCTGGTGAAGTTTTCTTAATCAAAACTCTTCCTTGAACTCCTCTAACATAATTAGAATACTTTTTACTGTTGGTATTTTTGTCTCCAAGGCAGGAATCTATAGATCCACCAGAGATTTTGCATCTTTCTTCAAATAGTTTTTCTGATCTATCATTTTTGTCTATTTCTTTTAAACTCTATACTTTTCAAATTAATTTTTTTTTTTGAATTGGAGTTTCACTCTTGTCACCCAGGCTGGAGTGAAAGGGTGTCATCTTGGCTCACTGCAACTTTGCCTCCCGGGTTCAAGTGATTCTCCTGCCTCAGCCTCCTGAGTAGCTGGGATTACAGGTGCCCACCACCACGCCCAGCGAATTTTTGTATTTTTTTTTTTTTTTTTTTTTTAGTAGAGATGGGGTTTTGCCATGTTGGCCAGGCTGGTCTCGAACTCCTGACCTCAGGTGATCCACTTACCTTGGCCTCCCAAAGTGCTGGGATTACAGGAATGAGCCACCACCCCCGGCCTCAAATTAATTTTGCTCCATTTTCTGAGTCCCATTTGCATATTCCTCACGAGTTTTTGCATTATCTAGTTTTCTTTTGACTGCCTCTGGTGTTATCTTCATTTCTGAAATTGTTTAATTTTTCTTTTCCATTTATTTCTTGAGATTTGTCAGTACACTCGTTGTCCCCTTCTATTGTTCTGTCATTTCTTTCTTATGCTCTTATATCTCTTCTTTGAGCTTTTATTTCAGGTTGAATTTTGTATCTTTCATTTCATATAGAACTCTGGTCATAATTTGTATTTACTTTGTTTTATAATATTTCTGAGGTGTGTCCTTTGTTAGCTTTCCTTCCTCTTCTCCCTCTCCGTTCACATTAGTTTGTTTATTTTCTTCATGATTATGGCTCTCCTTGGAATGTTCCCTGGATGAGTTCATTATAACAGTAAGAGTGAGGGGTTACAGGATGGATTTGGGATAGTGAACAAAGTGGAGTTTGATTCTACTGTCTCTAAGCGTTTTTACACAAGCATTTTCTCCTTCTATGGTTTTGCAGAACATCTACCTGGTCACAGGGAAGCTTCACATGTCACAGCTGTTTTTGGTGGGAGTGATTTTAGTCTTGGATTTTCCCTAGCAGATCAGAGTAGCATGCTTCCTGTGGGCTTTCATCCTCTTGGTTTTTCCTCCATGATGGCCTACTTTTTATAAAAGTGTCGGGTCCACATAATCTCACACTCAGCCCTACTGCCTCACTATTTCATGGTGCCAACTGTCAGGAGAACTCCCCTAGCTGACAATGGACCTCAGTTACCTTTCTAAAGTGAGAGTCCAGGCTGGGCATGGTGGCTTACGCCTATAATCCCAGGACTTTGGTAGGCCAAGGTGGGCAGATACCTTGAAGTCAGGAGTTCGAGACCAGCCTGGCCAAAGTGGTGAAACCCTCCATCTCTACTAAAAATACAAAAATTAGCTGGGGGTGGTGGTGCATGCCTGTCATCCCAGCTACTTGGGAGGCTAAGGCAGGAGAATTGCTTCAGCCCCAGAGGCGAAGGCTGCAGTGAGCTGACATAGTGCCATTGCACTCCAGCCTGGGTGACAGAGTGACACTCTGTCTCAAAAAAAAATAGATACATAAAATAAAATAAAATAAGATAAAATAAAATAAAAAGTGAGAGTCCAAGGTACTATCTTCCTGAATATTCTGTGCTCTGTCTATTTCATCCCAAAACCTGAGGGACATGAGTTCTCTTGCAGCATCTTCCCTCACCCTTGTTCAATTGTAACTGTCTGCATTAGTTGTGCCTCATCAATTGTGGTTTAAAGTTTCAAATATGTCTTAGTTTCACCAAATATGGAATTTTCCTTTCTGTTTCTCCTTCTCTTTGTTGTTTTCAGGTAGCTTCAAAGAGAAAAGAGGAGCAGAGATTCTCTTCTGATTACAGAAAAAAGCGTACTTAGGAAAAATTTAAACTATTCAAAAATACAGAGAGAGGAAAGTTAAAACACACAATAAACCTATTTATGCCAGAAATATCCCCTATTGCTAGAGGAGATCAGCATTATTGCCTGCCTGGATAGCATGCAAAGGGGACTCCTAAGAAACATGCCTTAAAAAAGTAAACTTGGGCTGGGCGCGGTGGCTCACGCCTATAATCCCAGCACTTTGGGAGTCTGAGGCGGGTGGATCACGAGGTCAGGAGATCAAGACCTTCCTGGCTAACACGTGAAACCCCGTCTCTACTAAACACACACACACACACACACACACACACACACACACACACACACACACACACACACACACAAAAAAAAAAATTAGCCGGGCGTGGTGACGGGCGCCTGTAGTCCCAGCTACTCGGGAGGCTGAGGCAGGAGAATGGCATGAACCCGGGAGGCGGAGCTTGCAGTGAGCCGAGGTCACGCCGCTGCACTCCAGCCTGGACTACACAGCGAGACTCCGTCTCAAAAAATAAAAAAAAAACACGTAAACTTGTCCTCAAGACCTGCCTCTGCTTTCTCTCATTGTTTCAAGCAAATAATAGGGGTGAAGATTCAGGATGGCTCAATCGGGGAAGTGTTATTCCTCCTTTGAGAAGAAAGGGATTATTTTCCAAAAGAACTGTAAGGCATGGCTAATGTACTGAAAAGATTTGAGAGAATATAGCTGGGCTCTGGAAGGTGTTGGACCAAAGAAGCTGAAATATAAGGCTGAGTAGTGTAAAGCATATTTATACAGGCATACTCTCCAATGACTATAGATTTAACATCCTGGCAAGGATACCAAAAGCTGGGCAAAATATGTTGGAAAGGCTTCTTTTTGAAGGTTGGAAACAGCAATGTTTTACAGAAAATAAAACAGAGATGGTGGAATTGCCCTGGCAGTTTTGAGGAAAGTGCCAATAGGCTCAGATGTAGGCATGTTAAAATAGATTTTTATGTAAGACAAGACAACTTGCCAGTTGACTCTGTTCCCTAGAAGGGCTCTGATATAGTTTGGGTTTTGTCCCCTCCAAATCTCATGTTGAAATGTGATCCCCAATGTTGGAGGTGGGGCCTGGTGGAAAGTGTTTGGGTCAAGGGAGTTAATCCCTCATGAGTGTCTTGGTGCTGTCCTCATGGTAATGAGTGAGTTCTCACTCTGTTAGCTCACATGAAAGCTGGTTGTTTAAAAAGCCTGGCATCAATGACTGGGCGCTGTGGCACACGCCTGTAATCCCAGCACTTTGGGAGACCAATCACGAGGTCAGGAGTTTGAGACCAGCCTAGCCAACATGGCAAAACCCCGTCTCTACTAAAAATACAAAAATTAGCCAGGCGTGGTTGCAGGCATCTGTAATCCCAGCTACTTGGGAGGCTGAGGCAGGAGAATCGCTTGAACCCGGCAGGCAAAGCTTGCAGTGAGCCAAGATTGCGCCACAGCACTCCAGCCTGGGTGACAAGAACAAGACTCCGTCAAAAAAAAAAAAAAAAAAGCCTGGCATCTCCTCCCCTCTCACTCTTTCTCTTCCCGTGTGACATGCCTGCTCCCCCTTTGCCTTTCGCCATGAGTGAAATTGTCCTGAGGCCTCACCAGAAGCTGAGAAGATGCTGGTGCCATGCTTGTTCACCCTGCGGAACTGTGAGCCAAATAAACCCCTTTTCTTTATGAATTACCCAGTCTCAGATACTCCTTCATAGCAACACAAGGTGAACTAATACAGACCCAAAGGAAAGTACCTTCACTAAAGAAATAAATGTGCTAGTGAAGGGGACCCTAGCCTTGTTGAGCTCAGTGGCAGCTTCCTCTGTAGTCCAGAGTTGATGGCTAGAGATGCTGCTATGATGGTAAGATCCCTAGTATCAATGGAAATGATAGAATTCCATCCAGAATAGCAGGTGCAAGGTGGTGGCTCTTAATCAACAGGGGCAAGGTAGATTTAATTATCCATTATCCATTAATTATTTAATGAACACCAACAGTGGGATTGCAAGTGGGAGGTTTAGAACAACAGGACTCTATGGCAAAGACTACTAGACCATGGTATCACTAGGGGCAACTAGCTGGGGAGGCAACAGGGGTATTACTTGGCTTATAAAACCAAAATAGACCAGGAGCAGATTATCAGAATGCTGGTGTTGGCTGCCAAGTGGAATATAATAATCACACATCTGGTTTTCCAAACTGAACCGTTCTCAGATCCAGAATCGTGTGATTGATAGAGATGCTGGATCCTTTTGCAGAAAATCTTATAATGCCTCAATAAATTTATAGTAGTAATTTCCCCAATCCTTCTCCAAAAGAATCTATACTGCAGAAAATAAAATACCTGTACAGTGTGCATTACACTATGCACTACAGAGATGAAAGTAGCCAAATATTTCAAGTGCTGTTGAATCCAGAGTTTGAGATGATGCTAATACCAGAGAAACCAGAACACCATCATGATGCCCTGGTTAGGGTGGGTATGCGAAAACCAGGTGATAAATAGAGTCTTGGCCCACGTTGATATTATGAATGTCCAATGAGTCTGCCAACTCACACTGTGATAATTTCATGGTCTCTGAGTGCTTAATTAGTTTGGATGCACCTAACAGCTGGAAGACCCCTCACCAGACCCCTGGCTTCTGACCTGCATAGTGAGAGCCATTACAGTACAAAAGGCCAAGTGGAAGCCCCTGAAACTGCTCATTATCCCAATCAAGATGGTAAATTAGAAGGAATAACTCATCCTAGCTGAAATGGCAGAAGCTAGGGACACTTTCAGAGACTTAAAGTTTGCAGAGGTAGTGGTTTTTATATCTCATTTCATTCATTGGTATGGGACTTGCAAAAACCAAATGGATCGTAGAGGATGGTGGTTGTCATAGATCATTTTCTGCTTCTTGTAATAAAATACCTAAAATTTGGTAATTTATAAAGAAAATGAACTTATTTCTCACAGTTATAGAGGATGAGAAGTCCAAGGTCAAGTGTCCACATTAGATGAGAACCTTCTTGCTCATGGGGGCTCTCCGGCATTCCAAGACCGCAGAGTCTCACATGGCGAGGGGGCTGAGCATGCCACCATGCTACCTCACATATCTCTTTTCTTATAAGGCCACCGGTTCCCCTCCTTTGATAACCCATTAATCCATAAGTAGATTATTAATGAGAGCTGAATCTTAATGATCCAATCACCTCTTGAAGGTTCTTCCTCTCAATACTACCACATTGAAAATTAAATTTCAATAATAAAATAAAAAAATAAAAAAATAAAATTTCAACAGCGTTTTGGAGGGGACAAATATCCTAACCATAGCATTCTGCCCCCTGGCTCCACAAAATTCACATCTTTCTCACATACAAATATATTTATCCCCTCCCCAAATAAGTTTAAGCTCCAAATCTTTACTCATTTCAGCAGCAACTCAAAAATCCCGAGTCCAAAATCTCATCTATGAGCCTGTGAAATCAACACAAATGATCTGCTTACAAGCACAGGGCACACATTTCCTTTCCAAAAGTGAGAAATAGGCAAGAATAAAGGGGTAAAGGGGTAACAGGCACCAAGGAAGTTCAAAAATGAAGAGAGCAGGCATTGGGTCTTAAGAGTCTAGAGTAGACTATTTGACTCTACATCTAGAATTAGCTATACGCTGATGTGCAGCTGGGGACTAAGACCTTGGACAACTCTACCTCTATGGCTTGGCTGGGCTCAGCTCTTCCTTCCAGGGGAGCATTGCACACTGGCAGCTCTGTAGTTCTGTGGTCTTGATGGTTGTCCTATTCTCACAGCTCCAGTAGGCATTTCCCTAGTGGGAACTCTGCAGCAATACCAACTTCACATTTCTGCATAGCATTGCTCTAGTGGGGGCTTTCTGCAGTGGCTCCACCCCTGTAACAAATCTCTGTCTGGGCCTCCATTAGTGACATCCTTTGAAATACGTGTGGAGGCTGCCAAGCCTCCACAACTCTTCCTTTCTGCAAGCCCGCAGAATTAGCACCACGTGGATGCTGCCAAGGTTTACAACTTGTACCTTTGGAGCAGTGAGTTGACTCATATCTTGGGCTGATTGAGCCACAGCTGCGGTGGCCAAGGAGCCCTATGCTAGAATGCAGAAAGCAGAGACCTCAAGGGTCCCTGGCTAACAGCCCATGAAAGGCATTCTGGGTCTGTTCCCTGAAAGTACTCTGCCCTCTCGGGTCTCTGGGCCTCTGATGGGGGCAGCCTCAAAGATCTCTGAAATGCCTTTGGGGTCTTTCATTTTCTTGATGGTCCCTTCTCTCTGTACTAATCTCTTTAGCAAAAGGTTGCTGGGTCACACCTTCAGTTTCCTATCTTGAACATGCTTTTTTTACTTTTCACACAACCAGGCTGAGAGTTTTCCAAATCTTTCTGCTATGCTTCCTTTTTGATTATAAATTTTCTTTTTAAATTATTCCTTTTTTCCCTAATCTCTGTGTAAGTGGCCAAAAGTAACCATGCAGCTCCTACCATAATTTACTTTAAAATTTCTTCTGTAATACCCTAGTTCATCACTATCAAGTTCAGCCTTCCACAAAGCCCTTGGGTGTGAACAGTTCAGGCAACTTTTTTTTCCCTTATTTATAACAAAAATGGTCTTTCCAATACCTTGCACCTCAGTTTCATCAAAACCTTATCAAAATGTCCTTTACCATTCACATTTCTGTCAGCATTCTGGTCATGACTACTTAACTGATCTCCAGGGAGTTCCAAGCTTCCCCTAGAGTTTTTGTCCTCTAAGTCCTCACAAGAATCTAGGCTTTTTAAGGTCTTGTCCTCCAAATTCTTCCAACCTCTGCCTATTAGTTCCTACCCAGTTCCAAAGCTGTTTCCATATTTTCAAGCATTCATTATCAGCAACACCCCACTCCAGGTACAAATTTTTGATCTTAGTCTGTTTTCTCTTGTTTATAAGGGAATATCTGAAACAGGGTAATTTATAAAGTGAAGCGATTTATTTCTTATAGTTATGGAGACTGAGAAGTCCAAAGTCAAAGGCTTTTATCTACTAAGAACTTTCTTTCTCATGAGGAATGTCTACAGTAGAGTCCAAACACAATGTAGAGTATCACATGCAAAGGGGCTTAGTGTGCTAACATGCTAGTTCAGATCACTCTTCCTCTCTTTATAAAGCTATCAGTTACCCTCCTATGATAACCCATTAATCTATTAATCTATGAGTGGATTAGTCCATTAATCCACATGAGGGACAAGCTCTCATGATCCAGTCACCTCATAAAGGTCCCACCTCTCAATATTGCCACACTGGGGATTAAATTTCAGCATGAGTCTTGGAGGGGACAAATATGCAAATTGTAGCAGTAGTAAACCACTGTGAATCTAACCAAACAGTGGACCCATCTGCAGCTGCTTTTTTAGTGTTCCTGTATCTTTGCTGGAACAGATCAATGCAGGCTTATGCTCTTGTGCAGCTATTGATATGACAGATGCCTTTTTCAATATCCATCAAAAAAGAGAATAAAAAGCAGTTTGCATTCACCACAAATATACATTCATAGTCTCATCACAGGGCTATGATAACTCTCATTTCCTCTGACACAACATAGTCCAAAGGGACTTTGTCTCAAAATTTCATAAAACATTATAGTGGTACACTATATTGATCATATCATAAAAATCAGAAATGATAAGCAGGTAGTATATAGTACTTTGGATATCCTAGTAAAATAAAAATGTACCAGTGGGTAGAACATAAATCTTACAAAGAATAAGGGACCTGCCACGTTGGTAATCATTATAGAGACTCAGTGATCTCAACTGCGCTACCCAATGTGTGTGTGATCCATTGGCAACACTTTGGAGATCATTAGGAATGAAAATTCTCAGGCTTCCTTCCAGTTCTACTGAACCAAAGTCTCTGGAGGAGATGCTGAGGAATCTGAATTTAACAAGCCCCTCAGATGATTCCTTTGCCGCTAAGGTTTGTGTTTTAATTGGGGCCAAGAGAAAGAAAGGTTCAGACTGTGTTACATTCAGCCTTGCCACATGGACGCTATCATGGAGCAGATCTTACAATGCTGAAAGTATCCATGGTAGATAAGGTGCCACGTGGAATACCTGACAAGCTCTGATAGGAGACTTGCAGTGCAGAGCCTGACGGTTCTGGAGTAAGGTCATGATATATACAGCAGAGAACCATTTACATTTCAAAACAAAAAACATTCCTACCTGCTTTGGGGACCAAGGAGAGACAGAGCACCTGTTCATGTGACATTAAATGACTTTTAAACTGTAGCTGTAGCTGCCCATTATAACCTGGGTATTGTCAGACCTATCCATCATAAATTCATGTATTGTATTAGTTTATTTACTGTGCCATAACAAATTACCAAAAATTTCATGGATTAAAGCAGCACCAATTTAGCATCTTACAGTTAAACAGGTTAAAAGTCTGATGTGTTGGGAGGCCGAGGCGGGCGATCACGAGGACATCGAGACCATCCTGGCTAACACGGTGAAACCCTATCTCTAGTAAAAATACAAAAAATTGGCCGGGCGTGGTGGCGGGTGCCTGTAGTCCCAGCTACTTGGGAGGCTGAGGCAGGAGAATGGCGTGAACCCAGGAGGTGGAGCTTGCAGTGAACCGAGATCGCACCACTGCACTCCAGCTTGGGCAACAGAGCGAGACTCCAACTCAAAAAAAAAAAAAGTTTGATGTGGATTTCAATGGTCTAAAACCAAGAGTTAGGAAGGCTGCATTTCTTCTGGAGGACCTAGGGAAGACTTTTTATTTTTTCTTTTTTAACCTTTTCCAGTTTCTAGAAGCGTTTCTATTCTTTAGCTCATGGACACTGTCCTCTGTCTTCAAAGTCAGCAGTGTTGCATCTCTGACCATTCTTCCTTAATCACAGCTCCCTCTGACCTCCTCTTCTGTCTCCCTCTTCCACTTTTAGAAACCTTTATGATTATATGGGGCCCACCCAGATAATCCAGGATAAACTCTTTACTTTATAGTCAGATGATCAGCAACATTAACTCCCTCTGCAATTTTTCTTCCCCTTTCCCATGGATCCTAACATATCCGCAGGTTCTGGAGATCAGGATGTACACATCTTTGGGGGCCCATTATTCTGTTTACCACAAGTGAACATGAGAGTGATTTGTGATGGAAATGGAATATTTGGAATGGTTCTTAAGAAGGTCCAGGAAGTATAAATTACATAAGCAGGTAGCCCAGATTCCCAAGTTACCCACCCCTTTTGTGTTGATGTATGTCTTTGTTCATTTGGTTTGCTATAACAGAATACCATAGACTGGGTGGTTTATAAACAATAAACATTTATTTCTCACAGATCTGGTTGCTGGAAAGTCCAGGATCAAGGTGCCAGCAGATGTGGTGTCTGGTGAAGGTCCACTTCCTGCTTTATAGACAGCACCTTCTTGCTGTTTCTTCACACGGGAGAGGAAGAAAGAAAGCTCTCTGGGGCCTCTTTGATAAGGGCACTAATCCTATTTATGAGGGCTCTGCCATCATGACCTATTCACCTCCCAAAGACCCCACTTCCAAATACCATCACACTGGGGATTAGGTTTCAACATATGAATTTGAGGGAGGGGGGCACAAATGTTCAGTCTGTAGCAATGTATTTCCATCAACTCACAAGTGCAGCTTCATGGTGAGGTCCCTATAACTAGCTGTCAGAAGAGGAAACAAACCCAGGCTTGATTCATCAAAGGATTGGCTCAACATGTTGGCATAGGCAGAAAAGAGAGTGCTACCACATTATAACCCAACAGAGGGGTGGCTCCAGAATAATGTGATGAGTAAAAGCCTCTTGGGTAGCGCTTACAGCATTGCACCAAACCATCAACTTTGTGTGGCAAGAGAAGTGGCTGATCTGAAATATACAGATTCCTTGGTGGTAGAAAATGCCTTGGCTGATTGTCAGGGGCTAGACTTGAAAAATATATACAAGAAGTCAGGGAAAGAGAAGGGGCATATGGATGGTCACATGGGAGTGGACACAAAGCATGTTAGTCCTGTGTCTCATGTCACTGACAACTAGAAAGCACCTGCCACCAACAAGCACCTGGCACTGAAACACCAAGTGAATGGGATGACGTGTGGATTTCAGCCAGCCTTGATCCTCCATCACCCAGTGCCTACAAAATAAGCCCAGCAGACATAAAGAAGGGTATTCATGGACCCCACAGCACAGGCTTCTGATCACCAAGGCTGAACTAGCTACCACTGCTGCTGAGTATTCTGGCTTGAGAGCAGCAGAACCCAGCACTGAGCCTGGGTTTTTGGACCAACTACCAGTAGATGTCAAGTTGATTAATCAGACCATTCTTTCCTGAAGAGGGCAATTATTCATTTTAATTAGGATTGCTACATATTCTGGGTATGGATTTGCCTTTCTGTCCACAATGCTTCTGCAAGCACCACTATCCACTGGCTCCTAGAATGTCTGATTTTCCAACATGGTATCCTGAATAAGAAAACCTAGGGGCCAAAAGCCACTTTTGGGCAAAGGAGTTGTGACAATGGGCTCTACTGGTTTCATCATATGCTGCTTCATCCACAAGTGGCTGATCTAGTAGAATATTGGGATGACCTCTTAAAGTTAAGCTAAGGCACCAGTTTATGAATAATACACCAAAAATGCTTCAAGAGGTAATATACACTTGGGTCCAGAATTCAAGAGGTGAAAGAAGGATTGGATTTCTCAACACTACTGCAGGAACCCAGCTAGATAAATTGTACTTCCTGTCCCCACAATTTTAGGCTCTTCTAGGCTACAGATACTGGCTACTAGTGTGGAGGGGATAGTTACACCAGGAGACATCGTAAGTGTTCCACTGAACTTAAAGCTGTGGCTGATATCTGTCTCTTTGGGGCTCTTCAAGTCGGATTATCAAACAATCAAAGGGATTCCTGTATTGGCAGGGATAATTGATCACGATTATTATGAGGAGATAGACAGCAGGAGGAATTGTTTGGGGCCCGGATGATTCACTGGGGTACCTCTGGGTGCTTTTATGCCTGGTGATGGTCATGAACTGGGCAATTATAACAACCAAGAAAGCTTTTCAAGGGTCCAGTAAATCAGGACCTCAGACCCTTCAGGCATGAGGTGCTGGCTGAGGCTGAAGACGCTACCTCTTATCCAGAATAAAACATAGAGGAAGGAGATGCTGGATCAGGACCAATCACAGCAGCAGAGGGTATAGTCTGTTCCACCAATCCTTTCATTGTAAGTCCTTTTTTTAAAAATTGTGATGACAACTTCCTTGATGAAGCAGTGCCAAGACAGAATGAATATGGGATCTGAGCGGTGTCAGGAGTGAACTCTAGCAGAGGCTGTGTTTTCTGCTCATGTCCTCTTGGCACTGACCTTTCCAACAGCGTCCTACAGCAAGCACTGGTAACTCTCCACCTATGAGCTATCTCTTAATCTACTTAGTGCACAAAGGTGTATGGGAGTTTCCACTTCCAGGAGCAGCCCTCAGCCAATGACAGATGAGTGCTGGATACATACCCTTGCTTTCTTGTTCTCACGTGGGATAATTCTGAGGCATGATTCATACCTTCTCTCAGATGTCCCTAATGGGGCTGAGTCCTGGGTGCCCACGGAGATATCCTGCTCATTAGTGTGCGCTGTATCACTTTCTCCAACTCCTGTCTCACATCCTTCCCTACCAGTGCTTCCAGGGACCACTTGCCAAATAAGCCACAGGTATTCAAGGCCTTGTCACAAGATCTGATTCTGGGAAAATCTAACCTAAGATTCACATCTCTTAAGCACTGCCTTGGGGGACCCATGATTACTAAAAGTAATATTCATCTCAAAATTACTTAACATTTAAAATATATATACATATTCATTCAATGTCCAAGTAGAACAGAATTATTTTTTTCTCATAGTGTGTCAGACAGAGAGTAGACTGTGCACTGTTGTGTGTTTCACTAATAAGTGCTGAAAGGAGATACTGACTTTTCTCAGGTTGAATGTTGTTCCACTTGATCTCTCTTTCTGCCACTGTTTCAAGTTACAGTAAATAGCTTTGACCCACAGTGGCTTACAAAAGGCACAAAAGAAAGCCTGCTCCAAAAGTGCCAGGAAAAGAAGCATAGTATAGGTTTTATGCAAATGCCAAGGTGGCTCCAGTTTCCTTGAAGGAAATTAAGAAGGAATCAGAGTGGTATAAAATTTAGCAAGAAATAAGAGGCTGGTAGTCATGCTTTGACATGATGAAGGTATTATATGCATAGTTGTGGAATATAGGAACCTACAGCCAGAGCCATGTCTTGACTTTGGGGAATGTAAAGGGAAAAGAAAAGACTTTGCAACAGACTGACTATTAGGAGCACATTTCATAGGAGCCTATGCTATAGTAATCCCCCCAAATGAGGTTCCATTCCAAGAAATAGACCGCCTGCATTCAATGGAATAAATGTGTGTGTGTGTGTGAGTGTGTGTGTGTGTAAGTATCCATTCAGACAGAAAGTGTTCTATATCTGTATGTGCTGACATGGAATGAGGTATAACATAAGTGTTCATATGTCTATTTATTAGAAGCAAATTTTGTTTAAAAATAACCTTTTTACAGAAAAAATAGTGTTCAGTGGAATATGCTGGGTCCAAGCTCTTAGTAATAAACATAAGAGAACTACTAGCTTGTGCATTCAACCTCCTTTATAATTCTGCCACCCTTACAACAAAGTTTTGGGCCATATCGTCAGCACAGGTTGCTTGTAGGAGATGAGGGTCTCTTTCAATGCTACCATGGATACTTTCTGACATTCTTACCATGCCCTGAATTCATCACTGGTTGACCTGCATCAGTTATTTTATTGTATATCAGTAAACAACATCCAGCTCTACAACCTTTAAAATTTTTTTTTAATTTTACTATTATTATACTTTAAGTTTTAGGGTACATGTGCACAACGTGCAGGTTTGTTACATATGTATACATGTGCCATGTTGGTGTGCTGCACCCACTGACTCGTCATTTACATTAGGTATATCTCCTAATGCTATCCCTCCTCCGTCCCCCACCCCACAACAGGCCCCAGTGTGTGATGTTCCCCTTCCTGTGTCCATATGTTCTCATTGTTCAATTCCCACCTATGAGTGAGAACATGCAGTGTTTGGTTTTTTGTCCTTGCGATAGTTTGCTGAGAATGATGGTTTCCAGCTTCATCCATGTCCCTACAAAGGACATGAACTCATCATTTTTTATGGCTGCATAGTATTCCATGGTGTATATGTGCCACATTTTCTTAATCCAGTCTATCATTGTTGGACATTTTGGGTTGGTTCCAAGTCTTTGCTATTGTGAATAGTGCCACAGTAAACATACATGTGCATGTGTCTTTATAGCAGCATGACTTATAATCCTTTGGGTATATACCCAGTAATGGGATGGCACTCATGGGTAGGAAGAATCAATATCATGAAAATGGCCATACTGCCCAAGGTAATTTATAGATTCAATGCCATCCCCATCAAGCTACCAATGACTTTCTTCACAGAATTGGAAAAAACCACTTTAAAGTTCATATGGAACAAAAAAGAGCCCGCATTGCCAAGTCAATCCTAAGCCAAAAGAACAAAGCCAGAGGCATCACGCTACCTGACTTCAAACTATACTACAAGGCTACAGTAACCAAAACAGCATGGTACTGGTACCAAAACAGAGATATAGACCAATGGAACAGAACAGAGCCCTCAGAAATAATGCCGCGTATCTACAACTATCTGATCTTTGACAAACCTGAGAAAAACAAGCAATGGGGAAAGGATTCCCTATTTAATAAATGGTGCTGGGAAAACTGGCTAGCCATACGTAGAAAGCTGAAACTGGATCCCTTCCTTACACCTTATACAAAAATTAATTCAAGATGGATTAAAGACTTAAATGTTAGACCTAAAACCATAAAAACCCTAGAAGAAAACCTAGGCAATACCATTCAGGACATAGACATGGGCAAGGACTTCATGTCTAAAACACCAAAAGCAATGGCAACAAAAGCCAAAATTGACAAATGGGATCTAATTAAACTAAAGAGCTTCTGCACAGCAAAAAACTACCATCAGAGTGACCAGGCAACCTACAGAATGGGAGAAAATTTTTGCAACCTACTCATCTGACAAAGGGCTAATAACCAGAATCTGCAATGAACTCAAACAAATTTACAAGAAAAAAACAACCCCATCAAAAATTGGGCGAAAGATATGAACAGACACTTCTCAAAAGAAGACATTTATGCAGCTAAAAAACACATGAAAAAATGCTCATCATCACTGGCCATCAGAGAAATGCAAATCAAAACCACAATGAGATACCATCTCACACCAGTTAGAATGGCGATCATTAAAAATTCAGGAAACAACAGGTGCTGGAGAGGATGTGGAGAAATAGGAACACTTTTACACTGTTGGTAGGACTGTAAACTAGTTCAACCATTGTGAAAGTCAGTGTGGCGATTCCTCAGGGATCTAGAATTAGAAATACCATTTGACCTAACCTTTACAATTATGGCTGTGCCCATATCTTTCACTTATTAGATCTACTGCATAAGCATGTGCACCCTCTTCTGCCTATTGTTCAATCCAAATAAACCACAGGGGAGAATCTTAGTAAATGTGATTCCACAGTGTGATAACCCCTCCACTTAATGCCAGAAATAGAAACAAGTTCCTTGTTGTCATCTGGGTGGGGAGGGATCTAATTTCAGAAACCCATCCTAAGAGTCTACTTCATAATATCACTTCTTTTTATCAACTGTCATGGGCTGAGTTGCCCCCAGATCTTGAGCTGAGAGTCACAGTTATTTGCAAGGAGGATGCCACTGGCATATACCCAACTGGTGAGTGCCCAGGTGGAATGGGTGGGCAATAGTATGCATATACTACAATTTCATTGACTATCCACCATTGGTCTTTATTTCCCACTTTTCACATTTGTAAAAAATTCTGCAAAAATTAACTGCATATGCATATCTTTGCACACTTTGTGCATATTCTTCACTGTTTTTTTAATTTGAGGTATAATTGCTATACAAAAAAAAACACTAACAAACATGATTAAATGGATTTGGGCATATGGCTACACCTGTGATACCATCACCACAGTCATGGTAATGAACATGTCAAAAAGTTTCCCAAAGATTTCTTGTGCCCTTTGTGTGTGTGTGTATATGTGTGTGTGTGTGTGTGTGTGTGTGTATTAAGAACACTGAACATGAAGTCTACCGTAACAAATTTTAAAGTGTACAATATCATATTGTTAACCATAAGCACTGTGTTGTGCAGCAGATGTCTAGAACTTATTCATCTTGTATAACTGAAACTTTTTACCCATTGAGCAACAACTCCCCATTTTCCCCTCCTCCCAGCCCCTGGCAACCACCATTCTATTTTCTGCTCCTCTAAGTTTGACTATTTTAGATACCTTATATAAGTGGAATATTTTACAGAATAGATTCTTAAAAGTGGAAGGTTAGCTTGAAGGACTACACATAATTTTAGATCTGGCAGTATGGTCAAATCAACCTCCAAAATTATATATTTTTACACTCCTTGTGTATGAGGATTCTTCTATCATCACCAACGCTGGGCATAAGTTGGGCTCACAGGGTGGACATTTGGTTAAAAGAGTCTGTGTTTCAGGAGAGAAAGCTGGGCTGGAGGCAGAGATCTAATAGCTGTCAGAATATAGATGTCAATTAAAGTCATAGAAGCACCTGAGCTCACTCAGGAAAAAAATATGTAAATTGAGAATTCAACCGTGCAGAGAATGAAAGAAAGGAACTCTTAGGGACGTTAACATTTAAGGTATGGATGCAGGTGAGGAGAAAATAAAATGATGAATGTCAGAGAGGCGGTCAAGGAGAATGCTGTGTCCAAGAAGCCAAGGGAAGAAGGTGTTTTAAGAAGGAGAATGCAATGAAATGCTGGTGAGAGTGGAGCACCCAGTGGATTTAGCCACACGGAGAGCAATGGCAACCTTGGTGAAATCAGTGCGGTAAAGTGGTAGAGAAGGAGGGGATACCACTGTGGAATGAGTGTAAAGGAAGGGAGTAAAAGTGGTGAGGACCAAGAGCTTTCCATGATGTTTGTGAGCCAAGTGGAGGAGAAAGTCAGGGTGGTAGTCAGGGAGGATGTTGAGTCAATGAAAGGCTTTTCTGGGAGAAGTGGATGGAAAGGAGTTTCCAAAAGTAGTATATTCTGCATGTTATCCTTCAAATACAAAATAAGGGCATATATCATGTAATGTTTAAATTACGATGACTCCTGCCCCACACCACCACACTCCTGTTTCTGCACAGAGATCAGGAAATCCAGCCCTTCTTCTAGAGTTCCCCTCCTGTCTTAGTCCTTTTGGACTGTAGACTGGGTGGATCATAAACAACAGAAATTTATTTCTCACAGCTCTGGAGACTGGGAAGTCCAAGATGAAGGTCGTGGCAGATCTGGTCTGATGAGGACCCACTTCCTAGTTCATGGATGGCCTACTCTGTGTCCACACATGATGGAAAGGGCAAAGGACATCTCTTGGTTTCTTTGATAAGGGCACTAATCCCTTTCATGAGAACACCACCCTCATGACCTAATCATCTCCCTAAGACCCCACTTTCAAATACCATTACTTGGGGGTTAGGGTTTTCACATGTGAATTTTGGGGCAACACAAACATCCAGACCATAATGCCTCCCTAAGCCTTCCTATAGACAGCCAGGGATTTTTCCGTTGGTCCTGTTTCCTCTACAGAAATTCTCATGCACCGCTTTGTAATTCAACACTGTCCCTGAAACCATGAGTGTGGGATGCAAGTCTTCATTCACGCAAGCTGTCGGTACGGTGATAGTGTCTGTTCTGCAGAGGATTCCTCACCCCACAGAGATTCCTCATATCAGGAGAATCCTTCCTTTGTGATCTGTCCTCTGATCACTGCTCCAGGCCAAAGTTAGGTTCACAAAATCAAACTCCTCCAGACCTGATATTTCCATACATTTATTCAACAAACAAATGTTGAGTGCCTACTGTGTGCACAACTATTTCCTTGAGTTTGCCCAGTGTCAAGGTTGCTTAGGTCAGGAGAGGTTCTAGCACCAGGCCACCTGTACAGCAGGTCCTTGAATCATGTCATTTCATTTAACTTTGTTTTGTTATAATAAAAACAATTGCTTCCTAACCAGAGCCACTGCCTGTGTGGCATCTGACGTTCCTTCCATGTCCTCGTGGGTTTTCTGTGGATAATCTGGCTTCTTCCCACATCCCAGAGATGGGCACATTGGGTGAATTGGTGTGTCCTTATTGCTCCAGTGTGAGGGTGTGTGTGTGAGTGTGTGAGTGTGTCCTGTGACGGGATGGTGTCCTGTCCAGGTATCAGTTCCCCACCTTATACCCTGAGCTGACTGGACAGGCTCTGGCCACCTGAGCCCCTGAACTGGAATAATTGGGTGAGTAATTACGTTATTTGTTTTTATTAATCTTTCTTAAGTATATGTGTAGCTCACATTTGTTTCCATGTTCAAATTTCAAGTGTTTTGGTCTTTATTTAGAAGTTTGGTGATGTTTGATGACCAGAAATATGCCATAGGAATTTTTGTTTGTATGGATCAGTCTATGGTAAAATTGGTTTCATTATACATCGTTTCACTTCAAGCCACAGTTTCCAAGAACCTGTCAATGATGTTAAGCGAGCACTTACTGAATCCAGATATTCATGTTCCCAGAATCAGCCTGCATGTGCAGTCTGGGTCACCAGCCCTGGCTTTCAGCACACCTGATCACGCACTCACGGGTCTTGTGCTATCTGTGGATGCTTTCATGCCACGAGAGCAAAGTAGAGTAGTCATTTCTAACCCAGACTGTTTATATTAGTCTGCTCTCATACTGCTAATAAAGACATGCCCAAGACTGGGTACTTTATAAAGGAAAGAGGTTTAATGGACTCACAGTTCCACATGGCTGGGGAGGCCTCACAATCATGGCAGAAGGCAAAGGAGGAGCAAAGTCATGTCTTACATGACAGCAGGCAAGAGAGGTTGTGCAGGGGAACTCCCATTTATAAAACACCAGATCTTGTGAGACTTATTCACTACGACGAAAACAGTATTACAATTCAAGGTGAAATTTGGGTGGGGACACAGCCAAACCAAATCACCGTCTGACATGTTTCAACAACTTTGAACCTCCATGAGAAGGTTTGGGGTTGATGCTCATCACTTCTCTCCCAGAAAAGACCTTTTCCTTCAAGGGCAAAATGTACCCAACCTAAAGCCAGATCTCAGGTCCTAATTCAGTCAAAGTGCATGTGTACACTGATCCTTCATCTACCCTGTGTAGCATAGGTGAATATAAGTTTGGTTTTTGTGCAACTAAACCTCATTTTGATGGTTTTAGCAAAGCAAGGACATCATCTGAGTAAGAAGTTGTCTTTCCTACACCTGTTTGGAAGGTCCATTCCCACATTATGTCTGGTTCTTATGATGGGTCCAGCATGTTCATCGGGGAAGGTGAGTGTTGACTTCCTTTTAAATGGCAAGAGGTACAGGGCCCTGCCTGAGCAGCACTCGTGTGTCTACTTCCCTCAGCTGATGATTGTCCTGGAGGTCCCTCCCCCTCCCTACCTCTGGAGTCCCCCTTCACCTTCCTCTTTCCTTCCTCCTGGGAGCCCCTCCTCTTCTCTCCCTCCTGACATCCCTCCTCCTCCCTCCTGGATGTTTTCTGTCTGCAAGCTAAGGAAGCATCTGACCCTAATATTGTCAGGGACCTCTTCTTGCAGCTGACTCTCCACTTCCTGATTTTCTAGCATCTCCTACCCTATCCAAACAATCTTTACCTTCTTCATCACCAGAGTCAGACTGTAGGCCTGATTTTAAACTTTAAGGAAACAATTTTTTTCTTCATCCTAATAGCAAATAAGAAGCATGTGGTATGTCTTTTCCTAAATCATTACCAATTTCCCCCAAAGAAGTTACATTTTGAAATTCGGTGATGTGTCTTCTAATCATAACAGTCCTTTGAAGTGGCCAAGGAGTAAAGTTCTAGTGGCACAGTCACTGAGTAGCCTATCCTGACCCCCTCCGCCATTACTTTCCCCTCCTCCAGGAAGCCTTCCTCAGTGCCCTCCTTTTCTGGGCTTTCAGGATCCCTTGAGCATACCTGTATGAGTGGATTCATCAAATTGTATTATAAGTATTTATGAAGTTTTCTGTCCTTCCTAAGTTTTCAATTTTTTTGAGAATAGAAGTCTTCCTGTAAGAATACTTTATAGCCTTGGGGCCTAGAGTTTGCCTGCATAGATAAATGGATGTGATGAATTAATGGATGGATAGAGTAGGAATTTTGCAGAGAAATGAGAAGCCTCAGTGCCCTGTGAGTACTTCCACCTGCCCATGTCCACTGACTATCTCAGATGTGGAGCTAAGCCAGGGTAATACACATGCCATCATATTTTTAAACATCTTTATCACATATATATTGCTTTGTAATTCCAAATAGTACAAAGGATGTACAATGAACAGTTTGCCTCTCTTCCATCCCTGTCTCCAAATTCCCTAATTTCCCCCTGAGGTGGAACCAAGTTCTCTAATTTCCCTCCTGAGGTGGAACCACCATTAACTCCTTCTATAGATCATCTCTGAGCTGATCCATGCATGTAGCTGCATGTGTTAATTCCATAATCCTCTGCTCCTCTGCAGGATCCTGCCTCAGATCCCTGTGATTCTTAGCATGGCCTTTGGCTAACTGAATTGTCCTGAGAGTGAGGAGGAATGAGGCAGTGCATGCGAGGAAACTGAGGGTCGGGAATAGCACTGTGCCAGAAAATAGAAGGCAAAATCACCTGCATCCTAGATCAGGCAAAAACAAAGTCTGCATAAACTGCTCTGTAACATGGAGCTTGATATGGACATTCTAAACTTCCTACCTCCACTCCACCTGCGGTATTCACTCCTTTTATATTACCAACCTTTGCTTTTCCTAGTGGTGACTATAATTACATAGATCCAGCTTTGAGGTGAACCAGTCAGACTCTGTGGCTCCTCCCTTTACAACAGAAGCCCTGTGTTCACCCCAAGACCTCCCCTGGACAGTCCCAAGGAGACCCTCACCCACACCAATCTCCTCCACCAATTCTGTCACCAGACAGACATCTTGATTTGTCTGAGCTCCAGTACGATTTGCAAAAAGCTGTGATTTTGTAGGAGTTGAGGCTGTGAAGCAGCCATTGTTTACTGGATTAGAGCCTTGGCATTCCAAATCACACCCAGCCCTGGGCTTCAGGAGCATGAAGAAACCCTATTTACTAGCATTCAGTGGGCCTCTGGGTGTTATTTCAGATGCAGAATAATTAGCAATATGCCCAAGAAGCAACAAAGCCTTGAATGGTATTTAGTGACAATTATTCAGCCAAACCATTGCTTACTATTATAGGGGCTTATTAGCACCAAATTGTTTCGATAGGAAGTGGCATCAGCAATAAAAATAATGGCTGCAGCTTGCTGTGCAATCTCAGAGTCAGCAGAAAGGGGCTGAAATGTGTGCATGTCTCTTTTACATCCCCCAGGAATTCGGGGGACCCACTGAGATGTGTTGGCAGTGACAGGAACTGACTCAGGTGGCTCAGGGTAGAGAGCAGGCAGGCTGCTTAGTGCCAAATCACTTGCTCCTTCCTCTTAGGCTTTATTTATGCATGGAGTAGAGGGTGTGGGGAGCAGACTTCTCTGTGCACCTTTGCTCAGCTCCCCTCTGGGGCCAGGTGTAGGACACCAAGGGACATACTGGTATCCTCTGCTCTGTCTTTATATCTATACCCCTGAAAACTAGAACTCAAGAGCTGGAAGGGGCTTTTAGAGCAAAAGGCTGCATTTTACAGACCAAAATAATCAGTGCTCAGAGATATTATTTAATTTATATAAGGTCACACATGAGGGCTGAGACAAGTATCCAGATGGACTGGGTATATCCTTTTTCTATACCTTTCACACATCCTGGATTGCATTTTATAATCTCTTTTACTAAGATAGACAGTGCATAGTCAAGTCCACAAGTCAGCACTTCAGGTTGAAAATGACAAATGATTTGAATGCTTGTGATGGAATTTCAGTGAACACAGAACAAGTAACTTGTAGTTTACACATTACTCAATGAACTTGGCTCAGATCCAATTATTTCCATCTTCTCCAATGTGCATTTAATCTTCCATGTTTGAGCTGTTAGGTGAATTTTAATGTTCATGCCTAATCCAAGATTTGTGCTTCTTTCAGGGTATGGGAATTACTGGGGAAACCAGGCCCCTCTCTTACCTTTGTAGCTTACAAGACTCATCTTGGGAGTAATGAAAAAGTACTACAGTTTACAGTAAAAGATTTGAGATTACATAAATAAAAACATTTAATAAGCAGATCAAACGTAATAGGTATAGGTGTAAATCTTACTATTTTTGTTCAAAAGAATCAATGCAAACATAAAAAGGGAAGTCATAAGACTGAATATTTAGATATTTTGGTAATAAGTGCTATGTGAGCCAATGTTTTAGTCTGCTTGGGTTGCTATAACCAAGTACCATAGACTGTGTGGCTTAAACAAGAGAAGTTTACTTCTCACAGTTTTGGAAGCTGAATGTTCGACATCAGAGCATCATAGTGACAGCATGGTTGGGGTTCTGGTGAGGGCTGTCCTTCAGGTTTACAGACGGCCACCTTCTTCTTTTTTTTTTTTTTTTTTGGAGTCTTGCACTGTTGCCAGGCTGGAGTGCAGTTGTGCGATCTCAGCTCAGCTCACTGCAATCTCCGCCTCCCAGGTTCAAGCGATTCTCCCGCCTCAGCCTCCCGAGTATAGGCACGTGCCACCATACCCAGCTAATTTCTGTATTTTTAGTAGAGACGGGGTTTCACCATGTTGGCCAGGATGGTCTCGATCTCTTGACCTCGCGATCTACCCACCTCGGCCTCCCAAAGTGTTGGAATTACAGGCGTGAGCCACCATGCCTGACCGATGGCCACCTTCTTGCTGTGTCCTCACATTGTCTTTCCTTGGTTCATGCATTTAGCCATATATTTTCTTCTTATAAGGGCAGTAATCCTATCATGAGATCGGGAGGGACTCCTACCCTCATGGCCTCATCTCCAAATACCATCACATTGGTGGTTAGGGCTGCAACATATGAATGTTGGAGAGATACAACATTTAGTCCATAGCAGTCAGCATTGCCAGATAAAATAACACTTCAAAAGGCCAAATGTAAGCTTTTGTTAAATTTTTAAAAATATGGTATAGGAAATGATAGGCCACTTCAACCTTTCGGAGACCGTTTATATCTGGAGCAAATAGCTCCTTCTCTTCATGGGGCCTTTGCTGGAATCATATTTTGTGGGGAAGATCACGCCCCCAAAAGTTAGTTACCGAGTGTTAATTGAAGAGTGATGGGGTTCATAAATTTGGAAGGAAGAGCTGTATTTCTCATAAAAGGTTGCAGCCTGCAGGGTGGCCAGGTGTGGTGGCTCACACCTGTAATTCCAGCACTTTGGGAGGCCAAGGCTGGCAGATCACTTGAGGTCAGAAGTTTGAGACCAGCCTGGCCCAACATGGTGAAACCCCGTGTCTACTAAAAATACAAAAATTAGCTGAGTATGTTGGTGCACGCCTGTAGTCCCAGCTATTAAAATACAAAAAATTAGCTGGGCATGGTGGTGGGTGCCTGTAATCCCAGCCACTCAGGAGGCTGAGGCAGGAGAATCGCTTGATCCCGGGAGGAGGAAGTTGCTGTGAGCCTAGATCACGCCACTGCACTGCAGCCTGGGCGACAGAGTGAGACTGCGTCTGAAAAGAAAAAAAATTGTATTTCAAAATCTAATAAAAATAACACAAGGAAAGACCAAGCTTACTTGTGATGATCAATGGAGAAAATCTTCACCAAAATATTATAAAAAATAAATTAGCAAAATATCGAATGAATGGCCTACCATTACCAAGTGACTTTCAAATGACTTTTAGCATCTATTAGGTTCATATAGTGTTTCTAACCAAGTAGGTTTTTTTCCCCCAGTGAGTGTAAAGATGTTGTTATGGCCGGAATTTTGTCTCCAAAAAGGTGTTCTAGTGCCTATAGAGTCTATGGAAATAGAGTCTATGTGATATTAAGTTAAGATGAGGTCATTAGAGTGGACCCTGATCTAATATGACTGGTGTCCTTAGGAAAAGGGAAATTTGGACACAGATATAGACATGCACACAGGGAGAACATCACATGATGATAAAGATAGAGATCAGGGTGATGCATCAACAAGCCAAGAAATGCCAAAGACTGCCAGTAAACCACCAGAAGTTAGGCTACAGGCATGGAATAGATTCTCCCTCACTGCCCTCAGGACAGTGCTAGCATCTTGGTCTTAGATTTTTAGGCTTTAGAACTGTGAGACAGCACATTTTTGTTGTGTAAGGCATTCAGTTTATAGAACTTTGTTGTGATAGTCCCAGGAAACTAATACAGGTGGTTAAGAGAGAAGCACTACATGATCCTAATAGATGCTAAAAGTCATCTGAAAACACTAGATCTTACTTCTTAATAAAGCAAGAAAAACAAACCCTTATGAAAATTGCGTAATAAATTATATAGCACAAATTAAAAGTTAGCACTTTACTTGCTGGGGAATTTAGGAATGAAAGACAAAACTCCTAGGGCAAATACTATTTAGTACTCTTCTGCACTTCTTTTAGTACTAACCAATGCAATTAGATAAGAGAATTAAATCAGAGGAAGCAAAATTTTCTTATTTGCAGTTATAATTGTATACTATGTAAAAGCAAAAGAGCCAACTGACAAACTGTAATTATATAAAATTGGAAAAGTTCAGTATGATAGCTGGTTAATTTATAAGAAATAGAGGACTCTTCTCTAAAGAACTAGAATATGATGCCTGAGAGTAGTGAGGGCAGGTAGAGCAGATGGCAGTGTATGGAGGGAGTGGATGGGGTTGAGTCATCCCAAATTTTGGCAATTGGGTTCACACCAAGATGCTCCCACCGCCAGCCTCTCCCATTATATAATCCTAGTCAGCCTTCCCATCCGCGGCACAGACCCAGTAGAAAATTAACCAAGATAAGCAACAGCATTAGATGAGTTCAAAAAATCAACTCGATCCCTCATCTAGCAAACATATGATAGAAAATTGACATTAAAGAGAAAATCTAAGATGAACAAATAGAACAATTGGTGCCAGAAACTAGAGGACTTAAAAACAAAAACAACAACAACAAAAAAAAAAAAAAAAGAAGAAGAAGAAGAAGAAGAAGAAACTCTAACTAGTAACTGCATAGTAGTTTGGGAAGATATTTTAACCATAAAACAGCAAGAAGATATTATATATTAAATGGTGCAAATAAAAAAATAAGAAAGTGCTTTGAAAGTAAGTGTGTGATGGCTAAAATTAAAAATTCTATAAAGAGATGGAAGAAATTATTAAGGATATCTCACAGATCACAGAACAAGAAACCAAAGATGTAGAAATGCAAGTAAAAGGATAAGGAGCATGGGAAATCAAATTAAGAGTCACAACTCTGAAGTAGAATCCTAGAAAGAAATTATAAAGAAAATGAAGGGGAGCAAAAAAACAGTAACAAAGAGGAAAAAAAGTTCCATGGCTGAAAAGAGATGTGCTTGAAGATTCTAAAGGGCCTTCCCAATGCAGACTGGGATTTAAGAAAAAAAAAGTTCCATACTGAGACAACTCATGTAAAGTTCCAGAAATATCCACACCAACGCACATCATATGAAATTCCACAAAAACAAGGGGAAAGAGATAATCCTCAAAGACTTAAAAAAAAAAAAAAGAAAAGGAATCATACACAAAGAGGCTAAAATTAGCCAGGCAAAAAACTTCTCATAGCAACACTAAATGCTGGAAGGCAAAGTTTTGGGAAAAATGATTTTGAACCTAAATTCTATGATCAATTATATTATCAGACAAATCGAGATGGAGAGGGAAAAGACTCTGTAATTTTCAAGAACTTAAAATTTGCCTCCCATGATGCCTTTCTAGGAAAGCTGAGTATAGTTGGCCTTCAAGATTCATGGGACATTGGTTTTGGGGTCCCCCTCCAATGCCAAAATTTGGGGATGCACAAGTCCCTGCTATAAAATGTCCCAGCATTTGCATATAAGCTATGTACATCCTCCCATATACTTTAAATCATCTCAAGATTACTTATAATACCTAATACAATTCAATGCTAGGTAAATAGTTGTTGTACTATATTATTTAGGGAATAATGACAAGAAAAAATTCTATACATGTTCAGTACAGGTGCAATGTCTTTCTCCATATATTTTGGATCCAATGTTCGTTGCATCTTCAGAGGTAGAACACTTGGGTATGGAGAGTCAACTATTTACCCCAGGAAAACATGAGTGGATGTCAAGAAAGACGGTCTTTGAACTGATTGATTCAGGCCTACTCAGATCATCTAAGATGATCTCTCTTACATAAAGTCAACTGACTAGGAGCTTTAATCACATCTAAAAAATACCTTCATAGCAACACCTAGATTGGTGTTTGACTGCATAGCTGGGAATTCTAGGCTAGCCAAGGTGATACATAAAACTGACCATTACAGTTTGTAAATAGGGAATTATAATCCTAGACCATTTTTTGGCTGTACAATGTAAATGACTTGCACAATCATAATATTATACACGTGTTTGGTTGTTTCTTCCACTTTCAAAATCAGCTTTTACACAAAAGACTGTTCATATATTTTTCATGGTATAATGTAAATGTCATCAACATTGTTAATGTAATGATATGGATGCAGATACAAAAGAACATCAAGATGTTTGGAGAAGGTTGGTTATTGTAGGAATAGCTAAGGGAAAAAACTGCAGATAACCTAAACATTCAATAGTTGGGAAATAGTTAAATTATGGAACATCCATATAATGGAATACCATGCTATGCGTAGGTTAAGAATATGACGTAGCTCTCTATTCTGATAGGATAATTTCAAATTATTAAGTGAAAGAGCACAGTACAGATCAGTGTGTTTAGTGTGCAAATATATGTGTGTGCATATATATAATATTTATAGTATATATAAGAATACACATGCACACACACATATATGCATGCATATATATGTGTGTGTGTATATATATATACACGTGTATATATATATATATATATACACGTGTATATATATATATATATATATACACACATGTGTATATGTATATAAATTCTTAAGAAAGATGCCAACGAAAGGAAAGTTTTAGTTTGATACTTTTGTAGAAAGAAACCAGAGGTAGAGGAAGAAAAAGAAACTTTTATTTTTCATTTTGGTACCATTTTGACTTTTTTTTAACAATGTTCATGTAATATGTTTAATATTATTTTAAGGCTAACAGTGTTATCTGGCTGAAGAGATGAGGAGCCACTTAAATTTTCGTCATATTTTCCAGGTAAAAAAAAGCACATGACAAATTTTACATGAAAATGTTTTCTGAACACCTTGTATATACTAGGCATGCAAACATACAGAAGACTCCTGCCCTGAAGGAGCTCCAACTCACAGGGAGATACATACATTCAAACAGAATATTAGAAAACATTGTGATGCGATAATAGAAATAAGCACAGGGTGACATGGGAGCATCGAAGTACAGACTGTGCCAAATGCTAGTTATGCACTTCAAAAATGGGAAGCATTCTTTTTTTATTTTATTTTATTATTATTATACTTTAAGTTTTAGGGTACATGTGCACAACGTGCAGGTTTGTTACATATGTATACATGTGCCATGTTGGTGTGCTGCACCCATTAACTCGTCATTTAGCATTAAGTGTATCTCCTAATGCTATCCCTCCCCCCTTCCCCCACCCCACAATAATCTCCAGTGTGTGACGTTCCCCTTCCTGTGTCCATGTGTTCTCATTGTTCAATTCCCACCTATGAGTGAGAACATGCGGTGTTTGGTTTTTTGTCCTTGCGATAGTTTGCTGAGAATGATGGTTTCCAGTTTCATCCACGTAGAAAGCTGAAACTGGATCCCTTCCTTACACCTTATACAGAAATTAATTCAAGATGGATTAAAGACTTAAATGTTAGACCTAAAACCATAAAAACCCTAGAAGAAAACCTAGGCAATACCATTCAGGACATAGGCATGGCAAAGCATTCTTGCCATTGGTGGTTGGATGAGAGGTAGGAGCGTGTGGTCTGGAGTGGGAGGGGTCGAGTCAGGTGACTGGACTCTGAACTTTGCTTTCTCATTTATAAAAAAAGTGACTAAACACTTATCTCATGGGTTGCATACAGATTACATAAAATCATGTCTATAAAAAGCCTGGCACATAGTGGCATTCAAATTTGAGTGCTTTTTCCCTTCCTGTGACTCAAACCAGAAGCCTGGAAATTGCGCTAGGTAGATGTTTCCTTTTTTTAGGTTAAGAACAACAAGATACCCCAGAGATGAGACAAATGACTTGCCCAACATGACTGGCTAATTAGAGGTAGAGCTGACACAAAAGCATGGATGACCTGACACCTCAGTTGATTTTCCTTGCATGGTACCTATAAGGATAGTGACATTTAATCATGTTCCATTTTCTATTTCTTGTGACAAGGGGCAATAAGAGGTGGTATGAAAGGCAGATGGGTCACAAAACCCCAAAGCACTGGCTATGTTATGCTTCTTGATGAAATGCCAGGCTCCGGGTCTGCAAGGAACAGTCCACCACCAGGGACCAAGAATCTTAGGGATTTATCTGCCTCTTCTTCCCCACCACCCTCCTCCTCATGAACCAGTCAATGATGAGCAGAGGCTTCTATTCTACTCTGAAGGAGCTATTTATGAATTTGTGTTATCAACATAACAACATGTTCATAACACCAAGTATGTTCCAGTTGTGTGTGTTCTAAGGAGTTAAAAGTTTATGAGGGAAGAGGGATGCATTTGAGAAATAAGGAGGAAGTCTTCAGATGTTCAGTTTTTAAGAGATGAAGGTGAAAGTCCACTTCTCCATTCTTGATTTTTAAAATTTTTACCTTTTAGTGATAGAGTTTCACTCTATCACCCAAACTGGAGTGCAGTGGCAAGATCAGAGCACATTGCAGCCTCAGACTCCTGGGCTCAAGGGGTCCTCCTGCCTCGGCCCCCTGAATAGCTGAAACTACAAGCACGCATTACCATGCCCAGCTAATTAATTAATTAACATCTTTTTTCCATCTCTCCATTCTGTAGTACTTGTCCACACCAAGTAGGAGAGGTAAGAGCTTCAACAGTGAAAGATATCTTAATAGCTCTTAAATTCTCAAGGAATTCTAAGGGCAGGAGCTAATAAAATAATTAACACTGCACTTCTGAAGGGCAGCCACAGATAAACTGCACCTAGGAGCCAGCTGGGTATCTGCACAAGCTAAGTTGACAAAAAAAGCTCTTCAAACACTTCTTGCTAATCAGCTCAATTACAGATTATCCTGCAGAGAGGAGTTCCAAATGAATGCTAGTTAAATGTTGTGCTTTGCTATTGCTCTGTGTAAAAAGCTAGGGTTAAATTTTTGCTGTGCCCATTGTTAAACAAAAAGACTGTCCTTTTCATTAAAAAGGAAGTGAAGACTGTGGGCTATTTCTGCTCTCTACAATTCTTTCAGCCTGAAGAACACTTAGCACCTGGGCTGGGCTGCCCCAGACCTTCATCTGCTTGGGGATTAATCCAGAGAGCTTTGATTTAAAGAACTATAGACAGCAGAAATACCCCCACAGTCTTCACTCATTTTTTAATAAACAGGACAGTCTTTATCTTTAATAATGGGCACAACTAAAATTTAACTCTAGCTTTTTATAGAAAGCAATAAACAGGGTATCAATTATACAGGTACGTTAACAAGTCAAAGAAGAGTTGAGCATTTTGCCTCTTAAATTACTTCTTCTCAGAGTTCCTTGGTCCAGGAGGTCTCTGATCCTTAGGATCCAGATTATTACTGAATCAGGCAGTGTCATGTCCTTTGTGATTCATGTTCCTTCTATTATAGACATAATTTGATATAAACAGAAGGTTGGCTCCTTAAAGTACTTCAGGAGAATAGTGTTATATGCACAATAGGATAAAAATATTTATTATCAATAACAGTATTACTATATACTGAGCATTTACTGTGCAAGAAAATTTCATAATTGCTATGCATATATTAACTCTGTGCATCCTCTTAACAACACTCTGAAGTAAGTGAAGTAAGTGCAATTAATTATTCTCATCTTGCATATAAGGAAATTAAGGCTTATAAGGAGCTCCCCCATACTATCAACATAGTATATTAGCTACCTATTTTTCATAACAAATTACCCCACAACTTAGAGGCTTAAGACAGTAATAGACATTTATCATCTCATAAAATGTCTAGGTATGAAATTCAGGGATTGTTTCATTGGGTTTTTTGGGGTGAGGATCCCTCCTGAGATTACAGTCAAGATGTCAGCTGGGGCTGCAACATATGAAGGCTTGACTGGGGCCAGAGGACCCATTGTCAAGATAATTCACTCATATGACTGGCAAGTGGGTGCTGGCTTTTGTAAGGAGACCTCAGTTTCTCCTGGGTCAACATGGGTATCTCCAGAGGATGCTGTAATGTTTTTGCAACATTTCAGCTGGCTTTGTCCAGAGTGAGCAATTCGAGAGAGAGGGCAAGGTGGAAATGACAGTGTCTTCATAACCTAGCCCCAGAAATTGCACACTGGCACTTCTACCATGTTCTTCTGTGTACACAGGACTGCCATGATCCAGTGGGGGAAGCTCCAACACAAGGGTGTAACTATGAGGAGGAGAGAATCATTGGAGGATTTCTTGGGGGCTGGCAGAATTTGGGTTTGAGCTTCAGTCTACTCTCTGTAAAGCTGTACTCTTGACCACTCTATGATATTGCCTCCCTCATAAAAGTAATCCCTTAAGTATTTAAGATACTTAGACAGTCATGAAAGAGTAAACAATGATGACATAAGAAAAACAACAGTGTACTGAATGCTCATTATGTTCCAGGCATTATACTAAGTTATCAGTAGCATCCTCTCATCATACCTGATGATGAGGTTCAGAGAAGTTCAATGATTTTCTCAGAGTCTCAGAAGTGAAATCCAAATGGTCTTTCTGAATGTGAAGCCTTTGTGAGATGAATGAACAAGTATGGATGGGGGATACTTACATGAAGGGGAAAACGAAGCCCAGGGAGCATGGATCTGTGATTGAGAAAGGACAGGCAGGAGAAAGCAGAGTTGGAGGTGAAAATCAGGCTGATGCAGTCAAAAGAACATCACCACTCAAATGAGCTGAAATTGGGGGTAAAACCTAAGAAATAGATAAAGTGAAAGAACTGTCAGGGCATGAATTACACACTGCAGTTTGTCAAATATCACATTGCCCTTATCATCTAGTTCTGTTCTGCTACATGGATTTATCTTATTCAGAGAAATCGTTTTGTTTTCTTAAAGACAAGGAGATAAAAGAGAGAGAGAGGGAGAACTTGGCTTCTGAACTTCTCTGTAGACTAGATATATCCACTTGAGTAAGTAGAAAATTCTTGAAAATCAAATGCATTTTTCACTTCAAATGAAACCCATTTCTATATTTAAAAATTATTAACCATGATCTAACTGATACACAACGTTGCAAATCCAAGCCATGAACTAATCATAGAGTGTCAGTGGGCATTCTAGTCAGCACTGTGCTAAGTGGTAGAAGATATTTAGAGGTATAATATGAGGCATCATTCATGTCCCAGAGAGACTTAGATTTATTTGGAGAGAAAAGACATACATAAGGATCCCTCTGCAAAATCTCTACCCAGTGATTCTTTGAGAATGAGACAGGGAAGGAGGAGCTAATAAAGGATTCATTACTACAACTCCTGCAGGAGAGTTCAGCTCCTAGGGAATCTTGGAGAAACATACAGAATGAGATACGGTTTGGACTTGTGCCCCTGTCCAAATCTCATCTCGAATTGTAGGAGGGGCCTGGTGGGAGGTGATTGGATCATGGGGATGGATTGTCCCCTTGCTATTCTCGTGACAGCAAGTGAGTTCTCACAAGATCTGGTGATTTAAAAGTGTGTGGCATCTCCCTCACTGTGCTCTCTCTCTCTCTCTCTTTCCTGCTGCCATGTAAAGAAGGGTACTTGCTTCCCCTTCACCTTCTGCCCTGATTATAAATTTCCTGAGGCCTCCCCGTCATGCTTCCTGTTAAGCTTGTGGAACTGTGAGTCAACTAAACCTCTTTTCTTCATAAATTACCCAGTCTCAGGTAGCAGTGTAAGAACAGACTAATACAGAATGCTTCCTAGAATTTTTTTTTTTTTTCTGAAGAACACGAAGCTGGGGGCAGTAAGCCACTGGCTGCCATACTCCACTGGTTGAGGGTTAACCCCCAGGGTAACATCCTTTCCCCTTCTGACTGTGCCAGGCTGTGAGTTGAGTAGACTACTGTGACTTTGAAGAAAGCCCTAAGGCAGAAAAATAAAGCCATGCCATAGCGTGCCCTTGAAATGGCGACACTGACAGTGGGCCTGGAGTTGCCTACCACAGCTGTGGTGAAATCAGAGGTAGGTGAATAAGATGTGGTAGAAGGCAAAGAAGTCATCTGCTACAATCAGGAACGTGAAAACTACCTCCTCCTGTACCCTCAAATCAATTGTCATTGGCCAGAAATGGGTCCTATGGCCACCCCTAGCTGAAAAGGAATCTGGAGAATGGAGCAGTTTTAGCGGGACAGCTTGTAAGAGACAGTTTGTAAGAGCCATGCTGAACAAAATCAGAATTTTACATTCTGTAAGGAAGAATAAGAATGGGTGTCAGGCAGGCAACTAACAGGTTCTGTTCAACATCATGTCTAAGAGTAGCCACTCTCTCCTTCCTAGGTAGAGCTGTTCCTCCTGTCCCCCAAATATCTATAAAACATGCAGTATGGGGACAAAGTTATATTAGGAGCCACCAGCCAATCTTCCTACCATGAAATTGTCAACAACGTACTTTGGTGATTGCTATGCCCTCGTGGCTCATGGAGTGTGCAGAAGACGTGGCAGCTATATAATACACCATTTAAGCAGCTGCCATCAACCCTCTTCCACAAATTTAGCTTTCCATGGCAGTTCTTGAGAAGAGCAGAGAGTAAAGTTTTGGCTGATCATCATGTTGGCAAACCATGGAGAGAGGATTGGGCAACAGAAGGCTCTTTTCGTTCACATCTGTAGCTCAACTGCTTAACATGTAGTAATATTCCTGGCTGCCCCTGGAAGGTAAGGGTCTCTAACAGTTGTCTTGAAAGAAGTGAAAACCAGAAGACAGACAGCCTCTCTCCTTTTTTTTCCCACTCTCTGGCTCTTTTTCAAAGAGGACTCTACATGACTCTTGAAACTTGATTTACTCCTTTCCAAAACCTCCAACACAGGAAAAGGGCATAAAATGGGAAATTCATTCCTGTTTCATATCCCTTTCCTCCTGTTCAGCCTCTGTGGGGAAACAATCGTATGGAGGCTGTTACCGCTGGTGGCCATGGTAACAAAATAATTGACATACAGTCTGAAAGTCATAAACATAATGAAACTATAGTTTTTATTGCACTTCACCCTCATCACTGATTAAATCAGATCTGCATAATGCAAAGATATTAAATTTCCATGTTTCTCATTTTCTCTCCCCTGCCAATAGGAAGGCTTTATTGTGAGGCAACCCTGACAGTGGGCTGGGAACATCATTGCTCTAGATTTTGCTGAAAAATGTTTTTTTAATAATTGGTGCTGACTGGCCCACAACGCAAAGCAAACTTCTGAGAAACGGTTGGATTCTGGCTCCGTGGAGATACAGCTGCTTGTTTCTGGCAGGTGGAGGTTTTATGGAGCTCTAAGGGAGTAACGAAGAAGAAAAGGGATGTCAAAGGGGCTAGCACACCGGAGGGACACATTAATTCAAGAAATAATTGTGGAGGAATTTTACTCCTTAGCCCGCACCCCTGACCTACTGAACTGAAATGGAAGGAAGACAGATGAAAACACATCTGGACCAGGCCTGTGTGAGATCTGGGAATAAGAGACATGAATGGAACAGAGCACCTGAATGCAAGGTACTCACAGCCTAAATGAGATGCTCACCAGGGTCACTTGTCCCCAGTAGCCTGTTTCCAACAAGAACCAACAGGAGTGGGGATTGGGGATGGAATCTGTGCTGGCCAAACAGTACATCATTGTGTGATCATGTTTCAGGCCTAGTTCTAGGTTCTCCAAGGACTTAAAGATTGATGATATTGATGCTTATAACATAGGAACTTTCATTATAACAGAAAGGTAATGTGATGAGAGGTACAAAGTGCTGTAAAAATTTTCAGGAAGGAGCACTTACCTCCAGCGGAGGTCTCCAAGAAGGTACTAAGAGGACATTGCCCTTAGCTCATGCTTACATATGTCGGAGACCTTGCGAAATGATTTTACTGGAAGGAGACTTCATCTCTTGTTGTATTAGGCTGTTCTCACATTACTACAGAGAAATATTGGAGACTGGGTAATTTATAAAGCAAAGAGGTTTAATTGGTTCACAATTCTGCAGGCTGTACAAGGAAGCATCATGATGCTGGTATCTGCTTGGCTTCTGGGGAGGCCTCAGGAAACTTACAGTCATGGCAGAAGGTGAAGTGGGAGTAGCACCTCACATGGCCATAGCGGGATCAAGGGAGAGAGAAAGGAGGTGCTACACACTACTAAATGACCAGATTTCATAAGAACTCGCTCACTATTATGAAGATAGTACCAAGGGGATGGTACTAAATTGCTCATGCAAAATTCGCCCTCATGATCCAATCACCTACCACCAGGCCTCAACTCCGACACTGGAGATTTGGGCAGAGACACACATCCAAACTATGTCTTTTGTATTTTAGTTTAATTTCATCTTAGAAGAAAATGATCAGAAAAAAAAGGTAGAATGAGGCAGTGGTTCTGAACTGGGGACAATTTTTGTCCCCTCCTTGACACCCAGAGGATGTTTGATAATGTCTGGAGAAATTTTGATTGTCACAACTAGGGACTGGTGCTACTGGCATTTAGTGAGTAGGGGCCAGGGACGCTGTTAAACATCCTACAATACACAACATAGTCCCCCATAACAGAGAATTATCTGGCAACAGTGATGAGGTTGAGAAATCCCGGCACAAGGAGAAATACAGTTCCACTAACACGCTACTGATACCCCCAGAGACCAGGAGAGAGGCAGATCATAGCAGGTTCTGAAGCTAAGTTCTGCCCCTGCAGAGCAGGTAATGGATGGTCAAGGCTGTGTCAGGTGAAGGGGACCGACACTCTGGGGCCAAGGCATGTCATCCATGAGGCTGGAGCAGGAGGGGGCCTGAACACTTCAGGCGGAGATGGAGGGCTAGAAAGGAGACACACCCTGGTTTTACTTTTGGTATGTTTATTTTACTTCCTTGCCTATGTCTATGTACCAGGAGCCTCCCCCCGCTGCCCCCCGGCCCCCTCGGCCCCACAACCCTCTCTATATTCACCGCTTTCCTCTCATTCTCCTCTTTCTTTCTTGGATTATTCTTTTCTATCCTCTACTTTCCTACATTTCAAGCATCAGGTGGGTAGGGATGTCATATTCAAGGTCAGGGTTAAAGAGGTGAGAGGGAGGAAAGAGTTCAATTTCGGGGCCTATTCTTCCCATTTTAAGACGTTCCATGAAAGGAATAGCTACCATTTCACTTTCTCAAGTTGAAATAAAGTGGCCAAAATCAAAACAGAACCAAACCGAAAAGTGCTTGAAATCCTTGGGCTTGGATCTTTGATTTTAAGTCTCAACAAATTTGCAAAGTAGTTATCACCATTTAATGGATGGAAAAGCCATGGCTCAAAGACAGTCAAGAAATCTTCCAAGGCAACACAGCCAGGAAATCATTGTCTCAGCACTCCGTTATAGAAATTATCCACCGGGCGCAGTGGCTCACGCCTGTAATCCCAGCACTTTGGGAGGCCGAGGCGGGCGGATCACAAGGTCAGGAGATCGAGACCATCCTGGCTAACACGGTGAAACCCTGTCTCTACTAAAAATACAAAAACTTAGCCGGACATGGTGGCGGGTGGCCAAGTAGTACCAGCTACTCAGGAGGCTGAGACAGGAGAATGGCGTGAAGCCAGGAGGCAGAGCTTGCAGTGAGCCGAGATTGCGCCGCTGCACTCCAGCCTGGGCGACAGAGCGAGAGTCCATCTCAAAAAAATAAAAATAAATAAATAAATAAATAAATTATCCAAAGGTGGTGTCTGTATATTAGCCTCTTTGTTGCTTATTTCAAAAGCTGGGGCTAAACTCAAATTTTCATGCACCCAGTTGTTTTAAAAATAGCCCAAACAAGCAGATTTGTAGCCATTTCAAGTCTGTCTCCTTTGCATATTCCAGGAAACCTCAGGCCACATACGTTGGCCATAAAGCCTCCAAGCTGCTACGACCCTGGCCTTAGGCCCTCTCCGACCCAGATCCTCCTACCTTGCTGCTGAGCAACGTCACCTAAACTAAGCCCCCTTTCTAATTCCTCCAGCCCCAGTAGTTCCCTTGCCCGCCTCCCCTTCTGGATGGTGGCCTCTGCCTCCATCCATGAACTTGCAGACAGTCTCATGCCATAAGGGATGTCCCAGCCCTGTCCATGCACTGTCCAATACAGCTTATTGTATGTTATTGCCTTTCATGATCACCCCCGTCTCCTTGCTCTGCCTCCAAATCCCTCAAACTCCCTACATATTCCAAGTCAGATTTTCAGCCCAGTGATTTTTTTCCCACTACCGCATTGCTTCCACCTTAGTTTCAAACTTTTTCAAACAAGTAGGCTTATACAAAGAAATATAGTATCTAAGTAATGTTCCTAGAGAAGGGCCAGGAATTGATCTGAAACTTAATACATTTAGCTCAGTTCCTCAAACCTGGTAAAAGCTTGCATCATCTAGAGACAGCAGAAAGTTCTTATAGATACTTTATTATTATTATTATTTTATTTATTTATTTATTTATTTATTTTGAGACAGAGTCTCGCTCTGTCGCCCAGGCTGGAGTGCAGCGGCGCAATCTCGGCTCACTGCAAGCTCCGCCTCCCAGGTTCAAGCCATTCTCCTGCCTCAGCCTCCCAAGTAGCTGGGACTACAGGCACCCGCCACCACGCCTGGCTAATTTTTTGTATTTTTAGTAGAGACAGGGTTTCACTGTGTTAGCCAGGATGGTCTCGATCTCCTGACCTCGTGATCCACCTGCCTCGGCCTCCCAAAGTGCTGGGATTACAGGCGTGAGCCACTGCACCTGGCCATAGATACTTTATTATTATTATTTATTATTGCTACAATTTCCACATGTCCTCTGAAAAGGATTGGACCAGGAATAGTGCCCTAGAGACTTGGTAGTGCTCATCGCGTTATTAAAAACTTCTGTTCACTGAGCATTCACTCCATGCCAGGCTCTTACCAAGATCTTGAACAGAATCACTCAGTGGTAGTGGCACATCTTCCAGTCCTTAGGCCATGGTGTTATTCATGTAGCAGACAGGGATTCCCTATCTTCCGTGGTTTCCACGTGCATCCTGTCAGTTTACTATCTTGCTTAAGTTTCCTGAAAAACATAATGCAAGGGACTTGCCACCTAAAAATATAATGCCACTCCTGACTTGAGTTTCTGTCCTGGTTCACGGGCTGCTCCTGTCTTTTACGGGACCAACCCAGCAGCCAGCTCTGGCTTGAAGGAATCACCAGGGGAAAGGAAATAATACCTTTTAGCAGGCAGAAACACAGGCAATAAAATCATCCCCTGGATCCTGAAGTTCCTGGGCACCTAGACGAGAGGGCAGGAGAGCTGTTATTTAGCAGCTTTCAGTTCTGTTATGTCTGTTATGTCTTCCTAACAAATTGCTGGCTTCAGCAACTCCACACCAAAAGCTGTGGTTATAAATATTACGGGTCCCCTGAGGGCCACAATTCATGGGTTGATAAAATCCCACCTCCCAAGGCAGAGACCCATTGGAAGGAACTGAAATAAAATGTCCTTCTTTCTGATCCCGGATGAGCCATATTGAAGCCAATTTCAGGCAGGGATGGGGAGGTGGTGCTGGGGGCTGAGGAGGGACAGAAGTATAGGGTGTGCCTGAGAGTTGGTGGAAGGGAGAGATGTATGGGACCCCCTTTGATTGCTTTCTTCCCTAATCACCATTATTCGGCCCAGCAAATTGGAAGCTAATGAAACTTAGTGACTATGTCCTATATGACATTTCTAGAGAAATGCTAGAAAAAGGATTGAATCCTGTAATGGTCATTTGGCACTTTGTTGGCTTGGAGTCTACCAGATCAGCCCTTCGGAGTTGTGTTCTTGTCTTCTGCTATGGTACCATGAGCATAGTATCTACCAAAAGATGAATAGTGGAAATGATAATAATTGTAGCTAGGTGCTTACTAAATGCCAGACCCTTTTGTAAGTGTCTTATGCATATTATTGTTAACTTTTTAAGTCCTCACAACAATCCTAGGAAGTAAGGCTTGTTATTCTTCCCATTTTATATTTTAGATATAAGTAAATTGAAGAACAGAGATTAAGCAGTCTGCCTACAGATCTTGAAGCAGGTGGAAGGAAATCAGGCCATTGGCTTTAGAGTTCATGCTTTTTCGCATGCAACCTCAAGTTATGACCGCATGGGGTATTTCTCTTGCTTTTCATGGACAAGAATGACTAATAAAGATGAATATATGTCTATAGAATGCGATCTCAACTATTGCCTATTTTTCTCAAAGCAAAAATCTCTGATGTAATAAAAATAATATGCAAAGTGTTAACCAACCATAACTTTAAAAAATATTAAGAAAAAATGAACTCAGGAAAATATTTCATTTAAAAAAAATTTAAGAGAAGAGGACCCAAATGTTGCCCAGGCTGGCCTGGAACTCCTGGCCTCAAGTGATCCCCCTACCTCAGCCTCTCAAATAGCTGGAACTACACGCACATGCCACCACACCCAGATTCAGGAAAAGATTTAAATACAAAAATGAAGGTATTGATTTAAGACCTTTCTGACTAATTTTTTTTTTTTTTTTTTTTTTTGAGACGGAGTCTCCCTCTGTCGCCTAGGCTGGAGTGCAGTAGCGCAATCTCAGCTCACCACAACCTCCGCCTCCCGGGTTCAAGCAATTCTCCTGCCTCAGCCTCTGACTAATTTTTAAGTGTAATGTTTCTTTGCTAATCAAATCTTGGTTTTCCCTACCATGCTTTACCGCTAATTGGTTTGAGCCCTGTCTAGAACACAGGACACTTGGGAACATTTGCAGCTTTCTTGTTTCATGGTGGCATTTCATGGGTACAAGAAGCTTTGGGGTCAGTCCCCACAGCTTATCAGTCAAAATCATTTTGGGCGCTAGTTAAAAATACTGACTCCAGGCTGGGCGCAGTGGCTCACCCCTGTAATCCCAGCAGTTTGGGAGGCCAAGGCGGGCAAATCACGGGGTCAGGAGATCATGACCACCCTGGCTAGCACAGTGAAACTCTGTCTCTACTAAAAATACAAAAAAATTAGCTGAGCGTGGTGGCATATTCCTGTAGTCCCAGCTACTTGGGAGGCTGAGGCAGGAGAATCGCTTGAACCCGGGAGGCGGAGGTTGCAGTGAACCAAGATTGCACCTCTGTACTCCAGCCTGGGCAACAGAGCGAGACTCCATCTCAAAAATAATAATAATAATAATAACTCTAGGTCTTACTCTAGGTCTAATGAATCAGAACCCTTAAGAAAGGGGAAGCCTAACTCATTAGCCATAGCTATATGATGAGGTGCTGGAATTGCATCTCGATTGCCCTGGAATGGTACCAAAGCACGAGTATTGATTAAAGCTTTTGGGTGAGAACAGTGAGAAGCCACGGTTGATAATAATGAGCTTGACCTTTCTGCACTATTAATGGCTATATTTTGGGTAGTGGCCTTGCTTCTAGCATATGCTGGACACACTTTTTTCCATCATCAGAAAAGACTTATACAATTCGAGTAAAAATTAACTAGCTGCCTTCATCCCTTGGATCAATAATCAGAAATCTACTGGACTCATATTGAAAGTGGGACCTCTCTGGGAAGGCGGAGATGGTTTAGTGATAGAACATACAAAAGGCCGGGCGTGGTGGCTCCCACCTGTAATCCCAGCACTTTGGGAGGCCAAGGTGGGCGCATCACTTGAGGTCAGGAGTTCAAGACCAGCCTGCTCAACATGGCGAAACCTAGTCTCTACTAAAAATACAAAAAATTAGCCAGACGTGGTGGCAGGCACCTGTAATCCCAGCTACTCGGGAGGCTGAGGCAAGAGAATTGCTTGAACTCAGGAGGCAGAGGTTGCAGTGAGCCGAGATCGCACCACTGCACTCCAGCCTGGGCAACAAAAAGAGACTCCGTTTCAAAAAAAAAAAAAAAGTAGATGAGATTTAAAGAAATAAAATGCTGTATCAAGGAATTCCTCAATTTCCCATTTTTAGGGACAAGTCTGACTCAAGAATGGATGGAGTAGAAGAATGGAGTTTCACAACAGGTCACTGGATAGAGGAGATTTGAAAGTTTAGAGATCCCAAAAGATGCATGCTAAACAGGATATTTCATCCTCTTGTTGGTTAATCTTAAGATGCCATCCCCAGCTTTCCTGCCAATGGAGGTTCGCTGACTTTTCCTTCCTGTTTAACTTTGGGGTGCTGCTCATGGAAAGGGTCTTCCAGCTTCACACACCTATGTGTGTTCATCCACGTGTACGCGTGCCAAGGAGCCCTACACCTTCCGTTATCTGATCTCCTGCATCCCATCTGGCCTGGGTCATAGCCTCAGTTCTAGCTTGATTCCACGGCCAGCTCACTCAGGTCCATTTGACAGGTCCCTGTGTACCAGCACCATAAGGACAACATTCTAAATGCCAATGTCGTTATTTCTCCAACCCCCTTCAAATGGTTCTGTTTCCTAACGGGAGCTTCCAGCATCAGGGAATTTACACCCTTCATGGAAGACACCGCACAGTCTGTGGTTTTTACTCATCATGATGACATAAGGAGGCACTTTTCTCATGCAATACGGCAAAGCCACTTGGGGAGAAACGATCTTCCTGAAGCATATTCAAGAGAGCCAACAAGACAGACATTGCAATTCCCTGAGCTCCCAGACACATCCAGTTTACGCCTCTTTCCGTTTGCTTCGGGTTTGTTCCGCGCGATACATCTCACCAAGCATCTTCTGGCCTCCTCCATGTGCCAAAAGGGCCCCTCCGTGGATGGCGCACACACACTCTCAGAGCCACATGAGGATTCCAGCGAGCGTTCAGGCACTAATGAATTCTCCTTGTGCAGAACTGAGCACATGCACAGATTGCACGTGGGAGGAGATGTTCTCTCAGTGTCTGCTCTAAATGTTGTTTCTGAGTTAATCGTTCCAAGACAGGGAAATGAATGGGGATTGCCTGAGCCACCCTTGAGCTGAGACAAATCAGCCAGGATCATTGGACTCTGCAGGAGGAATTTTTCTTCTGCTCTTTTTATCCCTAAGATCCATGGGTTAGTTATTGGACCACTCAGCTATTGTTTGCTGGCAGGCCCCTGTCCCACTCCTCCCCTGCTCTGCTCCCACTGGGCAGTTGCCAGTGTGGCCTCAGCATCTATGGTCTGGACTTAGGGGCAGGGACTACAAGAGAGAGGACTACCCTCTCCTTCTGTAGTCCCTGTCCCTAAGGTGGCAGTGATTTTCCATTGTGGTTAATCACGGCTTCTCAGTTCTTCCATCCCTTATGAAACCGATTCCCTGTATAAAATTCCCTCTGTTTTAAAACTCCTGTTTCCTCTAGTTCTTCCTTTTTCTATGCTGATAAAGTTTTAAAATAATAGATAATAGGGCTGGGCGTAGTGTCTCACGCCTGTAGTCGCAGAACTTTGGGAGGCTGAGGCCGGCGGATCCCCTGAGGTCAGGAGTTTGAGACCAGCCTGGCCAACATGGTGAAACCCCGTCTCTACTAAAAATACAAAAGTTAGCTGGGCATGGTGGTGCACACCTGTAATCCCAGCTACTTGGGAGGCTGAGGCAGGAGAATCGTTTGAACCCAAGAGGTGGAGGTTGCAGTGAGCTGAGATCATGCCACTGCACTCCAGCCTGGGTGACAAGAGTGAGACTCCATCTCAAAAAATAATAATGGTAGATAACACTTTGTACAGCATTAGGAAATGCTTTACATTATTAACTCATTGAATCCTCATGACTTTCCCATGAGGTAGGGATTAGTATTGTGCCCATTTTACAGACGTGGAGACTGAGCAATAGAGTGGGTCACACAGTCCATTCATGGTGGAGCTGGGATTCCAGCTGGGCCACAAGTGCCATGCTTTGAACAACACCAACAACAAAAAACAACAACAAAAAAAAAACATACAAACAAACATATCTCAATTCACAGAATTTTTGAAGCAAGAGCATTTAGGGTGCTGGTTCTCAGAGCGTGGCTCCTGAACCAGCAGCATTAGCATCTCCTGGGAACTTCAAAATGCAAATCTTAGCCTATACTCCTTAACATATTGAAGCCAAATGGGCAGGGGAGAGGAGGAAATCTGTTTTCACACACCCTCCTGGTGATTCAGATACTTAGTAAAGTTTGGGAACCACTGTCATAGAACAGGGTTCCATCCTTGCATGTTGAGGTCCTGGAACAGTTTTGGGGCCACTGTGGATCTATCCCTGGAAAGGAATCAGTAGCTGATTTGCGATTCCCTTCACCTCCCCTGTCCCATCACCTCCTGTTCTACCTGGCACGGCTCCTGTAGGTGGCTATGCACACCCTTTCATCTTAAGCAGGACACTATGTGGTAGGCACAACAATGCCCTCCCCCTCCACCCAAAGATGTCCCCATCCTAATTCTCCGGACCTGTGAATATTTTGTTGTTGTTCTTGAGACAGAGTCTCACTCTATCACCCAGGCTGGAGTGCAGTGGCACCATCTCGGCTCACTGCAACCTCCGCCTCCTGGGTTCAAGCAATTCTCCTGTCTCACCCTTCTGAGTAGCTGGGATTACAGGGGGACGCGCCACAATGCCATGCTAATTTTGTATTTTTAGTAGTGACGGGGTTTCACCATGTTGGTCAGGCTGGTCTCGAACCCCTGACCTCATGATCTGCCCCCCCCTAGGCTTCCCAAAGTGCTGGGATTACAGGTGTGAGTCACCGCGCCTGGCCAGACCTGTGAATATTTTATGTTACATGGTAGGGAGGAATGAAGGTTTGCAATCAGCTGACCTTAAAGTAAAGAGATTCTCCTGGATTTTCCAGGTGGATCTAACATAATTGTAAGAGTCCTAAAATGAGGACGAGGGAGGGAGAAGAATCAGAACTAGAGAGATGGCGAGTTTTGAAGACAGAGGAAAGAGACACAAGCAGAGGAATGCAGGCAGCCTCTAGAAGTTTGAAAAAGCAAAGGAACAGGTTTTCCCCTAGAGCCTCCAGAATAAACACGCCCTGCTGATCCCTTTATTTTAGTTCATTGAGACCCATTTTTGACCTAATGACCTCCAGAACTGTAAGATAATAACTTCGTTTTGAGTTATCAAGTTTGCAGTAACTTGTTACAGCAGTGATAGGAAATTAAAACCCCATAAAAGACACTCAAGGGCATAGCTATCACTCACAGCTGTGGTCGTAACCACCCCTTTCATCAAATTTCCCATATCCCTTCCTTTCCCAATCTTATCTTACCTTTTTTGCACTACCAAATCTGAGTTGGTTTTGCACATCTGTTTGCCTAAACCCTGTTACGTGTTCCCTGGAACTCAGGCTCTATGATCACTTCCTCCTCCTCTAACTTCAGTCTTTCCTTGGAACATTCCTTATCTGATGCTGGACACCCC